>NC_000002.12:54735806-55038837 GCF_000001405.40 Homo sapiens | reverse complement strand
TGGCTACTATGAACAAAATGCTGTGAACATTCTTACATAGACATTTTTGTATGCATATATTTTCATTTCTCTTAGGTAAATACTTGAGAGTAGAATTGCTGAGTCATGGGGTAACTATATATTTAACTTTATAAGAAGTTGCTTAACTGTTCCCCCAACCACTTCCACCAGCAATGTGTGAGAATTCTGGTGGCTTTACGTTTTCACCAACATTTGATATTGTCAGTTTTTTAAATTCTAACCATTTTAGTGGTTATGTAGTGGTTCCTCATTGTGGTCTTAATCTAGATTTCCCTAGGGACTAATGAATTAGAGGACTTTTACATGTCCTTTGTGTGTGTTTTCTTTGGTGAAGTGTCTGTTCAAGTAATTTGCCCATTCTTAAATTGTGTTGTATGCCTTTTTTTTTCCTACATATTTGTAAGAGTTCTCTCTATATATTATGAATACAAATCTTTGGTCTGATACATGTGTTGTGAATATATTCTCCTAGTCTGTAGCTTGCCTATTAATTTTATTGATTCTTTTGATGAGTATAAATTTTTAATTTTGAGAAGTCATAATTACTTTTTCTTTCATGGTTAGTGCTTTCTTTGTGATGTCTAAGACATCTTTGCCTCCTTCCAGGATTGTGAAGACACTTTGGTTTCTTCTAGAAGCTTGATAGTTTTAGCTTTTGTTTGTCTTGATCCGTTTTGAGGTAGTTTTTGTCTATGGTATGAGTTACCATAGATCCAGATTTATTTGTTTCTTTTCCATACATATAATAAGCAGTTTTCCCAGCAGAGTTTTTTGAAAATATTTTTCTCTTTCTATTGAATTGCTTTGGTGCCTTTGGGAAAAGAAATTGACCATATGAAGTGTGTCTATTTATATATATCTATTTTGTTCTACTGATTTGTCTATCCTTATGCCAATACTTGATTATTGTAGTTTTATAGCAAGTCGTAAAATTAAGTAGTATGACTGCAAGTTTGATCTTTTTTCAAAATTGTTTTGTGTCTTCTAGGTCCCTTAGTATTTCTGCATAAATTTCAGAATCAGCTTGTTCATTTCTATAAAATGCCTGTTATGAATTTGATTGGGATTGCATTGAATCTAGAGATTAGTAGGGGGGATAAGTGACGTCTTAGGATTTGAGATTTTACACTACTTCAAAGGTAACAAGTTAGCCTGTCATAGTTTCATGGATGCTGGCAGAGGATATAAGATGCCTGGGTCAGAGGCAGAGGACTTTATTACTCACAGCAATGACAGTAGCCAGAATATTAGCATTTTCTTGTGCCAGTTCCCTCAGCTCCATTTCACATGGAGCAACACTGAGATGGCTGAGTGAGATCTGCACCTGTAGCAGGTTGTATTATAGACAGAAATCTTAAGCTTAGGGAAACAAATCTTTTGTGTCATATAATAAGCATGGCTGCTAGTTGCTGAAGAAGAAGAAACTGTCCCTGTTTTCCAAGGCTGTTCACAATACAAATGTTTTTAAAAGATAGGAACAAAGGGAAGATGTGTAAAAACACAATATACTCATAGAGAACTGTTTCCTGACACTCAACAATATTATATCTTTCAACCCATGAATGTGATATCTCTGTTGTTTAGATCATCTGTAATTTCTCTCAGCAGTGTGTTTCAGTATAGCAGTTTTGTGCATCTCTTGTCAAATTTATGCCTAAATATTTTATGTTTTTTTGTTACAGTGAGTGATATTTAGAAAATATTTTCATTTTCTCTTTGTTGCTACTGTATGGAAATAGAGTTAAGTTTTGTGTACTGTCTTTGCATCTATCCTGTATCCTTATAAATTCACTACTAGCTTTGGTAGGGTTATTTTATTTTGAATCCTTAGGATTTTCCAACTATACAGTCCTGTTGTCTGTAAGTTAAGATAGTTTTACTTTTCTCTTCAGATCTTTACGAGAAGCCTGGTAGATTGCTTGTTTAACACAGAATCTTGAGTGAATGCATTAGTCTTTCACCTTTAAGTATGATGTTAGCTGCATATTTTTCCTAGATATCCTGACTCTTAGGTTGAGAAAGCTTCCTTCTATTCCTAGTTTGCTGATAGTTTTTATGATAACAGGTGTTGAAATTTGTCAGATAAGTTTTTGACATTTGTTGAGATGATCATATGGTTTTTCCTTTTCGGGCTGTTGTTACTATAGTGAATTTCATTATATGATTTAAAAAAACTTTTTAAATTTTTTTAATTTTTTTTTTTTTTTTTTTTTTTTTGAGACAGTCTTGCTCTGTTGCCTGGGCTGGAGTGCAGTGGCACGATATTGGCTCACTGCAACCTCTGCCTCCTGGTTTCAAGCGTTTCTTGTGCCTCAGCCTCCTGAGTAGCTGGGACTACAGGTGCACGCCACCACACCTGGGTGATTTTTGTATTTTTAGTAGAGACAGGGTCTTACCATGTTGGCCAGGCTGGTCTCAAACTCTTGGCCTCAAGTGATCTGCCCACCTCAGCCTCCCAAAGTGCTGGGATTACAGGCATGAGCCACTGCGTGCGACCTATTGTTTGATTTTGAATGTTAAACCAACCTCACCTTCCTGGAATTAAACCCCATTTGGTGATGATTATACTTTCTATGAGTTGCTGGATTCAATCTGCTACTATTTTATTGAAGATTTTTTGCATGTGTGGTTATGAGGAATATTGTTATATAAATTAATTTTAATTTTCGTGTTATATCCTTGTCTGGTTTTGGTATTAATGCATAAATCTATAAAAATTTTATGGGAAGTGTTTGCTTTTCCTTTATATGCTCAAAGAGTTTGTGTAAGGTTGGTACTATTCATTAGATGTTTTATATTAGTTTTCTTCGTGGGGGTTTTAAGTTACAAGTATAGTCACATAGGACTATTCTGATTTTTGATTTCTGCTTGTGTCAGTTTTGGTGATTTGTGTCTTTCAAGGAATGCATCTATTTCATTTTGATGACTGGGTATAAAGAAACTTGTCTTTCATTTTGATAAGTAGACATCAAGGAAGTTGTCTACTCATCTAAGTTGTCTAATTTATTGTCATAAATGTGTGCATAATATTCTCTTACGTTTTTAGGACCTACAGTAACAGTCCCTCTTTTATTTTCAATACTTGCTTCCTCTCTCTGTCTCTCAGTCTCTGTCTTGATCATTTTAGTTGATTATCAATTCTGTTGATCTTTTCAGGGAAGCAACTTTTTGTTTCATTGATTTTTTTTTTTAATCTGTTTTCTATCATTGGTTTCTGCTCTTTACTACTTATTTTCTTTTACTTGTTTGGATTTAACTTGCTCTTTTAAAGTGGAAGCTTTACACTTCGATTTTAAGCCTTTTTTCTAAAAGCATTTAAAAGCTATACATTTCTCTCTAAGCATTACTTTGCTGCATCCCACACATTTTCATGATCATTTGATTCAGAATTTCTTTAATTTTCCCCCTATTTTCTTTGATTCATGGATTATTTAGAATTCTGTAGTTTCGTTTTTAAACATTTGAGGATATTTTAGGTGATTTAATTCATTGTAGAACATAGACTGCATGATTTCACTTGTTTTAGATTGAGATTGTTTTGTAGCCCAGGAAATGTTTTATCTTGGTGAATGTTCCATATGTACTTGAGAAGAATGTGTATTATATTGTTGGTTGTAGTGTTCCATAAAAGTCAGTTTAGCTCATTGGTAGTGGGGCCTAAATCATCTGTATCCTAACTGATAGTGTGTGGTTGTGTGTCTTTGTTTTTTCTTTGTCCCATCTGCTTTTTGGGTTCTTTGATTTTCTTCTTTTGTTTCTTCTTCTGGATTAATCAAGGATTTTATAATATTCAGATTTATCTCCTCTGTTGGGGTTTTAGCTGTACCTCTTTATTTTTTAAGAGGCTGTTCTAGGGATTACAGAATGCATTCTCAATTTATCATAAAATAGCAAGAATATTATACCACCTTACATGTTTCACATGTAATAAAACATACTTTCATATACTATTTTCATCCTTTGTGCTTTTATTGTCATAAGTTTTGCTTCTAAATGTATTATAGTTATTGTATTTTGTGATAATTTGTGCTTCAGAAAGTTATTCTTTGAAGAAACTAAGAAATGAGAAAAATTAACATCTACCTGTATATTCAACATCTACATATATATTTACCATTTTTGCCATTCTTTATTCCTACATAAAGATCAAAGTTTACATCTCATATCATTTTCTCTCAGTCTGAAGAACTTGATTTAACATTTCTTGTATTGTAGGTGTCTTAGTGACAAATTCTTTCAGCTTCTGTTTTCAGCTTTTATCTGAAGATACCTTTATTAATCTTTACTTTTTCTATATATTTTGTTTGTTCGTTTAGAGATAAGGTCTTACTCTGTTGCCCAGGCTGGAGTCCAGTGGCCTGATCATAACCCACTGCAGCCTCAAACTCCTGGGCTCAAGTGATCCTCCCACCTCAGCCTCCCAAGTAGGTGGGACTATAGGCACACGCTACCGTGCCTGGCTAATGTTTTAATTTTTTTGGAGAGTTGGGGTCTCACTTTGTTGCCTGGGCTGGTCTCGTACCCCAGGGCTCAAGCAATCCTCCTACCCCAGCCTCCTACGGTCCTGAGATTACAGGTGTGAGCCACCATGCCTGGTTATTTAAAAAAATATGTTTTGAATAATACAGCCAATTCTGTTTTTTTAAGCTGTCACTATGTTCTGTATAGCCACCAAAAACAGGGAATTAGCAAATACTGAATCATTGTTCTTAGGGGAAATACAGACTTGGCTCCTGTAAGCCTCTTGTCATAATATTTTTGTTAACCAATCAGTATATTACCTTGTTTTATGTGTTTTTCTATTTAAAGCCACCTGGGGTACAAAAATACAGTTGGATAGAAGGAATAAGTTCTAGTATTTGATAGTACAGTAGAGAAATTATAGTTAATGATTTATTCTATATTTCAGAATAGCTAGAAGAATTGTAATGTTTCTAACACAAAGAAAAGAAAAATGTTTGAGGTGATATATAACCCAGTCACTCTGACTTGATCATTACACATTGCATATAGGTATCAAAATATCATATGTACTACCAAAATATAAAACAACTGTTATATATCAATTAAAAAATAAAGACATCTTATTTAATATGTATTATTGATTCATTAACATTGAACTCATGGCCAAGAACACTATAATTTATGCCTGAAGGAAGATTATCTAACATATGTTTTCTCTGTAAGGCACATCATAGCCTTCTTGTGGTTAAAAACACTCGATACCATGTCAGCGCTGTGCTTAAGGGCCATATGAAACAGGGAAGTCAGTGGCAGAGCTGAAACAAGAAGGCGGTAGGGTTACCTTGTTCCATCTCAGCTGGGAACTTGTACTTTGGATGACCCGCTCTGGTTTGCCTGCTCTGCTCATTGCATGTCCTGAAAGTGCTGCAAGTATGGATTTTGGGGCTACAAATTTAGTGAGCAGGTAAATGAGCAAATAAGGAATCCATGAATAATGAGGATCATCTGTATATAATTTTAGATTGTCAGTTTTTTCATAACTTTAAAGGCGTTCATTACCTTTTGGATTACATCAATGAGAGGTGAGGTCATTCTTATTGTTGTTTACCTGCTTTTTTCCTCTGACTGTTTTTAGGGTTGTCTCTATCTTTGATTTTCAGTTTGACCCTTATGGTGTGCCTTTTTGTGGTGTTGTGTTTATTCTGCTTGGAGTACATTGAGCTTTGTGGCTCTGTTGGTTGGTATTTTCAAAATGCCAACTTCTGTCCAATTTTAGGCCATTTTTTCTTTTTTTTTTTTTTTAACTTCTTCAGTCTTTTTTAAAGAGACAGGGTCTTAACTGTGTTGTCCAGGGTGGAGTGCAGTGGCGTGATCATGGCTTGTTACAGCCTCAAACTCCTGGGCTTGAGTGATCCTCCCATCTCAGCCTCCTGAGTTGCTAGAACTGCACGTGTGCACCACTACACCGGCTAATTTTTAAGTTTTTTGTAGAGATAGGGTCTCACTGTGTTGTCCAAACTGGTGTCCCAACTCCTGGCCTCAAGTGGTCCTCCCACTTTGGCCTCCTAAAGTGTTGGGGTTACAGGCATGAGCTCCCATGCCTGGCCACTGTTGCTTTTTTTAAGGGGACTGCAATTATAGGTATTTTAACTCCTTGATTGTCTCTCAGCACTGAGGCTCTGTTCCTTTTTTCACTTGCCCTTTTCCCTTGTTGTGTTTCAGTTTGGATACTTTCTGTTGTTGTTTTTTAAGTTTGTTTATCAATAAATCTTTTTTTCTGTATTGTCTAATCTGCCTTTAAGCTCATCTAGTGATTATTTTCAGTTAATATAATTTACAATTCTAGCATCTCCATTTGGTCCTTTAGTCTATATTTCTCCACCAAGATTCCCTGTCTACTCTATATGTCTGTCTTTTTCTGTACTTAATATCTTAATAGCTATTTTAATTTTCATTTTAATATTTGCTAATCCAGGCCAGGTGTGTTAGTTCACACTTGTAATTCCAGCACTTTGGGAAGCTGAGGCTGGCGGATCACTTGAGGTCAGGAGTTTGAGACCAGCTTGGCCAACGTAGTGAACCCCGTCTCTACTAAAAACACAAAAATTAGCTTGGTGTGATGGCAGACACCTGTAATCCCAGCTACTCAGAGGCTGAGGTGGGATAATTGCTTGAACCTGGGAGGTGGAGGTTGCAGTGAGCCAAGATAGCCCCGCTGTACTCCAGCCTGGGTGACAGAGCAAGACTCCGCCTCAAAAAAAAAAAAGTGCGAATCCAACGTCTACGTTATTTGTTTGTTTATATTTGCTATTCTTTCTTATTTATGGTCATATTTTCTTGCTGCTTTGCATGTCCATTAATTTATTTTATACTGCATGTCATGGATTTGGTGGTTTTAACTTTGTTCTGGCAGGCAGTTAATTTGCTGGAAAATCATTTTGATCCTTTCAAGTTTTGATTTTAAAGTTAGGGTGGGTCTAGAGGTAGGGGTCTGCAGACTTACAGGGCCAGTTAGAGTAAATAGTTTAGGCTTGTGGGCCATACAGCCTTTGTCTAAACTGTTCGTCTCTGTTTTTATTGTGCAAAAGTAGTTATAGACAGCACAGAAGTGAATGGGCGTGGCTGTGTTCCAATACAATATGGGCTCATGAGCCATGGTTTGCTGACTCTTGGTCTAGAGTATCCTTTAGGCTTAGAGTAGTCCTGCTTGAGGTGTTTAGAGAGATCTTTCCTTTCTGACTGGTCAGAATTTTTAGATCAGGTCTTCAGCACTTTCTGACCTTCGATATAATCCAGTTAATTTGCAGCTCTACCATAGGTTTCTTGGCTAGGCCTTGCCGAGTCTTGTGCTGTGCACATGCAGCGTAGTATTCACCCAGAGGTTTAAGAGGAACCCCTATCCAGATTTTTGGAGCTCCTTTTCTGTGAGGCTTTACTTTGTATGTTACCCTGTCTCACAAATTCCAGACAACTCCTCAGCCTCCTCAGCTTAGCAAGAGTGCGGTATTCTTAGGCTTCTCTCTGTACTGTAGACCAGAATGTGCCTTCAGACAGAAAGCAGCGTAGTCATCTTGCAGGTTTCCCTTTTCTCAGGATTCACACTGCTGTCCTGCCTCTTGTCCAGTGTCTCAAGATAGTTGCTTCTAGTATTTTGCCCATATTTTTAGTTGCTTATATTGGAAGAATTAGTCTGTTGTAATTACTCTCATAGCCAGAAGCAGAAGTTCTATGGTTTTAAAATGCAGGTTTTTTGTAGTATTGTAATTAGATATGATTTAAATGCCTCTTTTCTCGTATGTGAAATGGGGGTAACAGTAGTACCTACCTTACAGGGTAGTTTTGAGAACAGAATGAACATCTGAAACAAATGTGCCGGCTCAGCACAGTACCTGTCCCACATTAATGTTTCTATAAATGTTGTTACATTGTAAAATAGAAGCAATTGATCAATGCAATATTTCTGCTAATTACAAGGTATTTACTGGGTGACGATTTACCTTGTTTCAGGAGAACTAACTTGAGGGGCTGATACAGTAAGAAGGATTGCACCAGTTGCACTTGTACATAAATACATCCTTCAGAAGATGAAGCACATCTCGTGCTTTGAGGAAGCCTAGCCAAAAAATAATAATAATTATAAAGCACAAAGACTTGGGAATTAGATGTTTTGACCCTCTGGCCTCCTAGTTCTGTGACTTAGGGCAAGTTGTTTCTTCTTTTTTCTTTCCCTCTCCCTCCTTCACAACATTTTTAGGTGGGTACTCTTATTATCCTTATTTTACAAGTTTCATTAGGCACAGAAAGGCTAAGAGTTACAGTTGTAAGTGATGGATTTGTGATTTGGACTTAGGCAATTCAATTTCATGATCTGTGATTGCTTTATTAGGAGTCTGAACTGTATTCTTGAAGTCCCAGAAGATAGTTAACTATTCTGGATTTTTTTAAAGAGCTTTTAGAAATGTAGTACTTGTTTTATGGGTAACTGGATCGAATCCCATTTTACAAAATGAAGATTTTTCTTTTTTTCTTAAACATAATGAATCTTTGAAATACCAATTTGAAAACTTTTTTACTTAGAAAAATTCCAGGAATATAGTTTTTATTATAAAAGATTATTGCACTAGGTAGGAATAAGAGTACAGTACATTAAAAAAATACTTTAAAATTATGGCACAAATTTAGATGTAGTTTGTTTTCCCACTAACTTTAACAGTAATATATGTTTCTAGTTCACTTTCCAGATAGACTAGCCTCTGAATTAGTGGCTTTTAACTATATTGTCTAGATAAAAAAGACAACCATTTTGTTAAGAATTGGTTAACTGTTATTTAGATGGAGCAGCTGCGTAATTATTTGGTTCTGCTCTTTGACCCTCAAATTTCAGTTTTATACAAGCTAATAATTCATTATTTTAGCTGAAGGGAACTTTCCTTCATTTTACAAATGAGAAACTGTAATTTAAGATCACATAGCAAGTAATCTTTTAAATATGTGTACACATATATATGCACTTTATTTAAAAATCTTATAAGCCATTATGTTACCCCTTTGACTGGATAGCCCATCCTACCTAGTGCTCTAGGTTGGAGGAAACCCTTTTAAACACACATCATAAATTTCCCGTCATCACCCTCATCTAGGAATCCTTTAAGTATGACTTCATGCCCAGTATATATTTATCTAAAATATATAAGACCTTGTGAAGTTAGCTCTCCTAATTCATTAAGGGTAATATGCTTGGAAGACAAGTCCGTATTCATGTTAGCTACATTTCTTGGATTTTTATCTGTTTTGATCAGCCTTGTCTAGCTTGTCCATCCAGATGAAATTGTCTAAATTTATTAGGTTCTCTCTGTTAAAGGAATATCACCTTCCAGTCATCTCTCAGGCTGTTTCAAATTGTCTGATGGTAGAGGCCTTTCTCTAGTGTAAACCATGGAAGATCTTTAGCTTAGGATCTCCCAACTGCAGGTACAAGATGACATTGTACAAAGTTAATATTACCAATATAGAGTGTATTAGTTAGCTTGGGCTGCCGTAACAAAATACCATAGGCTGGGTGGCTGAACAGAAATTTACTTCTCACAATTCTGGAGGCTGGTAAGTCTAAGATCAAGGTGCTGGCAAGGTAGATTTCTTTTTGAGGCCTCTTCTCCTGGCTTATAGGTGACCACCATCTCACTGTGTGCACACATGACCTCTTGTGTGTGCCTGGGGAGACAGGGAGCATGACAGCAAGCTCTCTGGTGTCTCTTCTTGTAAGGGCATTAATCCCCTTGGCCCAGGGCCCCACCCTGACTGCATTTAACCCTAATCACCTCCCAAAGTCCCCATCTTCAGATACTATCACTTTAGGGGTTGGGGCTTTAACATGAGTTTTGTAGGAAATATAAGCATTCAGTTCTGTAACATACAGTGATTAAGGAAATGGGCTCTGGAATTGAATTGCCTTAGTCTCTCACTTACTAGTTGTGTATACAAATAACAAGTAGCCCTCACTTAGGTTAATTTTAAGCAAAACCAATAATGGTGTCATCCTAAAGGCAGTTAATTTTTTTTTTTTTTGTATTTTGGACTCTGGCATTTGGACATTGGCACAGGACTAATGTCTTCAAAGAGCAATGTACAATGACTGTAACAACTTAGAATGTAAGAGAAAATGCATAATTCTTTAAAAGTGTTTCTTTAAATTGAATATATGCCAATAACAAAAGATTAAACATTTGTAGTTGTTAATTGTATTCAAATTCAGCTTTTTGTTTTTGGCCTGAATAGAACAAGACAATTTACCTATGTGAAAACCTGAGTGAAAGCTTGGGATGTGATATGTTAAGTAGAACAGTATTTTAAAGCCACTTTGATTCATAAGTTTCTTTAACATAAACAGGTTGTATTGCCTCTTGAAAAATGATAGGTTCTATGGATAACATTTAATTAGCTTTATAATACATATGATGATTTAACCTGAATTAATGGTACTACTTTTTCTGACTTCCTTTTGATCTTGGCCCTTTCTCTGTAAAGTTTTTTGTTAACTTATTACAAACTGAACCCTGGCTTGCTCCTCTTATCTTTAGTCTCCTTTCAATCTGTCTTTATTTCTGCTGAGGTTATATTCTATTTGTTTTTCAGATGAGACCCTTTTTGCTCTTCCTGCTGCATCTGAGCCTGTGATACGCTCCTCTGCAGGCAAGTTCTTTCTGCCAGCCTTTTATCCTCTCTGTATTCTAACTTTAACTCTTTAGTGTGTTAACACTATGCAGAGTAGTTTGGGTTTACTAAAAATTAGCATGGTTCCGAGAATGTTTTGTCTACTGGAAAAGTTGAAATGTGCATTTTATATGGTATGCCCAAGGGAAAAATGAGCAAAATCTGATGAATACTTGGAAGTACATAAGGAATTCTTGGACCCTTGAATTACATTTACATATTTACCATTCCCTTTCTCCAAATACAGTTTGAGTATAGCCAGAAAGGCTTTCCTGTAAATAAATACCAGTCTATGGCATTTACCCAGTGCCCCTTCTTTCCTATGCTGTCACCGAAACTCTTTTCACAGATATTCTTCTCTTCTCTAAAACTAGCTATTAGTATCTTAGTTGATAACATTTGAGGTTTACTCAGACTTGATTTGTCTTTGCACAGCATGTAATTGCCTCTGTAGCCATGCATATGTTATATTTACAATAGCTTAATATTTTCAGTAATGATTGAAGTCTACTCTATTGTTACTTATTAATTGCTATTAACATTTCATTTTAGTAAACAGTAAGTCTTTACTAACACTATTTTGGATCTGTCATAAAACTTGCATTAACTCTGAGAACACTGGCATTCTCTAACTTTCCTTTCTGTCCATGGTCACAGAAAATATGGACTTGAAGGAGCAGCCAGGTAACACTATTTCGGCTGGTCAAGAGGATTTCCCATCTGTCCTGCTTGAAACTGCTGCTTCTCTTCCTTCTCTGTCTCCTCTCTCAGCCGCTTCTTTCAAAGAACATGAATACCTTGGTAATTTGTCAACAGTATTACCCACTGAAGGAACACTTCAAGAAAATGTCAGTGAAGCTTCTAAAGAGGTCTCAGAGAAGGCAAAAACTCTACTCATAGATAGAGATTTAACAGAGTTTTCAGAATTAGAATACTCAGAAATGGGATCATCGTTCAGTGTCTCTCCAAAAGCAGAATCTGCCGTAATAGTAGCAAATCCTAGGGAAGAAATAATCGTGAAAAATAAAGATGAAGAAGAGAAGTTAGTTAGTAATAACATCCTTCATAATCAACAAGAGTTACCTACAGCTCTTACTAAATTGGTTAAAGAGGATGAAGTTGTGTCTTCAGAAAAAGCAAAAGACAGTTTTAATGAAAAGAGAGTTGCAGTGGAAGCTCCTATGAGGGAGGAATATGCAGACTTCAAACCATTTGAGCGAGTATGGGAAGTGAAAGATAGTAAGGAAGATAGTGATATGTTGGCTGCTGGAGGTAAAATCGAGAGCAACTTGGAAAGTAAAGTGGATAAAAAATGTTTTGCAGATAGCCTTGAGCAAACTAATCACGAAAAAGATAGTGAGAGTAGTAATGATGATACTTCTTTCCCCAGTACGCCAGAAGGTATAAAGGATCGTTCAGGAGCATATATCACATGTGCTCCCTTTAACCCAGCAGCAACTGAGAGCATTGCAACAAACATTTTTCCTTTGTTAGGAGATCCTACTTCAGAAAATAAGACCGATGAAAAAAAAATAGAAGAAAAGAAGGCCCAAATAGTAACAGAGAAGAATACTAGCACCAAAACATCAAACCCTTTTCTTGTAGCAGCACAGGATTCTGAGACAGATTATGTCACAACAGATAATTTAACAAAGGTGACTGAGGAAGTCGTGGCAAACATGCCTGAAGGCCTGACTCCAGATTTAGTACAGGAAGCATGTGAAAGTGAATTGAATGAAGTTACTGGTACAAAGATTGCTTATGAAACAAAAATGGACTTGGTTCAAACATCAGAAGTTATGCAAGAGTCACTCTATCCTGCAGCACAGCTTTGCCCATCATTTGAAGAGTCAGAAGCTACTCCTTCACCAGTTTTGCCTGACATTGTTATGGAAGCACCATTGAATTCTGCAGTTCCTAGTGCTGGTGCTTCCGTGATACAGCCCAGCTCATCACCATTAGAAGCTTCTTCAGTTAATTATGAAAGCATAAAACATGAGCCTGAAAACCCCCCACCATATGAAGAGGCCATGAGTGTATCACTAAAAAAAGTATCAGGAATAAAGGAAGAAATTAAAGAGCCTGAAAATATTAATGCAGCTCTTCAAGAAACAGAAGCTCCTTATATATCTATTGCATGTGATTTAATTAAAGAAACAAAGCTTTCTGCTGAACCAGCTCCGGATTTCTCTGATTATTCAGAAATGGCAAAAGTTGAACAGCCAGTGCCTGATCATTCTGAGCTAGTTGAAGATTCCTCACCTGATTCTGAACCAGTTGACTTATTTAGTGATGATTCAATACCTGACGTTCCACAAAAACAAGATGAAACTGTGATGCTTGTGAAAGAAAGTCTCACTGAGACTTCATTTGAGTCAATGATAGAATATGAAAATAAGGAAAAACTCAGTGCTTTGCCACCTGAGGGAGGAAAGCCATATTTGGAATCTTTTAAGCTCAGTTTAGATAACACAAAAGATACCCTGTTACCTGATGAAGTTTCAACATTGAGCAAAAAGGAGAAAATTCCTTTGCAGATGGAGGAGCTCAGTACTGCAGTTTATTCAAATGATGACTTATTTATTTCTAAGGAAGCACAGATAAGAGAAACTGAAACGTTTTCAGATTCATCTCCAATTGAAATTATAGATGAGTTCCCTACATTGATCAGTTCTAAAACTGATTCATTTTCTAAATTAGCCAGGGAATATACTGACCTAGAAGTATCCCACAAAAGTGAAATTGCTAATGCCCCGGATGGAGCTGGGTCATTGCCTTGCACAGAATTGCCCCATGACCTTTCTTTGAAGAACATACAACCCAAAGTTGAAGAGAAAATCAGTTTCTCAGATGACTTTTCTAAAAATGGGTCTGCTACATCAAAGGTGCTCTTATTGCCTCCAGATGTTTCTGCTTTGGCCACTCAAGCAGAGATAGAGAGCATAGTTAAACCCAAAGTTCTTGTGAAAGAAGCTGAGAAAAAACTTCCTTCCGATACAGAAAAAGAGGACAGATCACCATCTGCTATATTTTCAGCAGAGCTGAGTAAAACTTCAGGTAATCCAATCTATATGCAGTTTTGTGCTTTCATGCCACTTTTGGATTTAGGGAACATTCCACTACATTTTGTGTTTTATATTATGTTTATAGTGTCTCATATGTCACATTGGTAAGAAGTCTTCTCCACTTTTTCAGTTAAAGGTTTTAGTGCTTTTTCTAACTCTCTTGCACTCAGCATTCACCCTTAACTTTTCCACACAGTTACACTTTTATATTGCACTATGGAACTATTAATAGAAAATATTTTTGTTTATAAGAATTGGCTTTAGTACCTATTTCTTTCTTTCTTTCTTTTTTCACTTGTGTTTCTTGATAACATGAAGAGCAAGAGATATTAAAATATTTTCAGATGTGTTTTTGTTATCCCAGAAATTACCATATTTAATTTTTAAAGAAAATTTCTATAGTATGTTTTAAATATTTCTATATAATATAGTACTTTTCCAGTGGTAGGTATAAAGTTAGGCATATTGAGTGTAGACATTTTGTTGAAAAGTATAAAATGAGTTATGCTATTATGAATTCTTTTGAAAAGTACCGATTCTCCTTTTTTTCTTTTGACTATCCATTTTCCACATACCTGATTTGCATAAGGTGATTTGCACAAGGTGATTTGCACATGTGCTCTTTATTAGCATTCTGATTTAGCTGCGTTTTCTCTAAAATAGTGATTATGATAAATTTACTGAATATACTTATGTATTTAAGTGCTGGTGCTTCAGCAGTACAGTCCAGCTCATCACCATTGGAACAGTGGTAGACCAGTTGCTGTAATCTAAGAAAGAGGAGATTATGAACATTCAGGCAGTGGGATGAGCACAGAGACATAGGACTTGGTGTTTGACGGATAGGGACATAAAGGATGAGGGGAAGAGGTAAAGATGACCCCAGGAACCCTGGATTTCATTTCTGGCATGTGCACTTGTATGGGTGGCAGTATGAGAAACTGAGATAGGGAACATGAGAGATTAAAGTAGGTTTAAGAGGGAAGATACAAATTTGGTTTTGGATATGTTGGTATTGATGTACATACCTCTAAGATATCCAGTAAGTTATGGATATTATACACATGAAGCTCTTGAGAGAGATCTTGGCTGTATGTGTCTGTCATGGGCTTAGAGATAGAAATTAAAGCCCCAGATACCAATTAGGAAGAATCAAGAGAAGAGGACTACTTGAAGGTGGAAGAAATGGTCAAAATTATCAAATACTGGAGAGGTCAGTTAAGGATTGCAAGTTGGTCAAAAAGGAGGGAAGATATTGTCATGACAGCGGCAAATGGTGTGGTGTGCATGGGCATGGCTAGGATTGAGAAGTGAATGAGACTTGAGTAAGTGGTTATTAAATGTTGATTACTCTTAAGAAGTTTGAGATTTTTATTGGAGAAAAATTAAAATATTAGCAAGCAGGAAGGAGAGTATGCAGTGGAGGTAGGACTTTTTTTTTAAGGTGGGAAGGGGAAAATCTGATTACAGGTGCTGGCAGAAAGTCAGAAGGGGATGGGGATGTGCTGCCTAGTTCAGGTGGAAGAATTAGTGTTAGAGAGAAGGAACGATAGAGCTTTGATTGTAGTGAGTGGAAAGGAAAGTATGGGGTATTGATACTGTTAGGGTTTTGTGACTGAAAGTTGAGGGAATTATTTGATGGTTTATGTTTGTTCTTTAAAGCAGTATGTTAGTTCATTTGCTGGGAATGAAGTAGATCATGCTTGGGTGGAAGAGATCTGCAATACCTCTGACTAGGGAAACCAAAGGCATTGTATTAGGAGCCTAATCAAGGTTGAAAGGTGGTCTAAATGGTAGGGTGACTTTTCTTTGATTGTGCCAAACAACCTAGGTATGGGTTCAGGGAAGGCAAATGATTGTATTGATTCAAGGATGTGTTTTGGCAGGTGGGCCCTGTGGAAGGACAGTAAGTCAAGAAAGTTGAGGGTGATAGCAGGAGAGTAATTTGAAGTGATGGACTGTGGCATCTAAGTTGAAGGATGTGAATAGAAAAAGGTAGGAGAGGTAGGAGGAGAGTAGATGGTCAGTGAACTCAAGGCCCAGATTAGGTTTAAGAACCAATAGTAGTAGGAATAAATACATGCCAGAATGATAGGAGATTGTGGTCAAAGTAGGGGAGAGAAAGAATGCATGTGCGGGAGAGCAGGGTGTGTGTGTGTGTGTGTGTGTGTGTGTGTGTGTTGGATGTTGAATTTAGAATTTCAGAGGAATAGCAGTTCAGGTTGATTATAATGGCCAGTGTTAGGCCATCAGGCAAAGGCCTACTGTGTAGTCAGATTAAGATTGCTAGAGGTGAGGTCAAGTAAACTATGAGGCCATGATACTGTATTGCACTTCTACCTAACATTGAAGTCACCCAGGGTGATGGCAGGACTAGGGGTGGAGAGGAATACTGGGGTTAGAGTCCTTGGTAAAGGGCAGTGAGGTAACTGGCAGGATGGTAGGTAGAAGAAATGAGGAAGGACAGAGAATGACGTAGCGGAATAGCCAAGACTTTTGCCCAAGGTCTCTGAAATAAAAGTCTGGAAGCAGCATTGGTGAGCAGAGGGTACTGACCTCCCCACTCCTCCCTTAGGTGTGTAGAATATGAGAGAACGATTTAGCCTTCATTTAGCAAGTTCCACAGGGAAACCAGTATCTTCAAGGAACAGCCAGGTTTTAGTGAAGGCGAGGTAAAGGCAGGAATGTTCAGTAAAGATGTTGAGGAGTAGAGGAGCTGGTTCACAGTGGAATGGGGGTTTCAAACAGCACAGTAAAATGGTTTAGGAGGGAACAGTAGAAAGAAGGGTCTCAGAAGCCCAGAGCAGCTTGGTGATGACTGGGTGAAGAGCAAGGAGTAATCGGTGTAGCAACACCTTTGAAGTCTCCCCTCCCCGCTAGTGCTTCCTCCCAAAACTTAAAGCTAGCAGTCCTCTAGTAGATGGTGGCCCTTAGGAATTTCAGTATTTCAGGAGTCACCTATTTCTTGGATTGTTTTTGTTAAACCTGGGAAATCTATAGCCTAATAGTTTAGAAGTAAGGGAAGAAAAGGGGGCATTGCCTTTGAAAGCTTAATGGGAATGGTGGAAGAAAGTGTAAGCAATGCTTGGGCATTCTCTTTTAGAATATGTTTATCTCCCTTCTCTGAGAAAATTGTTATTTCCTGCCTTTTTGACTTAACCTTTTTTGATATTAGTTATCATAGCAACTTACTAGGGAATAGAGAATTATTTAGATACACCCAATATATATATTCTACAAAAGTTGTGGGAAGGAAACCCAGTATTGCTATAATGAAAACAATATAGGTGACCTGAGGTTTTAGTCTTGGCTATACCACTGACAATCACTTTGTTTCTCTAGATGTCATTTTCCTTTTCTATAAAAGGAAGGGTGGATTAGCTCAAGTCCTTGCAACTTAATAATTTTCTTGACTTGATTATATAACAGGCATCTGTTAAAAGCAGGTAAGTAGTGGCCAGTCACAATGGCTTACGCCTGTAATCCCAGCTTTCAGGGAGGGAGAGGTGGGAGGATAGCTTGAGCCCAGGAGTTCGAGACCTGCCTGGGCAATATAGTGAGACTCCGTTCTCCACAAAAAAGGGAGAAAAAAAAGACAAAAAAAAAAAAAAGTGTAAAAGCAGGTAAGAGTTGCTTTAACATGCTTCTATCAGGCACTATATGAGATTTTTTTTTGGCGGGGGGGGCAGGGAAAAAGATGAAACTAAGACAAAGTTTTGCGCTTTATGCAACTTACAGCCAGCTGGTACAGACACACTGTTGAGGACATAGTTAAACATTGTGATCTATGTTATAGTGAGGATAGGTACTTACCTGTGTATCTTCGTGAAAGGGAGGTTCAAGTGTACTGAAGTCAAATGTACCAAAATACAGCAGTGGTCTGATAAAACATAAGGGAAGCTCTCTTCTCAGATGACTTAAAAGTTTTATGCCATCTCTAATTATGAAATATTTAAGTGTGTTTTTAAAAAAATTCTGGGTCTTATTAATGTATATGCATTTAAACATTTAAACTATTAAATAATAAAATACTAATTTCCTCAGATCATTTATTATCTCATATGTTCTTCTTTTCTTTTTTCGAGACAGGTTCTTGCTGTGTCGCCCAGGCTGAAGTGCAGTGGTGAGATTATGGCTCACTGCAGCCTCAACCTCCCAGGGTCAGGTGGTCCTCAGCCTCCCAAGTAGCTGGGACCAAAGGCTCGTGTCACTATGCCTGGCTAATTATTTTTGTAGAGAGGAGGTCTTGCCTTGTTGCCTAGGCTGGTCTCAAACTCCTGTGTTCAAGGATCCTCCCGCCTCTGCCTCCCAAAGTGCTGGGATTACAGGTGTGAGCCTCCAGGACTTTCCTGTTCTTGTTTTCTTAAAATGACATTTTGTAGGCAGAAATCAGTTTTAGTTTTGGGAAGAAAGATTGATTTTGCAAGAGAGATGAATAAGGTATTGTGATGCAGATGGTGCTTTATTAATTTTGGGAAGTAAAGTTTGTCAAGAAACTAATGAATTCTGGTCTTCCTCCCCCTCCATTTACAAAGAAATTTGTGACAAACTATATTCTTACTATTGGAATGTAAATACTGATTTTTTTTCTCAGTAGTAGTATCAATGAATGTTCTTGGCATTTCCCCAATGAATGTTCTTGGCATTTTTTTTTTTCCAAAAATTGATTGGCTATAGATATGTTAATTAATTTCTGGGTTATCTGTTCTGTTCCATTGGTCTGTGTTTCTGTTTTTATGCCAGTACCATGCTGTTTTGGTTACTATAGCTGTGTAGTATATTTTGAAATTTAGTAGTGTGATTCCGCCAGCTTTATTTTTGTTCAGGATTGCTTTTGCTTTTTGGAGTCTTGTGGTTCCATACAGATTTTAGGATTTTTTTTCCTATTCCTGTGAAGAAGGTCATTGGTATTTTATTAGGGATTGCATTGAATCTGTAGACTGCTTTGGATATTACGGCCATTTTTTAACAATGTTAACTCTTATGATTCATGAACATGGAATGTCTTTCTTTGCATTTGTTTGTATCCTCTTCAATTTCTTTCATCATTGTTTTGTAGATTTCCTCGTAGAAGTCTTTCACCTCCTTGGTTAAACTTATTCTGAGGTATTTTTTTTTAAGCTATTGCAAATGGAGTTTCCTACTTGATTTCTTTTTCAGCTAGTTTGTTGTTTGTGTAAAGACATGCGATATTTTTGTTATTGATTTTATATCCTGCAACTTTACAGAATTTACAAGTTTTTGGTAGTCTTTAGGTTTTTCTTTATATAAGATCATGTCATCTGCAAACAGGGACAATGTGACTTCCTCTTTTCTAATTTGGATATCCTTTATTTCTCTCTTGCTCAATTGCTCTGGGTAGGACTTCCCATTTCAGTCTTTATTTATTTGTTATGACATTAGCAGTTTTAAAGAACACAGGGCCTCTCTTCCCCCGACTTTATAATAGAACATTCCTCCTAGTGGATTTGTCCGATGTTTCCTAGTGATTAATTTGAGGCTATGGGTTCATTTATGATACTGTATAGATGATGATGTGTCCCTCTCATAGCACCACTTCTAGAGTTATCTGCTATTCATCAGTCCCTCACTGGTTATGTTAATTTTGACCGTCTGGGCAAGATGAGCTCTGATTTCCTTATATTGTCTTTGTTTCTCCCTTGCAGATGATAAGCAGTCTGAGGAGTGACACTTGAACACATGCAGATATCCTGCTCCCTATCAAAATTCGCCCCTCCAATTTAGTAAACCATTGATGATTCTTGCTTGATCCAGTCTTTACCATGAGAGTTGAAAAATGATTTTAACTCCAGTACTCCCCGTACATTTTTCATTTGACCCTCAGCATTCCTGTTTAAGCAGCAGACCTCCATTTCCATTAATGAATTAATTAGCTAATTAATTATCAGTATGGATCCGTGAATTTCCATTTTCTTTCCAATGGTTTATGATTCATTACTGAACTTTATTATTTTGGTGGTAAATTATTGCATATTTTGAGGGTTCCTTCAGGTAGGCTCAGGGACATGCAACCTTCTTTCTTTGGGGTTGGGAGGGGAGCATTTCTTACTTTCTAGCCTAACAAAATATTGTAGGCCTATTTTATGCTTACCGTGTCCCAGCCCTGGAATCAGCCATTTCTCCAAGGATGCCTGATTCCTTTTAATGTAGAATGAGAGGTCATTTTCATAATAGTGAGGTATTAAAGATCAAGAGCTAGATGCTAGTTGTGGTCATTGCTACTGTGGGGATCTTTCCATTTTAACCCTTTCAGTGGATAAAGCTAGGAAATGCTTATATACATACATAAAAATAAACATACACACATACACATACATACTTAAGAAATGAGTTCACATAGATACCTCTAATTCTAATCCATTCTCACAGGGTTTGTTCTTTCTTTCCTGATTTCATATTTGTCTCTTCTTTTATAGTGAGAACCCTGGTTCCTAAGACCACCAATACATTATTTATATCCAGTCCTTTAATACACCTATAAGAGTTTTAGAATGCTTTTTTCATATCACTATAATAAAAAAAAAACTTGATAAAAGAGTTCTGGATTGTTTGCAAATCCCTACTCTGCAACCCTGCCTAAGATGGAATGTATATAGTCAAATACATTATTCACAGATTACTTGTATTAGTTTGTTCTTTTTTCTTTTTCCTGCGTCCTTCTCCCACTGACTAATGGCTATGATATTCATTTGAAATACAATTAGCTTCATTTGTTTCAGTTCTAGATTTTCTTTCTCCCAGTTTTAGGTTTTTAACTGAGAATTTTAAAGTGTTGAGAAAAGCTGAATTCTTCTCATTTTATCTGGAAAGGGAAGACTATCATTTATGGAACATCTTCTGACCAACAAGCACTCTCACATATTTGTTTCATTTAGGTCTTCACCATAATCTGAAAGAAGGAACCATTTTATAGATGATAAAATCTAAGCCTAAGGATGTTAAGTAACTTTTTCAAGGATACCTGGTAAATTATGTAATAAGCACAATGTTTTTGAGCTTCTGCCGTGTTTCAGACATTGGGCTAACTTCTTATTTGTATTAGTTGTTACCTAGTTTCACAAGAATGAACTGCGATTCCAACTCAGGTTTTGTCCGTTCACAGTTATTTCCTGGTTTTGGAATAAGCAGTTATTGTCCTAACTTTAGCAGGCAATCAAGGTGCTACTGCTTTTATCATATATCTGTTGTGTTGAACCATTAGGCAATGTAAGACATTTCTTGACATCTTAAGATGTCAAGAAAGTTGGTTGCCATCTACATTTTCTCACATATGTAAGGATATTGGAACTAGGGTAACATTCTGTTGCTAGTATGTGGAGACTGAAAAACCCTACTTTGGACAACTGCTATCATCTGTTTATGTTGGTAGGCCATTGGTACAGAAAGGTGCTCATGTTTCCTGTCCAAACTGCTGAGATCTTGACTTAATGATAACTTAATATATGTTTGTTGGTTGCTTGTCACTAATGCACAGAGAATATTTTTAGTTCGTAATCGAAATATAGATTGTGTCTTGCTGAACTAATTGGAACTATTGGTAAGTGAAGTGTAAACCGACCATACATTGATTATTTGTTCATTATAATTAAACTATGTAATACCCAGGATTCACCAAGTAGTATTACCATGATCACTCACTTTAAAAGGGCTTGTTTGTCTAGGTAAATAGTACGAAATTAGCTTTGCAAACTTATATATGTTCATGAATAAGAACTTACATATGTTCATGAATAAGAATTGTTTTGATATTCTTACGACTTAAAATATTTTTCTGAAAAAGTATATATAGCCTTTGAGTTTTTTTACTGAAGTACTGTAGATACTAAGAGTTGATATTTTGTTTAAAATATATTTTTATTGAGCAAATAATATTTGGAAAATTTTGATGTAAGTTGGACTTTATTATGATAAGTAGTTAATCTTAACTGGAAGGCTATCAGTAGATGTACAATGTAGCTAAATTAGAACCTGACTCTTGTTAATAAAGGAAACGATTATATTTACTTTTTAAAAAGTGACATTGTTAAATTAGTGAGGATTTATTTAGTGCTTACTGTGGGCCCAATACAGATTGAAAATAAATATGTACCATAAAAAAGAGATACCTGCTAAATATAATGTGGTTAAATAACTTAATTTTAGGCATTTTACAGACCTGAGTTCTAATTCTGACCCTTTCACTGATTTAGCTGTATGACCCTTGGCAAATGTTTTAATCTACTTGAGCTTCAATATTTTAGTAATAAGGATTTTTTCTAAGGACTTGATAACTATCAGTGAAGTTAGAGCAACAGTTTATGAAGCAGTCTGACATACAATACACGCTCATTGTACAAATTTGAAAAATGTAGAAAAGCATTGAGATGAAAAAAATTATAATCATATTACCCAGACATAATCAATGTTTAATATTTTAGAATATATTATTCTAGTCTACTTTCAATGCACATGTGTTTTGTTTTTGTTTTTGTTTGAGACATAGTCTCGCTCTGTCACTCAGGCTGGAGTAGCAGTGGCGGGATCTCCACTCACTGCAACCTCTGCCTCCTGGGTTCAAGCGATTCTCGTGCCTCAGCCTCCCGAGTAGCTGGGATTACAGGTGTGGGCCACCGTGCCTGGCTAATTTTTGTATTTTTAGTAGAGACAGGGTTTCACCATGTTGGCTAAGCTGGTCCAGAACTCCTGACCTTAAGTGATCTGCCCACCTTGGCCTCCCAAAGTGCTGGGATTAAAGGCATGAACCAGCGCACCTGGCCGCATATGTGTATTTTTAAGAATGTAATAGTGTTTTATGAAATTGGAATCATACTCTATATATTGTTTATAAGCTTTTAAAAACTTTAGTAATGTCTTATATAATGCAAACATTTCCATGTCTTTAAATATTTTGCTGCTGATTTTTTGTACTTAGTGTTCCTTAGTATGGGTATAGTTTAACCAGTCACTTTGCTATTGTTGGACCCTTAGATTGTTCCTTTGTTATTGATAAATAATGCTATTAACCTCTTTATATTTAAATATGTCTTACATATCCCTGAATTATTTTCCATAAATCAATTTGAAATAAAAACCTAGGTTAGTGGGTATGAGCATTTATAAGGGTTTGTATAAAAATTGGCCACCAGAAAAGTTGTACTAATTTTTACCCTTTTATCAGAAGAAGAAAACACCCATTTCTCTACTTTCACCAACAATTCATATTGCTTATTTTTTGATAGATAATATTTTTACATTATACAAAATGCAGAAAGTACAGTGACAGTCACACTTCTTCCTCTCTCTCTGTTGTCCAGCTGCCTAGTGCTGTTTCCTAGAGTTATCTACTATGACTCGTTCCTTAAATATTCTTCTGGACATTCTGTACTAGGTATTTTTTAAAAGCCCTTTACCAGTTTGATAGGTGCAAGTAGTACTTGCTTTTTTGATCTTTGATTATTAGTGAATGTGAACATGTTGGCAGTTTGTATTTCTTCTGTGATTTTTGCTTGTTCATACTCTTTGCCCATTTTTAAATGTAGGTGTTCATTTTTTTCCCTGATTTTATGAGAGTTCTTTACATATAAAGGATGTAAACTCTTGTGTTATAGTTTTCCCTCAGTTTTCTAAAAGATTTTTAGTTTACATTTCAGTGGACATTTTCAGTTTTCACAAAGGAAAATATATTTTTTATTTACTTATAGTTTTAATTTTACACTTAGTTCTGATCTATTTAAAATTGATTTTGGATTCCGATTAGGGATTATTTTGCCCCACGTATTTTTTTGGTGTTAGAGTTGTTTTCCTATTCCCATACTCTGATCTAGCTGCCTAGGGCCAGGCAGCAATCTTGTGGAAAAGCCAGAAAGTTAATGTTTGCCAGATTGCCTTCCATGAACTGGGCAATCAACTGTAGACTACGGGTGTTGGTGCCATCTAGTGTTGCAGATGGAAGATCAAGTCTGTGGAATGATCTATAATTGACTATGTGGAATAAATTCAGTTGGACAGAGAAATTTAGCGAGCTGTGAATATCGTTTTGCACTAACAGATGAGTTTAAAATTTTTATAAACAATTTTGAATATTGACATCTTGTACCAAATCAAACAAATGCTTTAATCATACTACTATAAACATTATGAAATGACCTTAAAGATTCCCCCCAAACCTGGATACTTAAATGAAGACATTAAAGTTTAAGAAGATCTGTTTAGGGCCTAGTGACTATTAATTCTTGAATTCAGAATTTAAAAATGCGTGCTTGAGGCCAGGTGCAGTGGCTCACGTCTGTAATCCCAGCACTTTGGGAGGCTAAGGCGGGCAGATCACGAGGTCAGGAGATCCAGACCATCCTGGCCAACATGGTGAATCCTCGTCTCTACTAAAAATACAAAAATTAGCTGGGCTTGGTGGCACGCACCTGTAGTCCCAGCCACTTGGGAGGCTAGGCAGGAGAATCACTTGAACCCGGGAGGTGGAGGTTGCAGTGAGCCAAGATCGTGCCACTGCATTCCAGCCTGGTGACAGAGCGAGACTCTGTCTCCAAAAAAAAAAAAATGCTTGCTTCAGCAGCACATACTAAAATTGGAATTATACAGAGAAGATTAGCATAGCCCCTGCACAAGAATGACGCATAGAATTTGTGAAGTGTTTCATATTTTTATATAAAAAATTTTTAAAAATGCTTTGGGTGTTTAAGAATATTTGTATGTTTTAGATTATAATGTAAGAAGTTAGCATATTAGTTTTCATAAATAGTGTCACTTTCAGTTTATGAATTTTAGTATTCATTTTTGGTACCTTATGTTAAATTTTTTATAGACTTTAAAATGCTCGTTGTTTTGCTATTTTAACTTGTACTGTCATTCATTTTCTAGACTAAAATCTTTTTCCAGTTCTTAAGATTTAATTCAGTAATGTTGAAGTGCTGTAATTTAGTCCATAGAGGGCATTATATTACAGCATATGGTAGGGTTTTAAAAATTAACTCCTTTCAGTATTGAAACATGTTAATTTCATACCTTTGTGTAGCTCAGAATAGTTAAATTTTGAAATAAGCTTAAAACTACTGTGTAGCTATAATTGTTTCTTATTTTTTAAAAAACATGCCTATTTTCTGTGGCTGGAAAGTATAAATTATTTTAGCTCTCAAGAGCAGTGTACATAAGCAGTCTCTAACTTTCAGAGTAGCATTTTCAATCCAAATGATTGCTGCTTTCCCACCCTCTTTCCCTTGCATCTCTAAATGTTGTAAAGAAAAACGAAGCAAAACAAAAACCTGAGTTTTTCCTGGGTGCAGAAGTAGAGGAAAGAAAGAAATGGAAAAGGAAGAATGTCTTAGAATAAGAGCTGGCTGGGGTGGACTTAACACCTTGCCTAGTGCTGCCTGTTCTAAAATCTAAAATATAACTTTCTACTGTCTGAAATCTTGCCAGTTAGATACCACCCCCCCTACACCCTCCCCCCCCCCCAAAAAAAAACCCACCAAAAAACATACACACAGTTTCTGAGGTCATAAAAGAGTTTCTTGTTTAGTAGGAATTGATTTATGCGTATTTCCTACTTAACAGGTAAGTGCATGAAGGAAACGAGGGTTTGGTCTGAGATGTGAGAAAAGAAACCGTGTAGGTAATTTTACAGCATATTACCCTTTAGAGCTTATCCCTTCATAAGATGCAAAGGAAAGACATTATGGATATGTATTTGGGCAAGTTTTCATCTTTGATTTTTTTGTCATGCTTGGGAGAAGGGGATACTGGGGACATGGACATTGAGGAGTGGGAAATTGCCAAATATGAACTTTGAACAGTTTATTTCAAAAGTTCTGTATAAAGCTGATTTTGAGTTCAGGAAAAGGAGAATACTTTTCCCCTCTTCTCCCCTCCACAAACACACAATATGAAATAGGGCTTAGAATTCATACAACACTTTTATTGGCTTGCAGTATAAATAAAGGAGTTTTCTGTGGCCTCTCCTTTGTGAGCCTTTGCTTTTATGGGAAAAGAGGTTCCTGTCTCAAATAGTCAAAATGCCATTCTGCAAGTTGAGACATGTGCTCTACTTGAAAATTGTCCTCAAAAGAATTAATTTTTTTAAAAGTTAGGTAGTTGAAGGAAAACAAAATAAATGAAGATAAGTTTTTAACAGATTTATGTCCTTTCTTTATTTGACTTGTTAAGTTGGGGTTCATTGTGGAATAGGACCTATAAACTATGCAGATGTACATTTTTCTCAGCTGGAAAATAATAGAACTATACAGCAACGACAATAGTTTGTGTATGAGAGGGGGCAATTCTGTTTAGAAAGATTGGGTTATTGCCTAGAGTTGAAGGACTTAATATATGAGCTTTCTTAGATGTGCCTTACTTGTCTTGTTGCTTCTTAGTTTGATTGTTATTTTTAGCATACTGATAAGTAAATAGCACTTACATAGTGCCTACTTTTTGTCAGGCAATGTCCTAAAGCCTTCTATTTTTAGTAGAGATTATATGATTTTCATAATAAACATAGCCCATCTGGCTTTACATCTTTAACAAATTTGTGTCATATCAGTTTTTCAGATTTAAGCACTTTTTTGCTTAACTTGCCAAACTTAAAACAAGTCTAGTTGAAAAACTTTGTGAGAAAGAACTGGGCAAAATGTCAGTTGATTTCCACAAGCTAGTTTTCCTTGTACACTTACAAAGACCATAAAAATTAAAGAAGTAGATGTCACTATGTAGGCTGAAATGTTTACTAAACTTCAGGGCTCCTATTTTGACTTTTTAATCTGTCAGGGGTGCTATTAAGTATGTTTAATGTTTAGATGAGTGGGTATGTCTTATTACACATTCTTGCCCCTCTCAGACTTTTTTCTTTAATTGTTAAGCCAAATCAAGTACCACGGAAGATACAAGTAGTCTTAAGTGCCGAGTAACTTGATCACAGTAAAACTTTTTTCTTCTACTAGTGAAGTAATCTCTGACTTGAAAATAGTGTTTGAGTACTATAGTTGAGTGTTTTATTCTAATGCTCGTTATTTATTGGCTTTCAGTTTTAAGGGACTTGTTATTAGAAAGTCAGTATTTTGTATTTACTAAATAGTTTGAGATTCTGAATGTTGCGTGGAGAGGCCAGACATTTTCAGGCCATGATATGGCTTGCTGACCGGGTTCTCAAATATCACATTATGCAGGGGTTCAGTGAATAAAGTTTAAAGTTAAATATTAACTCGAGCTGAGAATACTGGGCTCTTTTAAAAATTACTTTTCTTTATTTATGTTTGGAGTTAGAGAGGCAGATAGGGAAATAAATGTGTCATTGATATTCAAGCCACTTCCTTTTTCCCCTCTCATTTTCCTAATTTTAGTTCTTTCTATGTTTAAGTCTTACATGTTTTGTTTTTAGTTTTTTTGGGTACATAATAGGAGTATATATTAATATCAAGCCACTTCTGATATTAAGGATTTTGCAGCCCACAGATAGCAGGTTCCAGAAAATATTATCTCTATTTCATTTTAGCTATACAGTCTTAAGTATGTATTTTTGTACATAGGCTACGTATCTTATAGTATTTTCGCAAATTGCATTTTAAAATATTTTAGCTGATTTGTTAGTGCCTTTTCTGCTTAGGCAGATATAAGTATCAGGTGAATTGATTGTGGAACATAAGTAGAGACACTGCATTGGAATGAAAATCAGTTTTATAAAGTTGAACACAGATTTTAAAAATGCTGTACATAGATTTGTTTTTATATTTTTCAGTAAAATTTTAGGCCAGGTGTGGTGGCTCATACCTGTAATCCCCGCACTTTAGGAGGCTGAGGTGGGAGAATTGCTTGAGCCCAGGAGTTTGTGACCAGCTTGGACAACACAGGGAGACCTCATCTCTAAAAAAAGTGTAAAAATAAAAAATTAACTGGGCATGGTGGCACATGCCTGTGGTGACTGAGATGGGAGGATCTCTTGAGCCTGGGAGGTTGAGGTTGCCATGTGACCAATGATTGCACCACTGCACTCCAGCCTTGGTGACAGAGCGAGACCCTGTGTCAGAAAAAAATAAAAAATAAAATAAAATTATAGTTTGCTTTTATGTCATTTTCCCATGGCAGATTATATCATTAGCCCATGAATATATCTCCCCAAGCTAAGAATCTATTAATACTGTCTGTAGAGGTGTCTAATAAATATTCAAAGATTGAGTTGGAGCAGATGATGATTAAGAGTAAGTGTATGTTTGTAAGTCTCTGGATTTCCATAATTGTAAAAGAGGAAAAAAGATATTAGGAAGATTAAGTTGCTAAAGTTTTCTGTTCAAATAATATGTTCAATAAACATTAGTAATTTGACTTTTATTTTCTGTTTATCTCTTCATAAGGTGCAAAATGCTGAATGTTTTACGTCTTAATGAACTTAGGAGCAATTAAGGAGACTCATCATTTCACAAGCTTGAAATTTAGGCTATTAATATTTGATCAGTCCATTTTTATCTTATTAGGTAACCATTAATTTTAGAGTTTTAAATGAAACTGAAAACCAGTAGCATAATTCGACCATCTGTTAAAAAAAGAAAGAAAAAAAAACTGCATATGGCTTTAATTGCATTTCAGATACATTCAGTGGTTAGTTCTAAGAACAACCCTTATTTCCTTTCTTTTGGTAGCCTGCCCTCTCCCTGCAAATGCAGCTCCATTTGGTATGAGCAACAAGGCAAATGCCTAAAACAATCAACAGATAGAAGGAAAGCATTAATGCTGGAGTATTAGTAGCCTAGTTACAGATTGCACTGCGTCAGACTGTTCCACACCCAGAAGACGTCAGGTGACTTCAGTCCTGCTGCAGTTGTGCAGCAGAGGAGACTGCAGACTTCGGTTGAGGAAACGGGTATTTCATGTCTCAGGGAGTAGGTTTGTGCAGTTACAGCTTTTCTGTTGGTATGCATAATTAATAATTGGAGCTGCAAAGCAGATCGTGACAAGAGATGGACGGTCAGAAGAAAAATTGGAAGGACAAGGGTATATCTGCTTTTTAATTTCTTATTCAGTTTTTATATGTGACCACTAATATATTTCTATGAATAAGCTTTGGAATTTAGATATTTTGGATTGAAAGTGAAACCTCTGAAGAGTTGAAGTCTAAAGGATTAAAACGGCTATCTCACGTGTTTTTACATTTGGTTGTATACCAGAAAATGTCATGCTGTTCTGTTTCACTGGCATTCGGTTTAGTCTTTTCAGTCCTGCCGTTTAGGTTCTGTTCTCTAATCTTGCACATTGTAAACAATATAGATCTAACAGATTTCATTTGTTCGTCACTTGGATGTGGTAAATACACATTGCTGTTTTTGTGTTTCACAGTGACATATTTTCCGTGACTATTTTAAAAAACCTTACTTGGTGTAGTTGAAATTCTGTGCAAAGGTTTGTAGGTAGCAAGATATTGTGTTTGCAGTAAGCCTCTTCTTTGAAAATCTGATTTGAACCTTTAAAATTATTACCAACTTTCTTTTAATCAGATTATGTGCATCTTGAAATCATTCAAATTACACAGTATAATTACGCAGTAATTTTAAATGCATGTCTATATTTAAGTCACTAACCTTTGTCCTTGTAATAACCAATCAGTGATTTTGATCCCTTTTCCTCCCCCTTGAAAGCCCAGATCCTTTCAAATCTCAGTGGATCATTGTGTAAGAATTTAAGCCTGTAAATGGTAAAATGTTGACTAGAATATTTAAAGAATATTTTATTATGTAGATGGTTAAATCTACCTTTTTTTCTTTAAAAGAAAGTGGTAGGCTGTATATCTGACCACTTATAATAAATTACCTTTAAATTATTAGAGCTATTTTTAAGTAGTCCAAAATAGACATTCTACGTAAGCAATTTTTTTCCTGGCTACATTCAAGTTTTATAATTAAAAAAAATTATTTCCTTCTAGCAGGATTGGCAACAATATTTCTAAAAGTATGTAGAGCTAATTACAGTAACTTTTACAATGTCTTTTTAAAAATTTGTTCAATAAAGATGTGGGGAAAAGGTGAATTTAAGATTGAGACCATATTGAGACATTGGTAAGATTTTATGGTTGCAACTTAAAAAATAATAGAAAACAATACAGCTTTGGGTTTTGCCTTTAGGATTTCTTTACATGTGAATTTAAAGAGAAGGATTTTTATTTCTTCATCCTGTTAGCCGTTGACGTTACAGATTGATGAATTGATATATGGTAGCTTTTGCTAAGTGAAAATGATACAAATGATAATAATACAATAAATACAGGCCTTAAAAGTAGGTGAAAAGTCGTATCAGGGCTCATTCTGCAACTATTAAGGTTCTTTATTAATAACTTAAGTCTTAAATCATTAAATAACATCTTAAGTTCTTTATTTGTTGAAGTAATTTAAAGGTATTATGAGACAGGAGAAATTAAGTTCCAATGTAGTTCATATTTTTTCCAGAGATTTGTTTGATTATTTTTAGGTACTCAAATGTAAAATTGAATTTACTCCTGAATATCTCTGGGGAGCCTCACTTTGTAAGTGGAATGGCCTAATATTTTTTAGTACCTGTCTGGCTGTTTTGGTCGGTAAGATTAACTTTGCCTGTTTTTCTGAGTCAGTGGTTAAATTATATTTTAGTATTTTCTCTATCAGCAGACAATTTTATTATTACAGAGTAATATTTAAGATTACAGAGTAAGGTTTAAGTTGGAAATCACTGAGAAGTTGGAAGCTGTCATGGAATGAGTTTTTCCTCATCTAAAAAAAAAATAGTTTGACAGCAGAGAAGGAGCCTAATCTAGGGTCTAGGTAAATTTAAAAAATATACTTAGGCATTTTTCTACTGCATTCTCCCCCTGACCACCAGTATAGCATAGTGACAGATTTGAGAGATGCTCTGATTTCAGTGTTCTTTAAAAGGTGGTGTGTGTGTGTGTGTGTGTGTGTGTGTGTGTGTTTGCTTGCCGATTAACTGGTATTTAAGATACTCGATCTTTCAGGCTGAAAGCATTAATAATTTGCATTCTTTTATATATTCTTCATATTTTCTGTTTAGGATACTTATGACAAATGACATTTACATAGTATTCGATTACTGGGGTTATATGGAAAATTTTGATTAAGGTAGTCAAAAGATTTTTAGGAGCTTAAAATAGGAAGGAATGGGTAGGCCTAGGGATTTGGATGGGGTAGGAGAATGATATAACCACTAAAAAGCTATAGTTGAGACAGTAAATAACTTTCTGGGTAGAACAGAATATTTAGGACAGGAGTTGAAAGATAAGATTGGTGTGGTCAAGGAATGTAGAAAATTTAGATGAACTAGATTAGGTTTCCTCATACTTCTCTGTAGATGAGAATCATCTAGTGCTTCTTAAAAATGCAGATTCCTTGGGTCGTGACCTACCAAATCAGATTTTGTAGGGCCTGGCAATCTGCATATTAAGCATCCTGGTGTAATTCATATTGTTGGGCAAATTCGGGAAACAGTGATCTAGGGTTTAAGCCTTGGTTCTGGTATATTTTGATTTTGGCTAGAATAAGAAACTTACCTTTTTGGTTTTAATTTCCTCATTTGCGTGCTGCCCAGGGTTCCAGTTGAGAGGTTCTCTGGTTTTATGGAAGAGATACCCTGGGCCAGACCGCAGAAGACATTGAGTTTTGGATTTGATTGTAAAAGAAATAAAAAGGATTTGGAAGTTTTAAAGTAGGGAATGGTAAATGATAGCAGTTGGTTTAGGGTGCTGCATAAGATCAACTGGGGGAGAATAACCTATAGCCACACCAGTTAGGATGACTGTAGTTGTGCCCAGATTTAAAGTAGATAGGCTTGAATTTGGCCTGAAATAGGAAGGAAGAAGAAGCGGCAGATTTGAGAAATTCAAGGAAGGAATACTTGGCATTTGGTATAGATTTGCAGGACAAGGATGAGGTGTAAAGACTCAAGGGGCAACATGAAGTTTGAATTAGAGTGAAATATTGGCAATGACAGTCCTTTAGTATTAGTAGAAATAGAGCTAAAATAGAAAAGATGCCAAGTTGAGTTTCAGACGCTTTGAATTTGAAGTGATGATAGAACATCTCGGAAGCTCAGATAAATGACAGGTTTAATGATAAAGAATTGGGAGTCAAATGCAGAGTGAGGCAGGTGAATACTATGTGAGGAGATTTGCACTGAAAGAACTATTAAGAAAGAAAAGCCTAAAACCTGCGTTATGGAGGTCTGCGGCTTTAGGGAAAATGAGGAGGTTCTAGAGCAGTAAAAGAAGCAGGATAGTGTAACTGATACTAAGGGGGGAAAGAATTTTCAAGAAGGAATGGGCAATTAAATACTTAGAGAAGCTGGTTAATATGAGTGAGAAATGGATGTGAATCTTGTTAAATTTTAAAAGTAGGTGCAACACTGTTCTTTATTGTTACAGTACTCTTTGGATTTGTCAGTTAATGTGCCAGAGGTAATCTTTGAGAGAAGTTTCTGTAGGATAGGGAAAGAAATGTTCCTAGCATTAAAACTCAATATAATTATATCTCAAGACAAACTAGTTTTGGACCATTTCTGCAGCATACTTCCGTGTAGAGATTCTTTTAGGGCTCTCTGATCTTTACTTATGATAAGCTACTTTCATTTTTTGAAAGCCTTGAATAAAGCTCATACTGACATTTTGGTAGAGAGTAGCAGGGGTCTTGCTGTTTGAAATGCCTTACTCGGGAAGGCCAAAAAATGCCCAACAAGGGAACTTTGGCATTAATTAATTATGGGGCCTACTGATTGGAACGACTCTCCTTTCAGTTCTAAACTTTGTTAAAACCGAATATTTAGGCATTCATTAGATACATTTTCTAGATCTTGGGTTAGTAGTGCAGCACTACATAGGTATGTGTTATAGAGAATTTAGAAGGTAAGTAGAAGAGTAAAACTCACATCGCATAGAGAATAGTTTTGGGGTATCTTTTTAACAGGGTAATGTGTGTTGGGAGGGTTTTGTGGTATATTTTATTCTGTAGTCTTTTTCCTCCATTAAGTATTTATTTTTTAAATACTGTACGCTATTTTAATGACTACAATATTTTAATTCCATCTAGTTAAATCAGGTTATTGCTAAAGTTTGCAAGTACAGGTTGAACATCCCTAATCTGAAAATCTAAAAGCCAAAATGCTCCAAAGTCTGAAACATTTTGAGCGCTGATGTGATACCACAAGTAGAAAATTCCACACATAAATACTTAACACAATCTTTGTTTCATGCACAGAATTATGTAAAATATTGCATAAAATTACTTCCAGCCTATGGGTATAACATGTAGATGAAACAGAATGAATTTCATGTTTAGACTTGGGCCTCACTCCCAAGATACCTCATTACGTATATGCAAGTATTCCAAAATATTTCCAAATATTCCAACATATTCTAGTCCCACATATTACAGTAATACTCAACCTGTAAAAACAATGCTAAAATGATTATAACTGAACATAAGTCTTTGTTTCTATTTGTGATTATTTCCAAATTTCTGGGTTATGTTATTTAGGCTTTGGGCGCCTTTTACAAAACTGCTTTCCAGAAAGATTGTACAAATTGTTATTTTCATCAGTGAATGTGAGTGTCTATCATGGATCTGTGGCTAAGGTTAAATAGTATGTATTCCTTTCTTACAGTTTTTACTCTAAGATAGCTATTTCGTCAGTGTTAACTCATTAAATTACTTGATAAGAACCAGCTTTATATTGTAAGATGTGTAAGCAGTGGGAGCAATGGTGGAAATAGCCTTTCTATTTTATTTACCCAAGTCTGTGTACTCCTCATCCTTACCAGGGCCCCTAACTGATCTTTCCACTAAATTATGTGTGTCACAGCGAAATTAAAATTACTCTTCCAAAGTGCAACTCTAATCATGGCACTTAAGGGATTTTCCTTTACTTACTTTTCAAATGAAGTTTCTTCTGTCTATCCTGGATGTTTGAAAGGCATTCCATGGCCTAGCCCCAACCTTTATAATTTCGTCTGTCATTACTCCCTGTCGCTAGCCACACTGAAGGACTCGTTTTCTAAACATACCTGTTCTTTGCCTTTGCTTGTGTTTTTCTCTCCACCTTGAAGGCCCTTTCTTCCCATTTCATTTTGCTGAAGTAGTCCTTATCAAAGGCCCGGTTCTCCTTGAGGTGTTCACTAAGCCTCCCTGGGGAGGTAGTTCAGTGTTCCTCACTCCCATCTCTCGGTTTTCATTTTGTACTTTTTTTTCCCCCCTAAGGGAAGGGCATGAGGGGTTTCATTTTGTACTTTCTATTACAATTATTTATACATAAATATCTTGGCTCTTTTTCCAGCCTCCAAATTTTTTTGAAGGCCAAAAACAGTGATGGCTTCATCACTGGGTCTTCTGATTGACTTGGTGCAGCTTGTCAATGAAGGAAAAGGCTGAGAACTCCATTGTTCAGCCAGGTTTACTTCTGGCCTTAAACCCACATAAATTTTTGGAAAATTTTAAAATATGATTTCAAGTGGGAGCAATTAGAAAAAGGATTCCCCCACTTTTCCCCTTCTTAAAGGAACAATTCAGCAACTGAAGGAACTTCTGTAGATTCAGAATTTTTAGAGTATTCCTGCAGATAAGGCATTCTGTTAATCATTTATTCCAACTTTCCTGTTTTACTGACAAGGAAACCAAGAAAACGAGAGATTTAAATATTTGTCAGGCCCACACAGGACCATGCCACAGGTCCATGGTGGCATGAAGCCTTTGTTTTTATTTTATAATTTATATTTGCACTTGAATAACCAAAGATTGAAAAGTATATAAGCTAAAACGGCCCATGTTTTGATATTTTATTTGTGCATAGTCTACTTGTGGCATGTTATTGAATGTCGTATACTTCTTTCGTATTGTCCTCACTGCAATAAAAAAGGCAGGCAGTTGTCTGTCACACTAATCATGGAAGAAGGTAGGTGTGGTTAGTCATTTAGTACAGGTATTGTCAAAAGGTTAAACCTAGTGGGAGTTCTCTGGGCCAGGAGAATAATTTCTTTTCATCTTTCAGGATTGGATTACATGCTGGGATGTAGGCAGAATATCTAGGCAGAGAATAGAATTCTTAAATTTGTTCTCCGGTTGTCCCCTAAGTTCCCTTTTTATGTACAGCCATCTCAGTATCTGCAGGAGATTATTTCCAGCCCTCCACCCCGCGTCCCCCTACACCATGGATACCAAAATCCACAGATGCCCACGTCTCTTATATAAAATGGTGCAGTATTTTCGTAAAACCTACGCACATCTTGTTGAGATCATCTCTGAGTTACTTTTTACAATGTAGGTAGTTGTTATATTGTTCAGGGAATAATGACAGGAAAAAAGTCTGTACTTGCTTAGTTACAGATGCAGTCATCATAGGTCTAGCTACATTTTTCCATCCACAGTTAGTTGAATCCGCAGATGTGGAACCTGCAGACATAGAGGGCTGACTGTATTCACTTGGTCCCATCTCTTGCTAGAATTTGGGCTAAGGGATGATGTTTAATTTAGGCAATACTTTTCTTTGCATCCTTGGAGCAGTGATCTGACACCACATTTATACTTATTTATCTGCTCTATCATGAATAAGGCTGACATATTACTGAGTGTGTGTGTATTTTTTTTAATCTGCTTCATGGCTTTCAAGTTTGTTTGATTCAGCTGCCCCTTAGGCATTGGACGTATTATAGACACTAAAATATTTTGTGTCGTCTTTCTTCAAATACTATATCACTACCATATTCTATATAACATTTTCTTATGAAGCTCAAAGCAATTTAAAAACTGAAAAATTACCAAATTATCAAATATTAATGATTATTTGTACTGTTCATTGATTCGATGAACATTTATATTGTGTGTACAACAGTTATATAAGGTTATGGAAGAAGAAATATAACTGATTTACTTACTAGTGAGGTTCATTCTGTGTTTTGAACTAGTAATTTGCTTTGAGCTCTTCCCCTCCCCCAACTCCAGTATATTAAGCTTCAAGTTTCTAGAGTTACGGGACAGTATGTTTTCCATTTAGTTTTTGTTAGTAGAAAATAGGGTTTTGAGCAGTAACCTCAGGTTTCTAAGACTTGGTGCCTACTTATTTTAAGCTTTAGATGGGCCAACAAGAAGGAAAATTTAAACTATAGTAAATTATACATTGAACCAGTTTATTTTCTAATTTTAGGTTTCTATTTATGCAGGTCTTGATCAATTCTAGTAACTTAATAACCACATGCTTATCAACATGTATCAGAAATACAGACTTGTCATAGGAGAAGTTCTCATTTTAACATTCTTTACAATTGAAAAATCGTTAAAGTGAGTGCAGGTAGGGAGAGTCATGTATATCCAACATACTTAAAGAGAAGATATTTAGCTTTACCTTAGAGAAAATGAAATTAAAGGTAGGATTATTCTGTAAAGAGAAAATTATCATGGTTTAGGAAAACTAGGAGTGCAAAATTAGAACTGTTTTCTGCCCTTTTTTGCTTGTTTTCTCCTAGTAAAGCTGGAAAGAGTGTAGGATTAAGGGAAATATTGAAAACCACATGAACTAATGAAGTAAACTGGTGAATTTAATTATAAATGAAGCATGTATGGTGTTATTGAACTTCACTTTTCTCTTAGAGAAATTCGTGTTATCCTTAGAAGATGGCAAACAGCCATAGGTAGTTTTTATGTTCCTGCAACATATTTGAGGCATTTTCTACTTGAAATATAGGAAAAAAAGACCACTGGCTGGGCCTTGTAGCTCACGCCTGTAATCCTAGCACTTTGGGAGGCCACAGTGGGAGGACTGCTTGAGCCCAGGAGTTTGAGACCAGTCTGGGCAACATAGGGAGGCCCTGCCTCTACAAAATTTTAAAAAATTAGCTTGGTGTGGTGGTGCACGCCTATGGTCCCAGCTACTTGGGAGGCTGAGGTGGCAGGATTGCTTGAGCCCAGGAGGTCGAGGCTGCAGTGAGCTATGATGATGCCACTCTGCTCCAGCCTGGGTGACAGAGGGAGACACTGTCTTAAATAAATAAATAAATAAATAAATAAAATAAGATTTGATTGACTTTATCTTGGCACATAAAAACCAATAACTATGAAAATAAATTTATTTTAGTTCATTCTTAACATAATTTAGTTTATAATCACAGCCGTGCATAAGGTTTTAGAATACATAGAGGATGAATCAGGTTTTTGGGATTTAGGGGAATGTAATTTTTGCCACAAAATTGTATACTAGCACAAAATGGCTTCTTTTGCTTTATGGTTGAATTTCACAGTGGGTCATATATAATGTCCCTTTACAAAAAATGTTCAGTGGTTTAAAAATGTACTTTCCTGGGGGCTCTTCCTAATCTTTTGAAGTGAGAGGCTCCGTTTTGAAGTGCCTGTTGGACTGTCAGTGTTTTTTGGAGCAATTCTCCAGCATCACTCACAACATTAACTTTGTGGAATTTCATGTTAATAGGAAGATTTGCAATTTTGCACTGTTGATTTGGGTGGTTTTATCTGACAAGACATTTAGGTAATGAGTGAGGCTGGATGGTGAATTTAAACAGTAAGGGATATTTATGAGCTTGGATTAATTTTGAAGATTACTTAGTGGATGTTTTCTTATTTATGAAAATTTTCTTTCCTATGCAACTTCATAACTGCAGGGACCATTTAACAATACTAAACTTGGGTAAGAGAATCTTGTACTCCTCAAATAGTGTTGGTTACTAGAGAGCTAGAGACGCATATTTTTTAAATCACAAACCATCTTTTAGTTCATGTTATGTGGGGAAAGGAGTATGTGTGTGAAAACACACTCGGTGTTTACAACGATTTTAATTGTAAAGGCCGTTTGTTCTCAGTAATAATAATAAGGTTCTATCCTGGGTGTAGGATTGGTTTTTTAATAAAATGAATAGTAAACATTGACTTAACTTCACATCTTTATGTTTGGCTTCTGTTTCCTGGAGATTTTCTAGAAATGGTATTTTCGTTGCTTTATATGCTGTGTTTGTCAAGTTTATTGCTTATTTAAAAATTTTAATATCATTCTTAAATTCACCAATGTCTTTTTTATCTATTTTTATAGTTCATATGTAATTACATAGATTGTTATTTATAGTATAAATTTATTTTTAAGGTGAGAACAATTCAGATTGCTTCTAGAAAACAATTTAAACAAAACATGGTTTATTCCTATTATTGAATCTCTTAATGAAATTTATTGGTCTCACCTATAACTCTACTCGTAGTGTTAGTAAATTGTGTCTCCTGTCTCAATTATTTAAACTAAGGTAGAAATAGCATTTGGTATTCTCAAGTAGCATAAAAAGAAACTTGAGTATTAATATAGTCTTTTAAATACAAAAGGTATAATAGAGTGAGACCTTCATGGTCAGACTTGAATTTCAGTTTGTAACCCTACACAATTTATTTAACAATATGTTTACATTACAAATGTACAAATACATTTGCATCACATATGTAATGCAGATAATACTTTTTAGAGTTGTTATGGATTCGAGGTAATGTATACAATGTACTCAGCACAGTGCCTTGCTCAGACTGGGAGATTACAAAATTATTGTAGAAAGGGGAAGTATAGAAATTTTGCTGATTGTTTATTAGTGCTATTTGTTTGTCATGTAAAGTGTTATTTTCTTAGGTGTGGTGGTTCAAATTCGCCAAAGCACTGTAACGTTATCAAAGTAAGACAGGAAAGATTTAGTGGAAGAGACAAGGACCTGAAATTTTGCACGTATCTGTTTAAAAACTCTAGTTAAAGGAAGAGGAGATAGCCAAGACAGATGCTGGCTTGCCAGGTATTTGGTTGAGATACTTTTGTAGCAGTAACAGGTACCCATCAGGCTGAGACTTGCTAATTGAAACCTCTTTACATATACTTTCAGAGAAAGTTGAATTCACCTTTTTTAAAAAATCAGGGCTTAGCTAAGCATTACATATAATATTTGATTGCCTTTCTTGACCTTATCTCTTGAGCTTTAGTACCAGTGTGTTCAGTTTACCAAGCATTTCCATATGTGAAATTTCAATTCAGCTTCAAATAATTTCTTAGGGGTGGGTATTATTTTTCTAATTTTACACACAGGGAAACAGAGATTACATTATCTTCTCAGATCATATTGATACTAACCTGAAGGAAGAAATAGGACTCAAAAGAAATAGGACTTAAGGTCCTCTTAATGTCTTTGTGAAGAGAGCTAAACTCTGCACAGATCCTTTTTGTGGACCTTCGCCTGTCAGTTTTTTGACAGGTGAATGCTTACTGTGTTGAGACAAAAGCTTACTATTACGTAGTACTAAATGTTCAATTCTGAATTCTAATTACTTTTCCTGGCATTTGGGAAGAATTTGATTAAGGGTTGTGATTCTTAATAAATATATAATTACTTATTATTATAAACATGGTTGTGAAAAACAACTGAAATTTTAATACCGTTCTAATATTTATATATTCATTTGTTTATTTCCTATTTAACTGCCATTCTCATTCCTCACCTGGCATTATTAAAGAGAACTTAATATTTGCTTTTGCTTCAAAAGTAGGTATTTTTCTGCCAGCCATTCCCTGTCCTAGTATTTTTAGGAACAGCCAGTTTAACTCCCCACTGCCCCGCCTTCCCAGACAAAAGCTTTTTAAAATTGAAACCTGACTTCGGGCTGTTCAAAGAAGAATGTAAGAATTTGATTTGAGGCAAAATGTAATTGGATGACTTCTGCACGTAAGGCATGCACAATGCAGGCTGACACTATTTTTAGCTATGGCAGATGACAGTTTGTGATTACCAAATGTAGGCAGCTCTTCTTACTGTGCATTGAGCCAGAAGTTTTTATTTTAAAGAAAAGATTTAAGTGTACTGAGTTATTTTGAATTAAAATTTTATTTTGATAAAGATGCTATTACACACAGTCATTTTTCACATTTTTATCTTGGAGACAAACGGCAAGGACTGCAGGGCATAAATTACTTTTTTCTAAACTACAAGGGTTTGTTAAAATTGATGAACATTATTTTTAGCAATTCATAAGCATTCCCCCAAAGTTGTAAATGGAAAAGTACTGCTAAATTCATCTCAGATCTTTGAAAGGATGTTTAATGAACATTTTGTATGAGTAAGGTTGAGGCCACAGAATAGGGTTACCTTGTATGATTAACCCTTTATTCTGCAGTATAGAAGGAGACTTGAGGAACCAAGAAAAGTTAAACTTTCCCTGTATAAACTCTTTGTCTTAATTTTGGTTTTTCAAAAATAAGGAACCACTAAAGTGATTACTGAGGAATCCAAAATTAGCATTTTGGTGATCCTGTAGTTCTTATTGAAAGGTGTCCTTTATTTTAATTTGAAAATGAATTTAAATGTTTCTGTTCTAAAAATAATCTGGCCGCTATTCAGACAGTGCAGCAAGCATTAATGATGTAGGTAATGGGAATATAAAGATGAAAGGCATTTATCAGTTTTCCAGGGTCTAGTAAGGGGAGACAAGCCTGCAAAACAGTGTTTTCTTTTTTATAAATTACCTGAAAGCATTATTTGTTATTTAATAAATGTAGACATCTGAAAATAGTGTAAATAAAATAAATGTTAAGTCTAAAGCGTAGAAACATTTTTTAAATAAATCAATTAGAATTAGTGACCTGTCATAAGGTATTCATTCATTCTAATCAGTCAACAGTAATATTGAAAATTTAGTTGTTTTTGGCTTTCTGCTCAGCTCTGGGGATAAAGTTAGGTAGTAAGACATACATGTTCTTTTATGGAGTTTACAACCTAGTAGAGAAGTATGTTGAAATGACTATTTTTTTAAAGTTTTAAATCTATTTCCAGGACATTTTCTTCACCCCCCTCCCAAAAAAAGCCCCCCACACCCTCTAGCAGTCACTCCTCTTCCCTTTTTCCCCAGCCCCTGACAATCACTTATCTACTTTCTGTCTCTACAGAATTCATAACTTGCATATTCAAGGCACTTCATATAAACAGAATCATAAAATATATGGCCTTTTGTGACTGGCTTCTTTCACTTAGCATATGTTTTCAAGATTCATCTGGGTTGTAACATGTATCAGTACAGTAGTTTCCCCCTTATTCTTGAGGGGTAAGACTCTAAGACCCCTAGCGTATGCCCTAGAAACTGCAGATAGGACTGAACCCTATATATACTGTTTATTCCTATCTATACATAACTATGATAAAGTTAAATTTATAAATTAGTTACAGTAAGAAATTAACAACTTTAACAATGAAAGAGAATCATGGTAACAGTATACTAAAGTTAAATGAATGTGGTGTCTTTCTCAAAATATCTCATTGTACTATACTCACCTAATTTTTAACTGTGGTTGACTGCAGGAAACTCTAACCAGGGAAAGGGAAAATGCAGGTAAGGGAGGACTACTGCACTTCATTTCGTTTTATGGCCTAATAATATTCTGTTATATGGATATACCTTTTTTTAAAACAATCCATTCATCACTTGATAGACATTTGGGTTGTCTGTCTCCTCTTTTTGGCTATCATGAATAATGCTGCTATGAACATTTGTGTGTTAAGTTTTTGTGTTTTCTAGTTTCTTGGGTGAAAATTCCTAGGAGTGGAATTGCCAGGTAATAAGATAACTCTGTATTTAATTTTCTGAGGAACTGCCAAATTGTTTTTCACAGTGGCTGAATTTTACATTCCCATCAGCAATCTATGAGGCTTCTAATCTTCATCACTTTTTGTTAACACTTTTTATTGCTCATCTTTTTGATTATAGCCATCCTAGGGGGTATGAAGTGGTATCTCATTGTGGTTTTGGTTTGCATTTTTATAATGACTAAATGATGTTGAGTATTTTTTCATGTGCTTATTGGCCATTTGTGTACCTTCTTTGGAGAAATGTCTATTCAAATCTGTTGTCTATTTTAAATTGTTTTTTACTGTTGTAAAAGTTTTTCAATATATTCTGAGTACAAGTCTCTTATCAGAGAATTGGTTTGCAAGTGTTTTCTCTCGTTCTGTGTGGTATCTTTCCACTTTATTTGTGGTGAAAGTTTTTAATTTTAATGAAGTCCAATTTATCTTTTTTCTTCTTTTGTTGTTTCTGCTTTTGGTGTTATATGTAAGAAACAATTGCCTAATCCAAAGTCATGAAAATTTACACTTATTTTTTTCTTAAAGAGTTTTCTGGCTAGGTGCTGTGACTGATGCTTACAATCCCAGCACTTTGGGAGGCTGAGGCAGGAGGATTGTTTGAGCCCAGGAAGCTGAGGCTGCCTGCTTTTGCACCACTCCACTCCAGCATGGGTGACAGAGTGAGACCTTGTCTCAGCGACAATAACAACAACAAAAAGATAAGAAACAAAGATAAAAGAGTTTTCTAGTTTAAGCTCTTAACTTTGAGTCTTTCGGCCGTTATGAGTTAACTTTTATGTGTGATATGAAGTAGAAGAATCCAACGTCATTTGTTTTGCAGTTGGATATCCAGTTGTCCTAGCACCATTTGTTTAAAAGACTGTTTTTTTCTTATTGAGTTGCCTTGGCACCCTTGTGAAAGTCAGTTGACCATAAATGTAATGGTTTATTTCTGGGTTATCAGTTGTATTCCACTAATCTACCTGTTTGTCCTTGTGTAACTACTCTACTGTCTTGATTACTATATCTTTTTAGGAAGTTTTGATATAGGGAGGTTCGAGTCCTCCAACCTTTGTTGTACTTTTTCAAGTTTTTCTTGATTTTTTGGATCCCTTATATTTCCATATGAATTTTGCAATTGGCATGTCAATTTTCGCTAAAAGACAGCTGGGATTTTGATAGTGTTTGTATTTTAGATCAATTTGAGGAGTGTTACTGTCTTAATGTCTTTCAATTCATGAACAGGAGTCTTTCCAATTATTTAAGTCATCTTTAATTTCTTTCGACAGTGTGTTATGTATAGTTCATATGTCTTGAAATTCTTTTCGCTGTATTCCTAAGTATCTTATTTTTTCTATGCTATTACAAATGGAATTATTTAATTCATTTTCAGATTGTTTATTGCTAGTGTATAGAAATACAATTTTTGTATATTGATATTGTGTCCTACAGCCTTGCTGGACTCTCATTCATTATTTCTAGTAGCTTTTTGTGGATTCCTTAGAATTTTTAAAATACATACAACAGACCCTCATATCATTGTTTTGTTCAGTGTTGTTTCGTTATAATGTGCATGAGGAAGAGAAAAAAAAACAATTCCTTGCTGGGGCCACTGTCTGTATGGGATTTGTATGTTCTCCCCATGTCTGCATGGGGTTTTCTCTGGGTACTCTGTGGTTTCTTCCCACATTCTAAAGATGTACACATTAGGTTCACTGGTGTGTATCAGTTGTCTCATAATGAGTGTGGGGGTGTGTGTATGAGTGTGCCCTGTGATGGAATGGTGTCCTGTCCAGGGTTGGTTCCTGCCTTGCACCCTGAGATGTCAGGATAGGCTCTGGCCACCCGTGACCCAGAACTGGAATAAGCAGCTTAGAAAATGAATGAACGAATGAATGAATGAATACAGATTATTATAAAATAAAAACCCATAAAGTATATAATAATCATGCAAATGCACAACAATAAATGATGCAGTATGAAGGCACTTAGAGATCCCTCCATATTTGTTGTTTCTGAACTGTGTGGTGGTGGTAGGAGGTGCTCCTACCACAGTATTTGCTTTGCAGACATTTGTTCCTTGATTTAACCCACCACCACTACAACCACCATCACTGATTCACCAAAAATTGTGTTTTAAAAAATCTTTCTTAAATGTATATATAGCTTACTTTATTTCAGTGTTTAATAGTAGAAGTGTTTTGAGTCTTTATTTAGATTTTTTTTTTTTTTTAGAGATAGGGTCTTTCTGTGTCATGCAGGCTGTAGTGTAGTGATGTGATCTCAGCTTGCTGCAACCTCCGCCTCCTGAGTTCAAGTTATTCTCCTGCCTCAGCCTCCCGAGTAGCTGGGATTACAGGCACCGGCCACCATGCCCAGCTAATTTTTGTATTTTTAGTAGAGATGGGGTTTCACCATGTTGACCAGGCTCAAACTCGTGACCTCAGGTGATCTGCCTGCCTTGGCCTCTGAAAGTGCTGGGATTACAGGCGTGAGCCACTGCGCCCGACCTTTATTTAGAATATGATGATGTTTTTGTGACCAGAAATATGCCATAGAAAATGAAGTCTTGTTTATATAAATTAGCCTATGGTAAAATTGGTTCTGTTACATGTCATTTCACTTAAAGTTGCAGTTTCCAGAAAGCTATCCTCAACATTTAAGTGAGGATTTACTGTATAAGATCATGTTATCTTTAAATAGAGTTTAATCTCTTCCTTTCCAATATGGATGCCTTGTATGTCTTTTTCTTGGCCAGTTGCACTGCATAGCACCCCCAGGACCAGAAGTGGCAAGAATGGATGTACTTGTCTTGTTCCTAGTCTTAGGGGGAAAGATTTTTACCATTTAGTTTGATGTTAGCTGTGGGTTTTTGTAGATGCTCTTTATCAGGTTGATAATGTTCCATTTTGTTCCTAGTATGTTAAATGTTTTATCTTGAAAGGGTGTTGGAGTTTGTGAGATGCTTTTTCTGCATCTGTTGGGATGATCATGTGGTTTTTGTCCTTATCCTATTAATATGATTTATTGTGTTGATTGATTTTCGTATGTTTAATCAATCTTGTATTTCTGAGATAAAGGCCACTTGGCCATGGTGTATAATCTTTTTTATATGTTGCTCGATCCAGTTTGCTTGTATTTTGTTGGGGATTATTGCATCTATATTCATAAGGGATATTTATCTGTAGTTTTCCTTTCTTGTGATGTCTTTGTCTGATTTTGGTATCAGGATTGAACAAACTTCTAAGTTAACTAATAAATCTAAATTAACTAATAATTCTCTTGTTGACCATTAGAAGCAACAGTATTTTTCTCAGAAAAACACTATATTTCTCAGAAGGGATTTTAATAAAGTTCTATACATTCCTCCTATTGAGAATCATTTATCCTGTATAAACAATCTTTCAAAATTTTTTTATTAAAACCAATTTGAGGAATCTGTAAGGGACTAGAAATTTTGTTGGCAAATGTCAATTAAGTCAGCCACACTGTTTGGTATCAACTAATATTTTTTTCATTCTTGCAGCTTCACTAACAATCTTTTCAGCTTCTTTACGGAAAAAGATGGAAATTCTTCTGTACTTTGCACAGTGGGGTTGGTGGCAGTGTAGATTGCCTCTCAGGTGTTCCTATTCTAGGATATATTCATATTATCTTATGTGTGACTATCAGTGCCTAGTTGTCTCATTTCTCTTGGCTGTTCTTCCCTTTTTGTTTTCCTCCAGGGCTCTAAAGGGTCTGATGGCTCCACCAGAGCATTCCTAGTACTTGTTTCAGTATGTCTGTCATGATACCTGCTTTGAGCTACTCTCATGTAGCTGCTTACATATTTTTATTCAGTATGTGTGGGCTTACGTATGTAATTTTCAGAGCTTTTCCATTTATTGAAAAGACCGTGTTCCTAGGAACCATATGACAAGAGGAAAGGAAGTGGTAGGTTAGGGCTTACTATCATTGAGTACTGCTGGGCCTTATACATGACTATTCTGGTATCATTAACTTTGGGAAAATTGACTTGATTCAACGCAGAACACCAGAATCATCAACTTAGTTATATACTGCTAGAATTTTAACTGTTGGCTGGATCCAAATATTTATTAACCTAACAGACAGGGTGTTCTTTTTCCAATAGGAAAGCCTACTGGGAAAAATAACACTCATAAGACTCTTCAGTAGTACCGAATAGAAACAGAATGGGGTGAATTTTTTTCTGATTATAGTCATGATTCATGCTTGCCATTAGAGTGGGACCATTTCAGATGGCACAGAAAAGAGTAAAGAAGCAAGTAAAACTCATTGATAATCCCGTTATGCAGAGATAAAAACACTGCTTAGTAGATATACTTTCAGACTTCATAGTTATATGTTTAATTTCTTTTCTTTTTTTTTTTTTTTTTTCCGAGATGGAGTCTCGCTCTGTTGCCCAGGCTGGAGTGCAGTGGCGCAATCTCGGCTCACTGCAACCTCCGCCTCTCGGGTTCACGCCATTCTCCTGCCTCAGCCTCCTGAGTAGCTGGGACTACAGGTGCCCACCACCAAGCCCGGCTAATTTTTTTTTTTGTATTTTTAGTAGAGACGGGGTTTCACCGTGTTAGGAAGGATGGTCTCGATCTCCTGACCTCATGATCCACCTGCCTCGGCCTTCTAAAGTGCTGAGATTACAGGCGTGAGCCACCACGCCCGGCCATATGTTTAATTTCTTAAGTGAGAATATACTGTGAGTCTTTTTGTAACATGCTGTTTTCATTTATCATTATGGACATGTTTCTGTGATAATGTAGATCTGTATCACTTTTTTTTAATGGCTACACATTTCTCTTGCATAAATATACCCTGATTTTATTTAATTAGATTCACATAGTTTTTAAAAGTCATTTTTCAACAACTTAATTATAGTTCTCTACTGTGGGAAAGTACTTATCAAATATATTGGAGTAAAGCCCTGTTCTCGGTTTTTGGGTCTAACAGTAGGTGAAATATTCACATTAAAATTTGTCCCTTATTGATTAAACTATCTTGTTAATTTCACTTAGCTTTTCTTCTTGGCCTTTATGATTCATCTTGCATGTTGTAATTATCTGCCTACACTTTGCCCATTTGTTATGCATGCACACGTATAACATTTTGAAGCACTTTAATCAGCTAAGCCTTCAATTTGGCATCATACAATGGAGAATATGAGTTTTTATCCATAGGAATCCTGGGTTCAGATCCATGTTCTGCCACTTATTAATGATGTGATCTGGGTCTAGTCATGTAGGAGCTGGGTTTCACTCTTTCAAGCCTACCTTTCATTAGGTTTGTTTGTTTGTTTAAGAGATGAGGGGTCTCTGTGTTTCCCAGCCTGGTCTCAAACTCCTGGCCTCCCACCTCGGCCTCCCAAAGTGCTGGAATTACAGGCATAACCCACTTTGCATAGTGGCTCATTAGGTTTTAATAATTGAAAGAGATAATGTTGTATAGGCTACTGCAGTGTTTGGCATAAAGGAGGTGTGGAGATTGGAGAATGTAGATCAGCAATCAAAACATCTATCAGGCTTAAGCGTATCATTTTTCAAACTTTTAAAAAGTTTCTCTCATACAGTTGCCATAATGATAGAGTTTATAATTGCTTGAAAAATTGTAGGAATATGAATTTGTTATTTTCCTAAAGTTTTAATAATGTCTGGTACTTAAGATATTTCTAGGAAGGTTCAAATCAGAAGACTGGTATGAATAAAAATATTTAAGCTTCCTTCTCCCCAAAAAAATCTAGATCTAAAAAGGAAGGAAATATTTTAAAATTATATTGAGCACAGATAATGCCCCAGTAGTAAAACTTCATCGGTTTGGATCCACTGACAGGGAATTTGAATGCAGTACTAATGTGTGTATCTTTGTACTGACTGTGGGTCATGTTAATTCCTTAAGGGAAAAGAGAGATTAGAAGATTAATGCCCTTTATGGACGATAAAACTGAAGGCCAGAGAGGTTGGAGTCGTATCCAAAATCACACAATTGCTGAGCTGGTACATGCTAGGATGTGGGTCTCTTGAATCCCAGTCCTGATATTTCCTTCTACCATATTCATTTAGGTAGAAATTATAGACTAATTATAAATAATTCATATATAGTCACTACACCTGTTTAAACAGTAACTCTGTTATAATATTAGGAAGTTTGATTAGACATTAATTTATGTTGTACAGTGCAAACCTCTCAAATCTAAAGTCATTGATTTCATGGCCAGGTTTTACTGAGTAGTTTTTAATGATGGTAAAAAATAGCAAGTACATCTGCATTTACTTTAACTTCTCACCAATAGTGATTTTGAAGGTTAATTAATGTTTCTGAGCAGTTTGAGAACCACTTTTATAAAGGAGCATTTGTTCATATGAAAAATAGATTTGAGAGGCCGGGCATGGTAGCCCACGCCTGTAATCCCAGCACTTTGAGAGGCCGAGGCGGGCGGATCATGAGGTCAGCAGATCGAGACCATCCTTCCTAACACGGTGAAACCCCGTCTCTACTAAAAAAACAAAAAATCAGCCGGGCATGGTGGCGGGCGCCTGCCCCAGCTACTCGGGAGGCTGAGGCAGGAGAATGCCATGAACCTGGGAGGCGGAGCTTGCAATGAGCCGAGATCGCGCCACTGCACTCCAGCCCGGGCGACAGTGCGAGACTCTGTCTCAAAAAAAAAAAGTAAAAGAAAAATATATTTGAGGTACACCTTACTTGCTGATTCCTTTGGGCTATTAGCTTTTACTTACCCTATAATAGTAAAAACTTAGATAAGCTTTAAAATTCTTTCCCATATGGTTTATAAAGTAACATGTTTACAATATAACACAACAGTATAGTTTATTAACCTAAAGTTAATAATAAGTTTGAAATTTTCTTCTTTATGTATTTACTATTTAAGTATTGAGTAAGATGATTGTGATTGTGGTAATAATAACAGCAACAAATAGCACTGACATTTATTAAGAATTTATTGTATGCTATGTACTCTATTAAGTGCTTTACATTAATTATCTTACTAATGAAAAATCTAGTGAATCACATCTCAATGAGATCATTCCTATTTTTTTATTGACAAATCATAGCTGTATATATTTATGGGGTACAATATGTTTTGACATGTATACAATGTGGTGTGATTAAATCAAACTTATTAAAGTACCGCCTTGTTACCTATTATTTTTGTGGTGAGACATGAAATTTACTCTCAGTTATTTGAAATACATACAACTATTGACTGTTGTCACCCTGGGGTGCAGTAAATCTCAAAAGTTTTTTCTCCTTTCTATCTAGAAACTTTATGCCTTTTGTTCATTCCTATTTTAATATACATTTTATAGATGAAGAAACTGAAATATAGAGGACTTTAGTGACTTTCCTGAGGTCACGTAGCTCGTAAGTTATTCAACCATTTTTTTAGTCTAGGTGACCCAACTATAGAACCTAAGTTTTCTGTTTGTGTGTATTAAGTCACCGTTGTAGGGTACAAAGGCAGCCTCACAGGAAAGAGTGATCCTACCAAGGGCTGTCTTTATCATCACTCCCCGTGTTCTCTCACTGTACCCTCCTAATAAAAAAAAAGGCATTAATTATTAGAACCACTGTTAGCAGAAAGATGCTTACAGTTAGGCCTGTACCTTTAGGTTTTCTAGGTCGCATTCATTCTTCAAGACCCAGCTCAGTTTCCATTTACAGTATTTCACAGTCTTAACATTTCTTCCAGTTTTTCCCTTTTCTGAGTTCTTATAGCAGTGCAATGTTTATTTTATACCTTCATTGACTTGCTTTTATATGTCTTATCTTTCCTAGAATTGTAATGTTGGACAAGACCTTCAAGAATCAGAATGAGTTTTCTCATTCTGCTAGGTTGAGTTACTTGAACAGTTTCACCTCATTAAGTGTTTGCTGATTGCCAGAAACCTATTAGCGTTGCTCTTATCTCTTTATTCAATATGACATTATTCGTAATGTCCCTTTGACAACCTATAGATAGGCCATTTCAAGTTCTTGTCAGTCCTCAGTTGTGCTAGTACAATAGTAGAAACTAGTGGAATAGCACTAAGCGCCTTTAGATGTTTTAGGCAGGGGCTGTAACAAACAAGTTTGGGAATATTTGAATAAATAGTTGAAATCAGAGTTTGAAAACAAACTTCGAAATCATATATAGAATGTTAAATTAATAGCATTCAAGCCAGACCATTTAGGCAACTGAAATAAGTGTTTGAATCCCTGCTATGTACTGGACACAGTGATGGGCATTTAAAATATCCTAAACAGTACTCATGATATACTAGCAGCAGTTAAGGGCTTTGTACTAATATCCAACATTGTGCAGTTCACATACATAGTTTTCCCTACAGAAGTACCCTTAAGAGCAAAGGAAAGTTACATACATCTTAGGGGACCTTGGGGATCAAAACCAAAGCAGCCCTAAAACTGTGATTTTTCTTTGATGTCACCTCTTCTTAGAAAGAGTATATCCATATTTACTATAAATTTTTTTCTCCCAATTGTTCACAGTTCAGAGAGAGATTAATTACATCAGCCTATGAATTCAAGAGCACTTTGGCACACTTCGGGGTTCTCCTTGCATTGAGCATAACCCGATTTTGAGACATCAGGCTATGCTTACTTGATCCCCTCAGTGGCCCTGTGGCCATGTCCAAGAGCAGACATGCTAAATTGGGCTTTGTCTGACTCCTTACTATTAATAAACATTATGTAAATGTGTAACACATTTACTTTTCTTTTTTCTTTGACCCCTAAATTTTTATGGCATTATATCTATCAACTCTTAGAAGGAAGTAGCTTTTCAGGTAATCGAAAGGCTGTTTGTTTTGTCTTTTTCTTTGTAGGAAATTCTTCTTTTAATGATAGCCAGGTTAAGTTACAATTTTGTTTCTAAAAGACAGATCTTAAGAGCAGAGTTATTACTAGCACAAAAAAATCAAATAAGAAAAAAAGCTCATTCATATGTGTAGTTTTTGTATCTCGGCCTTTTTAAATTTATTTTCTGCATATAAATATATTTTGGTATCACTGAAGTATCTCATTTTAGTGTGTTAATATTTTTTCTGTTATTGGAATATATTTATTGAATTATTTGAATATATAGCATGCATTGTATGAGATGAAAAACCCCAAGATGATTTTTTTGGAGACAGAGTCCTGCTCTGTCGCCCATTCTGGAGTGCAGAGGTGCAGTCTCGGCTCACTGCAACCTCTGCCTCCCGGGTTCAAGCGATTCTCTTGCCTCAGCCTCCCGAGTAGCTGGAATTACAGGCATGCGCCACCATGCCTCACTAATTTTTGTATTTTCAGTAGAGACGGAGTTTTGCCGTGTTGGCCAGGCTGGTGTGGAATGCCTGACCTCAGGTGATCCACCTGCCTCAGCCTCCCACAGTGCTGGGATTACAGGCATGAACCACCGCACCCAGCCCCCAAGATTATTTTAAGTAACTCCTTGTTTTGGATTAGAAGTCTTCTAGGCTTTGGAGACATTTAATCATTGTGTATGGCTAGAATGATTTGGTTATGCAGAAATAAATTTGAATAAAAAACATTTCGTGGTCAAAAATAAAGGTGTTATACTAATATACAACTAAGAGTGGGTTTAAAATGTGGGTTATAAAGTTAGTGTTTCTTTAACTTAGTGTTTCTTTAAATTTTTAGGTTTGATTTTACTTTATGTAGTAGCGTTTTTGTTTTCATAGATGGAGCAAATCCAAATTGATAAAATAACATTCTAATTTCAGATTTCTTTTTCAATTTTTAGTTGTTGACCTCCTGTACTGGAGAGACATTAAGAAGACTGGAGTGGTGTTTGGTGCCAGCCTATTCCTGCTGCTTTCATTGACAGTATTCAGCATTGTGAGCGTAACAGCCTACATTGCCTTGGCCCTGCTCTCTGTGACCATCAGCTTTAGGATATACAAGGGTGTGATCCAAGCTATCCAGAAATCAGATGAAGGCCACCCATTCAGGTGAGATGTCTGGAAAACAAGGCATGCATTGGCAATAGTGTAAACAGGATTGGTATTAAGACTTCATCTACTGTCTATAGAGTTACAAGCATGCATTTTTTTGTTAAAGATAATTGCAGTTATTTGCTTGAGCTATACCAAAAACATCTGCTTTTGAGATTTTCTAAAAGTCGTTTTAAAGGCTCATGATGGAGGAGACTGTTTATGTATCATTAAACTAACTCTGCTACTTGTTAGGAATATTTATTAGAGTTAAGCATTGGTTATCTTACTTGAATGAGTGTTGTATCTTTTTAACATGGGTAGGTTTGATGAGGATATTCTTTATTGCTTTTTATGCTGTCTGATAACGTGCTTTCTGATATTTCGTATCTTTCTAGTATGCTGATGTTTTCTGTTATGCTTTTCTTTATGTATTTTCTTTATCTAGTTTCTTCTCGTTTCTTAAGGCTTTACTTTTTAATTATTTTTTGGAGAGCTTTATTTCAGCATCTCCTTGTCTCTCAACTATCATCTTCTACCCTTGTTTTCACAAGTATACTATAGCATTATATAGTTGCTATGGAGACACAACCTCAGCTTGAGTCTTCTGCCCTCACCTCATACTCTGCGTGTTTTTCCCCCTCTTTTTTAATTGACATATAATTCATATACCATAAAACTCATTGGTTTTTAGTATATTCACAGAATTCTACAACCATCACTATTTTCATCGCACAAAAAGAAACTTCCTACTTATTAACAGTTCAACTCCCCAACCAACGCCCGACAACGACTAATTCACCACGTTTTTAAATGAACTTTTCCCCTCAAACTTGTTAATTTCTATCCATAACACCACTACCATGCTAGTTTTCAGGCTCCTGTTTTGATGTTATCTTTGTTTTCATCTCATATAAAGAAAATCACTAAATATTGTTAGGAAAATCACAAAATTTTGTTCTTTTCCACTGCTTCCTCAGTCTAACCAGGGGCCTGTAAAGCAAGGCCATGGCCAAATGCAGTCTGCTGCCTGCTTTTGTAAATAGTTTGTTGGAACACAGCCATGCTCATTCATGTAGCTGGTTTCGTACTGTAATAGCAGAATTCAGTAGTTTTAAGAGAGACCATATGGACGTGAAAGCCTAAAATGCTTAACTATCTGGCCCTTTACAGAAAGTTTGCTGACCCCTAATTGGACTCCATTTGTTACTACATTGACTTGTAGTTACCTCGGATTACTTCAGTTCTTACAGATGATGTCCGATTAATTTTTCTAGAAGTACCACTTTTTTTCTAAAGAGAAAAAAAACAAAAGAAAATGCACCGGCCCTCTATAGACTGTAGGATGAAGTCCATATGTCTTTGTCTTGTCTCTCATTTACCCCTTCCAGAGTTTTGTACCCATGTTCATGCTGCCTTCCTTAGCTGCCTCAGTCATACTTTTTATTTGGTTCTTAGTTTGGTTCAAGACCCAGCTCTTTGGAGAATTTCCTAACCCTGACCCCAAATGATCCGAAAATTCAGTTCCTACTGCATTAACTAAGCCTTTGAAATGTTAATTGTTTTGCATAAGGAGATCATTTTTCTTCAAATAGATTGAGATAATTTAAAAACTATTTCTAACTTGTTAGCTTGAAAGTAGGGGAAACAAAGGAAAAAACTATTTGTGGCAAGGTAATATCTGTTTGGGCATATGACTATGTACCTACCTACAACATGATCCAGTTGATATTAATGGGTAAACTTAAATGGATTTACAGACTTTGAAAGAGGAGACCTACTGAATTATTTTGTTTATTGTAAAGACTGGTGATTTTTCTCTGGCTTTCTCTTTGTGATGAAGTAATGATGTTATACAAGTTTAGGGGGAGAGACCAACATTTATTGAATAGCTCCTATGTGTCTAACCTTTTATGTACATATTTTAATAAGTTTATTTTAAATTTGTGATAATTCTGTGAGATAGGTGGTATCACTCCATTTTATGGGGTGATGGGGAAAAAGTTGGAATTCAGTAACTTGAAATTGTAGTTTGAAAATGGCAGAGCCAGCCAAACGTGTTGGCTCATGCCTGTAATACTAGTGCTTTGGGATCCTGAGGCAGGAGGATTGCTTGAAGCCAGGAGTTGGAGACCACCCTGGGCAACATAGTGAGACTCCCATCTCTACAAAAAATTAAAAATTAGCCAGGTGTGGTGATGCATGCCAGTAGTCCCAGCTATTCAGGCAGCTGAGCTAAGAAAATTGCTAGAACCCAGGAGTTCAAGGCTGCAGTGAGCTGTGATCATGCCACTATACTCCAGCCTAAGCAATAGAACGAGACTCTTTCAAAAAAAAAAAAAAAAAAAAAAAAAAGGCCGAGTCATATTATTATCAAGCCACAAATCATAAAGAAGTATGATTTTTAATTAGTTATGCTGAAATATGTAAAAATATTGTCAAGCCAAAACTTCTAAATTTTCTACCGTTCCAATTTTACACATCATTTGATTTTTGAGGTTTTTGGAAAATATTAGTGATTTATTTCCTTCTTAGAAACAACTTTATTCATTTTTTAAACTTTCTTCAAAGAGATGGGTCTCACTGTGTCGCCCAGGCTAGTCTCGAACTCCTGGACTCAAGCAATCCTCCTGCCTCAATGTCCCAAGTAGCTGGGACTACAGGCATGCACCACTGTGCCTGGCTAGAAACACTTTATATTCTTAAAGTCCTTTTATAGTCATTATAAAGTAAATTCAGCCAACATACCAGTTTAAGCTTGTTGGACAGTTTTTCCTAGTACCCCTTAATCATACTAGTAGAGGTGATATTATGTGGTTTGTATCTAATACCTGTGGTTACTGAGTGATGAACAGTGCTGGCATTGTATTAATATCACATAAATGTCAGTTGAATTAGTGTAAATATCTACAGGATGTCATTGATGGGGAGTACTGTCTTTATGGCTTCTGCTTAGGCATCTTGTCTTCAGCAAGAACAAGTAACAGTGGTACAAAGAAGCAGAATACCAACCAGGGTTATATCAGCCACTTTCCTATATTTCTCAAATTTGGGTAAACAAATAATTGCTGGTTTAAATATCAGTGCGAGTATTTGAGTATTTTTAACTTGATATTAATAATTCAGTTTTTTGTTAATAATTGTCTAACAGTGTGTTAGACCATGTATTAGTAAAGATACATTCCTGGTCCATAACAGCTTATACTCTAGTAGGAAAAATATACAAGTATACATGTGTCTATATTTCAGAGCTGAATCTAGTAAATACTATAAGACTAACACAAAAGAAAGCATTGTTAGAATTATACAGGAGTGAGAGAGAACATCAGGGTTTTATGAAAGAGATTGGCAGATAAGGCTCTATGTATGGGTGAGATTTGAGATGGGGCTAACTGGCTAAATAAGGTATCACCAGAGGTAAGAGAGCATTGCAGATTGGGAAAACCATATGATTAATAAGGGCTACATTAAGGTTAAAAAATACTTAGTGAATGACTCATTTCTGGCTGCAACATAAAGAGTAGTTGGAAGTAAGGTTGGAAAGATTTAGGAGGATGTCCCTGGTTGAAAAGTTGGAGTCATAGAATCACAGAATGTTTGAGCCTGAAGGAACTGAGGAAAGTCTGTTTCTCAAATTTACAGAGTTGGAGCACTTACCCAGAGAAGTTAAATGCCTTTTGCAATGTTGTATAGCTAGGTAGTGGCAGGTCTTCTAACTCTTGCTTGAGTTCAGCCTAGACAGCACTATCTAAGATAGCTCACATAAGGTTATTCTGGCATTGGCTGACGGAATGGATTTGGATGCAGGCAGATCAGAGATTGGTTTGGAGAGTGATAGAATATTCCAGCTCGTAAATAGTAAGTGCTTAAAATAGAGTGATGGCACTGTGAATAAAAACCAGGAGACATATTTGGGGCATGTTGCAGAGGTAAAACTATGGGACAAGGAGTTGTCTAAGATGTTATTTCCACTGTAAGAAACTGGCATCCTGAGACATAGGGAGGTTATGAGGACTACTTCCAACAGATACGAGGGAACACTCAGCACTTCTGAGTTGGTTGTACCCTGCCAAGATAAAATGGCTTCTTTGAAACAGTAATGAAACTGTTTCTTACATTCCTGTGGACTTGACTTTTTCCCCAGTATAGTATTTTTATTTATTTATTTATTTATTTATTTATTTATTACCAATACAATACTTTTAAATTTAACAATTTTAGCCATCTCGGTATGGATTAAAACATCTAGATGATGTAACTCTTATGTTTTGCTAGGATTGCTACTGTGCTTTTGGCAGCCACTTTACAATCTGGTGCTTGACATATTGAACAATTTCCCCTAAAGGTTAGTCTGAGAGAGTTTAGGATTTGGAAATGAAAAAGATCTTTGTTAGGAAAACGTGATGAGACAACATAGTGTCAACTTTAAGAAAAAAAAAAAAACAACCATAGTCATAACTACCATTTACTGAGTGCATCCTTGTGCTCAGTTGCATTAGGCACTTTTCTCACTGAATTCTCATGATAATCTCCACTTTATAAATGAGGAAACTAAGTTTAGAGGGAAGAATAAATAACTTTGCAAAATTACCTAGCCAGGTAAGTGGCAGAGCATCAGATTCAAGCCCAGATCAGTCTGGCTTCAAAGTGTATGCTTTTTCTGTGCTAGTCAGCAGACAGTGCATATCAAGGAAATACCCCTTACTGCTGAGTTTTTATATTGCCCCTAATTTGGAAACAGTTGGCTTTTATAGTAGAATATTTTCTTAATTTCTTACAGATATATAATTTCTGATTGACATTTAGGGGAAAATCACTCCAATTAGTGACAATTATGATGTGTTTTGTTTTCTAGGGCATATCTGGAATCTGAAGTTGCTATATCTGAGGAGTTGGTTCAGAAGTACAGTAATTCTGCTCTTGGTCATGTGAACTGCACGATAAAGGAACTCAGGCGCCTCTTCTTAGTTGATGATTTAGTTGATTCTCTGAAGGTAAGTTTATTTTGCCTTTCATTTTTGATATACCCAGAATTTAGTATCAAGAGAGTTGAGTGTAAAATTCTGTTCTTCTATATTCAAGTAAATGATAAATATTAATTAAATCACATGGCTGTAAACTTGTGTTTTAAAATTCAGAATCCAATCAAATAAGGATGAAGAAGTGCTATTCCCTTTTTTTTTCTGGTCATACTTAATACAGAGAGTCCTGTATTCCTTTTTAAAGGAGAATAAGTTATAAATCATACTTGTGGGCCGGGTGTGGTGGCTCACACCTGTAATCCTAGCACTTTGGGAGGCCGAGGCGGGTGGATTACCTGAGGTCAGGAGTTTGAGACTAGCCTGGCCAACATGGAGAAACCCCGTCTCTACTAAAAATACAAAATTAGCCAGGCGTGGTGGTGCATGCCTGTAATCCCAGCTACTCAGGAAGCTGAGGCACAGGAGAATCGCTTGAACCCGGGAGGCAGAGGTTTCGGTGAGCTGAGGTCACGCCATTGCATTCCAGCCTGGGCAACAAGAGTGAAACTCTGTCTCAAAAAAAAATTATATATATATATAGTAATACTTTCGGAAATCATAAAGATTAAAAGGAAAGGAAATTAATCGGAATTTTGACTATAAGCATAAAGATCGTCTAATGCATTATCAGATTTATTCATTCTGACTTTGCTTTACAGTCTAGCACTTATGTACATGAAAGCTATTTCATATCTTGGACTCTTTCTTATTCTAGATAAGATTTAATATTCTGAAACACTTCAACTAATCTTCAACTGGTAATCATTGGAAGTTTTTCTTTAGTTTTTGGATCTCGCTACATAAGCAGCTGTTAAGAGTCTCACCTTGCAAATAAACTCTCCCAAAGTTCTGACTGACGAAACAGGCACTAAACCACAGTTGTGTAATTTAAGCCTGAAGCACTGGACCTGTAGTGCTTTTCTTTTTCATAGAACTTGTCATTTGTGTTGTATATGCTCTTTCCTGTGACTCTGCAGAAAACAGGCAGACTTGTTTCCAATCTAAGCCTGGGCAGAAATGTAGTGGTGGTAATTCTCATAATTTTTCATTTTTCATTTCCAAGAGAAATGTTCTAGTTTATATTTATCACACATGCCAAGGATATAGTAGTAATAAGGTGACTGGGCCTTTAGACTCAGAAAAACAATTTCTGAACTGGTCAGAATAGGTTTAAGTGCTTAAAGTGCTTTTTAAAAAAAAAAAACAAAAACATTTTAGCCTTTATAACCTAGTAGTTGATACGTTATTTTCAGCTGTTTGCGTCTCTGGGCTTACAGGTATGAGCCACTGCGCCCAGCCGCATCTCTTATTTTTATTTATGACTTGGAACTTAAGTTACTTCCTAATAACATCAAGGGTAAATAATGTAGTTTCCTTTTATTACTTACCTCTTTCGTATAGAGTGGTTGCATTTAGTGACTAAATCTGTAGTGGTGTTTTAAAATGATCTGATGTTAGTCTGTAAATAAAAAGATTACGGTTATGTTGTTTGGCATGCTTGGTTAATAAGTTTCAAAAGAGATCAACTAAAAATATTTTGGAGCAAATGAAATAGAACCTTGTACATACAGCCTAGAGGAAACCAGTTCCTATTCATGTATTATTACCTTCTATACGTAGCTGACTTCTAGGGTAGAACATGTGTGAAAAGTGATTGAGGAGGAGGTACTGATGCCGCTTAAGATGGATGGTTTGTGGGTAGGAATTGACTGAGAAGAAATACTGTCTGTAAGTAGTAATTCAGAGCTTCAAACAGCAAAGGACCATCTCTGAATTTAGTAGTCAAAGATTGGTGGGGGAGAGAGGTGACTTCAAAGAAAAGCCTGGTGAGCTTAGGGGAGAGGAGAGATGCTTGTTGTTTTTATAGATTCAATAAACACGGCAACAGAGATACACCAAAAGTCATCCTCGATGTTTGCACAGTATAGCAGTGAAGGCAGCTATATGTCTACAATTTAACATTTTTCTTGAGAGAAATGTCATTCTTGAATAAATCTATTTTTAAAATTGATCTGGGAATGATTCATTATGCTCTAGTTTTCTGAGTTTGAGTATAAAGTTTCCACTTGTCTTTAATCAAAAGAAAACTTATTTATTCTTTCAGAGAAAATTTTCATCCATACACAGTCCATTGTGTAGATACGGGGCAAGAGGAGAGAGAAAATGTTAGAAAGGGGCTGATGAGATCTTAAGAAACATTTTAAATCTCTGTTTTGCACACGTATTTGAGAATCGAATATGAGGACTTTTTAAAAAAAGTTTTGAGAAATAATTTCTTTGTTAAATCTTATATTTTAATTTCTTTTGAAAACTACATTTTTTTGTAAAAGCAATTATGTTATTCATGAGGAAGCTAGCATAAATGAGAGAAATCGAACTTGATAAGTTCTTGCATTGAGTGACTGCTAATTTGAAAGTAACAGAAAGTAACACATGATGAGACAGATTTCCTTTCTGGAACACTTGTTGTTTCTTAGTATTGAAAAAAAGGACTTTCATTAAAATTATAATTTATCCTTAAGGATTAGCAATCCTTTTAAAAAGAGAAGAGAAGAAAAACGTACTTGATTGGTTTCCCTGAGTTGTGTTTTTGGCAAGCCCAGAGCTCAAGGAAACCTGCTTGGTGACTTCCCCAGCTGGCAATTCATTTAGGACTGCAAATAAGTAACAGTTGCCTCATCATGTTAGCACTTAAAGTGAACCTGGCATTTAGATCTCAAAATCTAGAGGCAAATGAATAAGGCAGGGAATCTGTCCTTTTCTCCCCATGAAAGGTAAAGCCCTTGGTAATTCAGGTGCACACTCTGATAATGTACATGAAAGGTCTTCCTTGATAAACGATAAACCTTGTGATTTTGCCACACAAGAATTTAGCTAAACCCTTTCCTAATGTCATTGTATATGAGTAGTACAGATTCCATGTGTTTGTTTCCATTGAATATACAGAAATACTGAATACTTCCTTAAAACAGCTTTTATTGAAAAAAGGAAGCTGATAAAAATCACTTTGCTTTTTTATAAAAACGCTTGATAGGATTACCTTTCTAGAGAGACTTCTGTGTATGGCCACACTTATCCACCACAGTTTTTGTTTATATAGAGAGCATTTTAAAAAGAAGAAGGTTTTCCTGGCCATGCACAGTAGCTCACGCCTGTAATCCCAGCACTTTGGGAGGCCAAGGCGGAAGGATTGCTTGAGGCCAGGAGTTTGAGACCAGCCTAGGCAACATTGTGAGACTGTTTCTATAAAAAAAAAAAAACTGAAAAATCAGCCAGCCATGGTCGCCCATGCCTGTAGTCCCAGCTACTTGGGAGGCTGAGGCAAGAGGATTCTTGAGCCCAGGAGGTGGAGGATGCAGTGAGCCATAATCATACCACTGCATTCCAGCCACGGCAACAGAGTGAGACCCTGTCTGTTTAAAAAAAAAAAAAAAATTATTAAAATCTTAATCTTAAGTTCCTTAATAGTGGACTGTATTACTTTTTGCCTTTTAGCCACAAAAACTGGTAGGGAAAGTTATATTCTGTCACCCTAAAGCAAGCAAAAAATGTTTTTCCAATTCCCATTCTTTTTTTACTTTTTCAACATAAGGAAAAATGTATTTACCTTGTTTAAACGGATTTATTTTAATGCCTTACAGTCAGATTTTAAATTTATGGGAAGTTTGCTAATAGCTCCAGTCTCTCCAGTTGAGATGAATGTTTTTTCTTATTTAAATAACAATGAGTTTTTTAAAATTTATAGGAAGTAGCTTTTTATTGGAATTACATTGATTTTATATGATTCATAGCTAGGAAAATGGAAACCATCTTAATTTCAGGAAAATGTAGTAGAAATTACTCTCATTTCTAAATTTTTGTCATTTAGAAAAGACATTTTTATCAAGCTCTGTGTTTACAAAATAATAGTTTTTAAACAACAATTTGAAAGAAGTATCTCTATAACTCATTGTCTTCATAAATGCAAAATCTGTTGTGTGCCCTCAAATTTATATCTACATTTTTAGATTCTGGGTCACAATTATCACTAGCTCTTTTTTTTTTTTTTTTTTTTTTGGAGATAGAGTCTCGCTGTGTCACCCAGGCTGGAGGGCGGTGGTGCGATCTTAGGCTCACTGCAACCTTTGCCTTCCAGGTTCAAGTGATTCTCCTGCTTCAGCCTCCCAAGTAGCTGGGACTACAGGTGTCCGCCACCACGCCCAGCTAATTTTTGTATTTTTAGAAGAGATGGGGTTTTGCCAAGTTGGCCAGACTGGTCTCGAACTCCTGACCTCAGGTGATCTGCCTGCCTTGGCCTCCCAGAGTGCTGGGATTACAGGTGTGAGCCACCATGCCCAGCCTACAATTATGACTATTTCCATGTGAAACCATCTTCCTCAGAAATTGAAATTTTAGAGCCGCTCTTGCTAGCATGTGAAACCTTTTCCTTGCTTATTGCCTTTTGGCGGGGGCAGTGAAGGAGGAGCCTGGCCTTTCAAAATGTGATCAAAAAAATAACCAAACTCCAGGGCTCATTAGTCCTTTTATAAACACCGGTGTGAAATGATGGGTATCCGTGTGCCTGGTCCAAGTTTCCTGGTGGTTGACTTGGGCGAATAAAAATAAGACATGTTCTGCAGAGTTCTCCTTTTAAATTCTTGTGTAATATTCCGTTTGTTTTGCTCCTTTGCAATTAACTACAAACTTCTAAGTCCTAGAAAAGATTTCAAGTATTTATAGAGTGAGCAACGATCATTTTCCTAGTCAAATAGTATGGCAAAAATCACTGTTTTAAAAAGTTGTGGCATTAAACTATAAATCCTCCCTCCCCTCGCTTCCCACCCGCAATTATGAAAGAAAAGCATATGACAATGCCTACTGGGCTCAGCTTTTGGGCTAATTGAGTCTGACTGAGCCTTCTTAGCAGGTTCCTGTCTTTTGAAACCTCAAATCCCAAAAAGCTGTCTAATAATTTTACTTTTTTAGGGACTAAGACCAGGTATTTTCAGCAGAGGTTCTTACTTTTCTGTAATTGAGGCGCAACTATAATGTTCCAGAACACAATCTTAAATCTGAAAGTGAGAGGAAGAAAAAAAAAAAAACGGCCTGAGCTCCAGAAATAGCTGACCCAGAAGAACACTAAAATCTAGCTCTCAGGCTCATAGGCAGCTGTTAACATTCACATTTTGACAGCTTCCTTTCAGGTTTCTTGAGCTCTCAGAAAAATTAGAAGGAAGTGGGCTGGGGATATAGAGAGAGTCCAAACTACCAACTAATGAATGAATCTGAAGGAGACACAGAAGGGCAAGTAGAGTTTAGAGTTTGAGAGTGCAGGAAAGTTTTGAAATGGTCAGAACTGCCAGAGTAATTTCTGAGATCTTACTAAGCACTCTCCCACCGTTTGCCTTAAAGATACCCCTTCCCCCAAATTGAAACATCACAAATCTGCAGAGCTCTTTAATCAGGTGTGTTATACACAGTGAATTTAATTCTCTTATTGCCCTGGAAGAAAGATAAACCAGATGTGGCCCTTGCCCCTTTTCAGTAAGTATTTGTTAGATCTTCATTACATTTTAGGCCTCCTTCCTCCAGTCTCGATACTGTGCAATGGAGAGATAAGCTTTGACCTCTTCAGTTAATAAGTATTGGCTATAATGTTGCAAAGTATTTGCCATGGAATCGTGTAGAATTTGTTAAGTCCAAAATGAGAGCAGCCTGTTTGCTTCTTTAAAGTGTTTATTGACCTTATTCCTGCCATGTTACAAATCCATCATTTGTGGTGGATTCCCATTAATAATGGTTACTCTCTAGGTTAGTTCTTGCTGCCACCCCTTTCTCTCCTGGTGGTGTGTTCCCTGAATACACTTAACCACTATTTCTGTTTTGGGCCGCCGAAGTATTCAGTTTTCTCAACATAGCTGCAACATTTAAAAATTATATGATAGCACACAAAAGTGTACATTTCTGGCAACACTGGCCTGGAATATTTGCATGGCCACAGCGTATGGAGCAGGGTTGTAAGTGCCCCTTTGAGAGGAAGAATGCATATCACTGTGTGCCTCAGTTCTCTCCCAGCCTCTCACATACATGTATGTCACCTGCCTGGCCCTAAGGACATTTGAGACCTCCCTGTGTTCTTCTCTTTGTCTTGGGATAGCCTGGCTTTTAGGAAGTGTTCTCAAAGAGGCAAGTGACATTTGAGCCCCTACAGTGGCTCAGGTGTGAAGTCTTGGGCTTTTCCCCTGTGGACTTGGAGTGAAGCCTTGTCAGTGACTGTAATGACCAAATGAGGAGTTATTTTAGCTTGTGTTTGTTACTATCTTCTGTCATGTTAAGGGCATCTTCGTTGCTAGAGTAATTTCTTCTAAAATATGGAAGGTCAACACTTTTCCCTTTAGACTTGTGGATAGTGATGGATAAAAATAACTCTCTTACTCTATAGTAAACTTGCTCAAGTGCAAAAGTTATATTTAGCTTCAGCAATAGGAGTCTATAAAACTGTGAGAGAAAAGCCTTACTAACTGAAGTCATCCTTCAAACCTTTCTACCAGGGGTTCCAATAGCAATTGCTAAGAATACGGCAGCTTAAAAAAATTTTTTTTCAATTGACAGATATTAAGAATGCCTGATATTTACTGACTTGAACATTAGTTAAATTCAGTTAGGGTGACCAGAGTGTTGCTATTTGTAGAACTGTTGCTTGGTAGAGTCATCCAAAGTGTCTTCCTAAGCTGTAATAAATATGCTTACTAATGTTTGACTGCTTAATTAATGGTCAGTAAGCATTCAGTCAGAGTTCGTTTAATACATGGAGAAAGATATATGCTTTAGATCAAGGGTTAGCAAACCACTGCTTGTTTGGGCCACGGCCTGTTTTTGTATAGTGTGGGAGCTAAGAGTGGGTGGTGTACATTTTTAAAGGGTTATGACAACGACACAGAATAATATGAGACACAAACCCTATGTGGCCCATAAAACCTAAAATTCTACTGTCTGGCTCTTCACAGAGAAAGTTTGCTGATCCCCGCTTTAGATAATGGGGGTGCTCTACTACTCCCCTTTTCATTTATAGTGTTACATAAGCCTAAATAATCACTGTAGCTGGTGGCATCATGTTTGTTACCTACTAAGTAGGTCAAAGTGATTGCCAGACATACACATGAAGGCCTTGAATTAGAAAGCAAAGGAACTGATGATGACCAATGTTTAACAAAATTCAGACTGACTTTGTGCCTGATCCTTCAAAGGCTAGAGGTGATATTTTTGGTACCTGAAACGTAATTTCCCTGATAAGTACTCTTTGCCCAATTATTGCTTATCAGCTGAGATATTAATGTCTGAATTATTCAGCTCATATATCTTCAAGCACTCAACTAGTTCATACTTTGAAATCAATTCTAATAGACAATTCTCATAACACCTTTATAGTCTTCCCATTTAAAAGGTAAATGTTGTTAGGGCTGGAGGGGTAAGATGCACCCTTGGTATATTGTCTGATCTCAGCAGAATCAACTACTTGGTAGTGTAGTCCAGAGAAAATGGGTCAAATCTATTAATTATTTTAGGATTTTGAAATTCATAATTGAGACTCGTGACTTAATAGTGAACTGCTCATGGTACTTTACCCAGTCTTCAAGTTGTATGCCTTTTGTAGGTAGGCATTTAGATGGGATGCTTTTGAAAGCATAATTAAGAAACTTTACTTGAATTTTGTTTATAATGGGCTAATGTTATTTTCTTATAGTTTGCAGTGTTGATGTGGGTATTTACCTATGTTGGTGCCTTGTTTAATGGTCTGACACTACTGATTTTGGGTAAGTCTACAAAGCCATTGGGATGAAAAATTGCTGGAAAGATTGTGTGCCAGGAGCTTAGACATTTTAGTGGAGAATATTCTCATTGTATGAAAAGTAGGGGATGAAAATGTGGGCCGGGCGCGGTAGCTCATGCCTGTAATCCCAGCACTTTGGGAGGCCAAGGTGGGCGGATCACCTGGGGCCAGGAGTTCGAGACCAGCCTGGCTAACATGGTGAAACCCCATTTCTACTAAAAATAGAAAAAATTAGCTGGGCGTGGTGGCGCACGCCTGTAATCCCAGCTACTCCGGAGGCTGAGGCAGGAGAATCACTTGAGCCCAAGAGGCAGAGGTTGCAGTGAGCGGAGATCGTGCCATTGCACTCCAGGTTGGGCAACAAGAGTGAAACTCCATCTCAAAATAAGTTTGAGGTTGTATTCTCTTTAAATAAGTTGGTGATACTGCTTCCCGGTTTATTGAAATGCTACCTTAGTTGCTGAAGACAGCTCCTACTAACAAACAGTGATAAACCAGATAAAGGGTGGCTTTATATGATGGTGCAGTCATAAATCTAACCAGGGATACCTTTATTTTATGAAATCTCACTGTGATATGATTTGAAGCTAGAAATGGTTCCTAGCTCTAATAACTGCAGCCTCACACAGTTCATTCATTCCTCTGGAGTGGCTCCTCAACAGCAGATGCATCCAGAGATCCTTATGTTTTTATTCATTCATTAGGAACACTGCTTGGTTATCTTGAGTTGCCAGTTTAATAGTTTTTTGAGTGTTTATTCCTCCCAAATCATTCCGTTCTTTTTGAAAAGTTGTATATTTCCCTTTTCAGCTCTCATTTCACTCTTCAGTGTTCCTGTTATTTATGAACGGCATCAGGTAATTTCCTAACTAACTGCTGACTTCAGAATAGAGCACTCACTCTATTACATGGGATTTACGGATGTATTAGTGCCCATTTTCAATGTCTTACAAAAATGAGAAGTGTGATGGTTTCTTAAGCCTTTAGCTTGACACATAGTAGTGGTTAATAAGATTCTTTAGCAACGGTAATAATTCCTTTATACCTCTCTTTCAGGCACAGATAGATCATTATCTAGGACTTGCAAATAAGAATGTTAAAGATGCTATGGCTAAGTAAGTATTTAAAATCTGCAGTGTTTTTACTAGGATAAGGTGTGCTGGATTGTGAGAACAGTATTTTCATATTGCAGGCATAATGAGTAACAAATCTCTATCAGACCTTAAGTGTGACTTCAGAGTTGCCAAAAGATTGTTTTTCTAACATTTGGACCATTCGTTTCTGGGTTTATTATGTGTTTAAGGCTTTGTTTAAATCTAATTCATGAGGCCAAGGTGGCAAAATTATAGCTTAGAATTAGGCAGCTTTAAGGATTTCATTTATTGTATTAGCTGAATAACATACAAGTAGTTCTTGGAAGATGGTATTTTAAGCAGCAGCAAACAAAACTGATATTTACATTGACTTTTTCATTTTCAGAATCCAAGCAAAAATCCCTGGATTGAAGCGCAAAGCTGAATGAAAACGCCCAAAATAATTAGTAGGAGTTCATCTTTAAAGGGGATATTCATTTGATTATACGGGGGAGGGTCAGGGAAGAACGAACCTTGACGTTGCAGTGCAGTTTCACAGATCGTTGTTAGATCTTTATTTTTAGCCATGCACTGTTGTGAGGAAAAATTACCTGTCTTGACTGCCATGTGTTCATCATCTTAAGTATTGTAAGCTGCTATGTATGGATTTAAACCGTAATCATATCTTTTTCCTATCTATCTGAGGCACTGGTGGAATAAAAAACCTGTATATTTTACTTTGTTGCAGATAGTCTTGCCGCATCTTGGCAAGTTGCAGAGATGGTGGAGCTAGAAAAAAAAAAAAAAAAGCCCTTTTCAGTTTGTGCACTGTGTATGGTCCGTGTAGATTGATGCAGATTTTCTGAAATGAAATGTTTGTTTAGACGAGATCATACCGGTAAAGCAGGAATGACAAAGCTTGCTTTTCTGGTATGTTCTAGGTGTATTGTGACTTTTACTGTTATATTAATTGCCAATATAAGTAAATATAGATTATATATGTATAGTGTTTCACAAAGCTTAGACCTTTACCTTCCAGCCACCCCACAGTGCTTGATATTTCAGAGTCAGTCATTGGTTATACATGTGTAGTTCCAAAGCACATAAGCTAGAAGAAGAAATATTTCTAGGAGCACTACCATCTGTTTTCAACATGAAATGCCACACACATAGAACTCCAACATCAATTTCATTGCACAGACTGACTGTAGTTAATTTTGTCACAGAATCTATGGACTGAATCTAATGCTTCCAAAAATGTTGTTTGTTTGCAAATATCAAACATTGTTATGCAAGAAATTATTAATTACAAAATGAAGATTTATACCATTGTGGTTTAAGCTGTACTGAACTAAATCTGTGGAATGCATTGTGAACTGTAAAAGCAAAGTATCAATAAAGCTTATAGACTTAAAATATGCTTTGGTATTTTCATTTCATGAAATTGCAGCAGATTAAAAATGCACACAGTGGGTAAACTGCTTCAACCAGCGAATGGTAGCTTGTGCTTTTAGAAGGGTTTTTTTCAGCTGATGGTGCAGCTGTTTGTTTGTTTACTGTGGAAACAAAAGTCAACAAATGTGTTTACATAATCAAATTTTATTTGACACATAAAATGTTTAAGTGATGTGTTTTATACTTTGAAAATAAATTCATGCACCAATGTTTTAACTCACATATATCATACAGTGCAGGATTTATGAACATACATAAAATCAAAATCATACCATATAAACGTTTACAAATAAGTTTTTCATGACACACGGACACTATTGCTCTTTAAATATGGTTGTACATGTCATCATTAATCGATTCATTGTTCTTCCACATGGTTATTTCAATGCAAGATCCGATCAGCATGAAGAGTCTAGTACAAGATAGGCAGACATGGTTATCACTCTGCATCACCAGTCACATGGTTACAGAAAACAGAATTGGGACTGCATAGGGACTCTACTGCGGGCCCAACAACCTATTAGTGGATTGATGTAAGGCATTAGTAAATTGGCATATAAAAATAGCTTAATGAGTGATCTAATCCATTTAGAATGCTGAAGCACTTCTGTGGTAAATGTTAGTCTATTCTACAATTGAAAATGCCTCATTTTACCTTTTCTCTAAACTGACAAATGCAAGTAGCCAGTAACTGTAGGTCTAGAATTTTCGTTCACTGACCAGAAGGACTAATAGGCGTCTATGTGCTCAGAACCACCAGTCCCGCACCAACTCTCCTTTCAGTGAGCACTGTCAGCCACATCCTGTAGTCACTGGTCAGCTACATGGAAAGTGTGACTGAGGGGCTTACGGATGGCTTCTGGTAAAGATTGTCCAAGTCATATTCCGTCATACAACCAACTCCAAGGAACTCTAACTCACTTTATAATTTTGATTTACCAGCTATTCCTTGGGTTTACAATTTGTTCTGCAGATAATTTTTTTATAATCTGGACTTGACCTATATAGTTCGCCTGAAGCAATCAAATGAAGTCACCTCAACTCCACTCAGGGTGGTACACCAAGGTGCAGCCTTGGGTTACCCTCATTTATCTTAAGATTTAACGAGATAAGTCAGCTCATTCTCATAGACCTTCCTGAGCCTTTTTCCCCTTCCATTTTGTAGTAGAAGTTTGTTTAACTTGAATTCTATTTTGGATTTTGTGGGTTTGGCATGAAACACAATGAAAACCCATAATTCTACCCTGTCCCGAACTTCAATTCCTTTGCTGCTCACCTTCCCATAAGCAGGTAACCGATGTCTTTCATTTAGGAAGCCTTGGCGTGAACACAGGACAAGGGTGACACACTGAATCTGCTAAGGGTCCTGCAGCCCTCCTCAGCTTTGAGGTTTTAGCACCATATGGAGAAAGGAGAAATTGGTGGGAGGTGAGACAGCAGCCCACACAACTGGAAACTTTCAAAGGCACTTAATGGATATAAAACTCTGCAAATGAAACATTTAAAAATTAAGTTTCTCAACTCCTTTATACATGGCTCATTTGGTTTTGAAAGCTAAACTGGAGAACAGAGGCTAGCGATATTTCTAGTACTTCGGTGCATCTAACTTAGGCTGTCTTGTTCAACTTATTTGTAAAAATGAACATTCTTGAAGTATATAGAAACAATAGCAAAACATCTTTGTAAAAGTTTTGATGCAAATTAAAAGCTACATATTGGTTAGGGTAACCGAGGCTTCAAAATTCGTCAGCGGGCTACATTATCAGATAGGATTTCTTTGTCAATGTAGTTAGTATGTATACTGTTTAGTCTCAGGAACAGAGGCAAGCAGTCTTTAACATTTTAAAACTTGACCTTCCTTCGTGGCATCACGGTTTTGGAGAGTCCAGATTATGGGAGCAGTTGTGTAACTTCTGCAGCGTTTTGAGCTTGTGCATCCGGGGCAGCATGGTAGGCATTTCCCAACGGCTGGTGGCAAGGAGGCACCTCAGCATGGCCTCTGCAGTTGCTGGCTGGTAGCAGCAGCAGCAATAACATAAGAGGCTTCTGGCATTTTACAGACATCGCCACACAAATACACTGAAAAGGCAGATCAAACAGTCATTTTGCATAGCTGGACATCATACTTGTGTCAAGTGGCAAAAAACAATCTTGCCAAGTGCTCAAAAGTCAAGCTCGGGTGATGTATTGAACATTTTGACTTCAAAAGGTAAACCAGGGATCTTGCCACCAAATTAAGATCTATTGCTTTTCTTAAAAGGTCTGTTTTTTTCAGTTGAGTTCTGTTTGGTTCTTTCAGCAGTTTGAATGTCTGTGCTAAATGTTGGTCCGTGAGGACTTCTGGCACTTTGATATCACACTCTCTCCTGTTACTATTGAAAAGGTTTATCACCTCCACTTGAGTCAGAGAGCCCTTTTGAGTGTTTAGCACAGAACCAGGGATCACAGCATGCTCCCATGCCTACAAAGGCCTGCAAGCCCTGCACGGTTAAGGCCACTTCTTTTTTATATTAAAACAAGTCTGTATCCCCTGCATTGGGGTGACCAATTCATTTACGTCTTTTACTCCTAGCTTGTTCACAATTGGGTTGGTGCTGCTTTGAAGGGGTGTTAGCACTTCACAGGGAGCTGCTGGCGGTACTATCTCAAGGGCTATAAGTGCCAGAAGTAGCCAGCACAGCAGGCTGGAGATGGGGGCTCCCAGGCAGGCCATGAGAAATACACAGTGCTTTTGAGTGGGAAGTGGGTTGAGATTCTTTATAGGTGCCTTTCTTACAACCTAACTCAGACCACCAGGAAGTATCAGAAGGCCTGTATTTCATCTTTATCCCCTCAGGAGTTTTGCTTGGGCTGAATAGAACCCAGTATTCATGCTACAATGAAGCTCATCAGAAATGGGGAAGCTGAGTGAGTTAGAATGACCTAGACCTGTTCCTCTATACTCTATTTAGAGTAAATAAAGAAATTCCCAACACTGGTGATCAACTGGGAGTTCTTAAAAGGACATATAGATGAATTTGCATTCTAACCTCCTGATTATGCACAAAAGCCCATGGGCTGCCAAGAGCTTCTACTCAAATCAGCCATCTCGGGTGTCATCCACCTGTCCCTTTCCCCCAGCAGTGCCCAGAGTAGCTATCACATGCCCATGCCATCCCAGGACAGCTCCAGTCACAACCATTGGGTTGACAGTCACCAAAGAGTAAATGCCTTATCTTGGAAAGTACTTGCCTTCATGAGGACTCATGGAATTTCCTGTTTATTAGCCCCACATCAGCCCTCCTCATGCCCCTGGGAGAGGCTGACCCACGGGATGCCTGAGATGGGGAGGGAGAGCTGGCCAGGCCTGTGGAGTAAGAACTGGGTCAGCTACGTTAGTACCTGCAGTCGTCTCCTCCAGTGCTGACCACATACTTGTCATCATAAGAGAAACGGATGTTCGTCACGTGAGCCGAGTGACCGAAGTATCGCTTATGTTTGGCCTGTGAGCAAAAGTGAATGGAGACAGCTAAGAGACCCTGGCTCCTCTCAGCAACCACAGACTACTTCCAGCACTCAAATCCCCTGCTCCCAGAACCTTCCTTCACTGGGGACTTCCATTTGGTCTGGACTCATCTATTAGCCAGCCTTTGGCTGACTTTCCTGCCTCTCATCCTTGCCCCACTTCAGGTCATTTTATCCACCCTCCATCCTCCCTTCTGGCTTCCAGGACTGCCCCTCCAGGAGGTGAAAAACTCATTGCCATATTTCCACTGTACCGGGACAGGGTTTCTCTGTGTCTCCCAGAGGGCCATCTAGACGTGGCCCCTATCTCCTGCAGACGGCCAAACAGAGAACCTGCAGGGAGGTTACTCTGAGGAACACTCACAAATTTTTCTGTGCATGGAAAATCAAAGAGCTTCACCAGCCCAAAGTCATCTCCTGTGACAATGTTCAGGCCAGCGTGGGTCACACATGCGCAGTTGACATCAGCCTTGTCTGCATTTCGTGGCCAGATTCCAATGACTTCATCTCCCAGGACGCTGTTCCAACAGAAAGAGGGGTTAGGATAGAAGGAAGTCACGGCGAAGGCTCCTTGCAGTCAGTCATCACCTCCCAGGGATAAGGAAGAGAGGGATGTTTAACATCAGGGGTCCCCAACAGCCAGGCCACGGAACGGTACTGGTCCATGGCCTGTTAGGAACCGACCGCAGGGCAGGAGGTGAGCAGTGGTGGCGGAGCATTACCACCTGAACTCCGCCTCCTGTCAGATCTGCCGCAGCATTAGAGTCTCATAGGAGTGCGAACCCTATTGTGAACTAAGCATGCGAGGGATCTAGGTTGCAAGCTCCTTATGAGGTGGAACAGTTTCATCCCGAAACCCCACCCCCTACCTGGTCTCTGGAAAAATTGTATTCCATGAAATTGGTCCCTGGTGCTGTTTTATGTAATTCAGTACAGCCATGTGGCTCTCCTGGCATGAAAGCATCTGTCCCCTTCCCCTCTGTACATTTGTGCCAGCTCTTACTGTTCCCCCTCTGCCTCAGTTCCCTACACTCCAAAAACACAAGTTACCCCCATCTTTGATTCTCTCCCTGTTCCCTGTGGTCCTCTTGAATATGTGTGTGTTGGGGAGAACAGCAGGGGTTCCTTTCAACTCACAGACTAAATGGTCTCTTTTCCCATGAATTAGCCATTGTTTCTCATCCTGCTAAGCCGGGGTCTGGCCCTCCCACTCCCTTCCCCTAGCGAATGGAGGCCTCACTGTGCACTAGGATTGGCCAAGAGACGGGAGATGGTTTCCTGTTGAACTTGCTGGAAGGGGTTGGAGACTTGTAGAAGAAATTACACAAAAAGAGGGGCTTCGCATTTCAAAAACCTAGGTCAGATCAAAGCCAGTGACCTAAACTAGACTAGCCAAGAAGCCTCCCACCCTCACCCCCAAAAGAAAAGACAGCTCCATTTCTCAGCTTCTTCAGATCCTGCACAGACTTGGAGGCTGAGCCTGAGTGAGACAAGAGACTCCCTTGTGACCTTTTCCTCAAGTTTTTTCTTCCAGTCAGTCACCTTGTCCAGGAGGCCCAGGTGATCTTCTCAATGACCACGGCTTCAGTTACCTGCTTCCCCAGGGGGACCTCATGCACCTGGCGCTTATAGGCACCTGTTGACACCTGTAGGTAGAAGGGAAGCCATGTTCATCAACGTTCTTTCTCAGTCCCACAGACTCCCTTTGGGCACAGTTTCCCAGAACACTGCCCAGCCTCTGCATCCCTAGGGCTTTTCTCCAAACCCAAGCTCAGCTCCAGGCTGCAAAGCCTATGGCCAGCCCATGACAACAACAGCAGGCCATTTTCCCATCTTTCTTCTCATCCATTTTCTCGCTATTTTCCAGAGTCCTAAGATAGCGGTTCTCTGAGTGTGGTTCCCGACCAGCAACGTCAGCTGCATCTAGAAATGTGTTAGAAATGCAAATTTTTGGGCCCCACCCCAAACCTACCCAGACAGACACCGAAAGGGTGGGGCCCAGCAGTCTCTGCTGTAACAAAGCCGCCAGGTGTTTCTGATACACAGGAATCCCAGTTCACAGGAAACCAAGAACCTTTGGTACAGAGGTAAGGCAGGTTTCTCATGGACAGTGGGTGACACAGATGATCTCTGAGGTGTCTAGAACCTGAACCTCGGTGCTCTGGGAGTCTTCTAAAGGAAACAGACCATTTTTCCTACCATCAAGACATTTGCAGTGAATGGCTGCTGCCCTTCCTGTTCAGCTTCCTCTCTCCCTGCAGTGCTTCTCCTGGAATGAGCTGGGAAGCTGAGCTCTTTCCTGCCTCAGGGCTTTCATGCAGATGGCCTGGAACAATGTTCCCACCTCTCTGTTGGCTAACACCTACACACCCTGCAGACCTCAGCTTAAATATCACTTGCTGAGAGGAAGTGCATCTAAATTCAGCACCTTGTTACATGCTCCCCGGAATGCTGTACTTTTCCTTCTTGGCACATAATCACAATTTGTAATTATATTTATATTTTGTGATTGTCTGTTTAGTGCTTGTCTTCTCTGTTATAGAGCAAGCTCCAGGAAGCAGGGACTGAAACTGCCTTTGCAAAATTATGATTGAGACAGTGAAAGAGATCTAACTTAACTGGCTCCATCTTGTTTCTAACCTCCATGCTGTCCTTGTTCATTCCTGGATGTAGGCTGAACTAACTTTGGGAGAAAGTTTATAGTTTATGGTTTAAACAAAGATGGTAGCAGCCCTTTCCCAAAGCAGACCTCCTTCTTGCCTGGGGACCAGATTGCCTTTGTAGGATTAACATTAGCCAAAAGATTAGAAATTATGGTTTAGGAGTCATGTAGCTGGAGGCTACAAGATTCTGACCCTCAAACTGCTCCTAAATTCAGCGCTTGAGATATTTTGCAGACCGTGCACTTGATGGATCAGCTGGCCCCACCCAGATCAATACACTGGCTCATCTGATCTTGTGGCCCCCACCCAGGAAGTGACTTAGTGCAGGAAGACAGCTTCAACTCCCTATGATTTCATCTCTGACCAATTAGCACTCCTGGTTCACTGGCTTCCCCCCACCCACCAAATTATCCTTAACAACTCTGCTTCCGGAATGCTCAGGGAGACCAATTTGAGTAATAATAAAACTCCGGTCTCCCGCACAGCCAGCTCTGCGTGAATTACTCTTTCTCTATTGCAATTCCCCTGTCTTGAGAAATGGGCTCTGTCTAGGCAGCCGGCAAGGTGAACCCCTTGGGTGGTTACGGGACCAGTCTCATTTTGTCCATCTAAAAGTCTAGCATAGTGCCCGGTTCAGCAAATAGTTGAATGAATAAATACATCCTCTCTCCTTTTACAGTGAATATCCAGCTCCAGGCCAGCTCACAAACGCAGATTTCTTGAGTGCTAGAGAAATCATTCTGTTTTTAGGGATCAGTCCCAGCAGTGGAACCCTCTCCCTCCCTTCCACCGGTCAGTTCCCCTGGGACCCAGGGATGAGCTTTCACTCCAGGCCCACTGGCTGGAGTCCAGGGCCCACGTATGGAGGGGCCATTCTACCCAGTAGAGTTGGGAAAGACATGAATAAATACCAGAAGCGGCACAAGGCTTAGGTGTAGCCCCAGAAAACTAGAAATCAGGAAACTCTGAAGAGGAGGTGGTGAGGGGCAGATTAAAGATGATTAGGGCTTGTGTTTCCTGTTTTTCTTACTCTTTATTATTTTAAATTCTATTTCCTCCACGTTCTTAAATTCTCTAAGCCTCTGTTTCTACATTTATAAAATATGGAAAAAGTAACTACTTAAGGAGTTCTGGTGAAGAGTGAGTTAGCACATTGCCTGGTACACAGTAAGGACTCGATTAATATAGGCCATTGTTATTACTGCTGTTATTATTGGTTGCCCCAGATATAAGTAAACCCCAAGCATACCTGAATGTATTTGCCATCCGCAGAAAAATCCATCTGAATGACAAAGCTTGGGATATCTTTGCAGTAGCCAATGCGGTTCAGATTTGTGCCCTGAGTGAGGTCATAGAAGTCAACTGTGTGTTCAGAAGAACCAACGGCTAAGAATCGGTTGTCTGGGCTGATTCTAGAAAAAGCAATCCGAGAGCAGAGTCCATGAGGAGGGCTGTTTGGGGCTGGTCAGGCACGAAGGCTGGTCTGTGACAGGCCTTCCAGGCCTAAAGGCAATGAGAGCCACCTTGTGACTCACATGTGGTCAGCCTCTCCTGGCATTCTACGGAATTCAACAATTTATCTGGATCGAATCCCCGGGAAATATGTAGAATGACATTTACAAGTAATTTTAACCACACTTTTATGGAAATTAGCAAAGACTTGTCTAAGAGTGAGAGTGGGAGAAGGTATTCTTTCATAGGTGGCTTGTTGAAAGTGACCCTCTCACAACTGAGTTCTTTATTCCAGCCGTGGCTGGAATGGGAACCACTGGTAAGCAGAATGCTTGCCTTTCTCCTCCATGCCCAGACCACCCACTTAGGTACCTGATATCTTGGATAGCAGATTTCCGGTCTCGTTTTTTCCCCCAAACTTTCAGGCTGTTCACCAACAAGATGACAAACTCTCCATTCTTCATGCCAATGGCCACCATCTCCCCATCAGGGCTGTAGGCTGCACACCTGGCCGCATGGCCCAAGCTCACCTTGTTTAACAGCTTCTACATTGATGCAAAGGAAAGTCACCTGAGCTCTTGGCCCCCTCAGCTGGTCTCCAGGAGACATTCTGCACCAGGCCAGAGAAGTCAGGCTGCCCTCGCAGCCACTGCAGGCCACCAAATCTCTTGCTTCTTAGAGTAAATGTCCCTGAATAACTGAGCAGAGCTGTATGTCTTGATTAGAGCAGCTTGGGGGACAACAAGTTTTAGGGCACAGGCTGCCCAGCTTTTTCTGTAAATGATTAGGTAGCACCCACTTTAGACTCTGTGGGCCATAGTCTCTGTCGCAACTACTCACCTTTGCCACTGTAGCACAAGACAGCCTCAGTACCTGAATAAATGAGGGCAGCTGGACTTGTAGAAACAGGCCACAGGCCCGATCTGGCCTTTAACTGTAGATTGCCAACCTCTTCTTTAGGGGAAAGAGTGTGAGCTTCTGCCTCTGCTAGTTCAAATTCTGAATCCTGGCCCTGTCACTTACTAGCTGGGTGTGTTTGGGTAAATTACATCTCAGTTTTTAGAGTTTTACTAATAGCGATGTTAATAAGGGTTTTGCAAGGTTATTGTAGGCACTGATCATGTCCATGAAGCAGCTGGTGTTATGTAGTTAGTCAAGTAGTGACAGCTGTTGCTAATAATGTTTAATAAATAATTACAGAAACTAACTTAAAAGTCTAGCAACCATACTCAAGCTTTTACCTGACTATTCTGTGACTCTGACACTAAAAATACAACAAACACTTACCAGCCATTTTAAAATGAAACCAAGTATTTTAATTAGTTGAACTTGAGTACTTGTTTTAACACTGGATAAGGCCATGAGGATCGGCAAGAACTCTTTGTTCCCTCCCACCCACCCCGCTCCGCCCAGCCACTCCTTGCTATTTCACAGTTTTACTCCAGATGAACTTTAACATTGCCTTCCCAAGCTCTAAGAGAAACCTTGTTGGGATTTTGACAGAAATACATTAGGCCCATTTCAGAACATTTCACATTTTAAATCATTTTTAGTCTTCTCATCCAGGGAAAACATGATTTGTCTCTATATTTTTAGTTTTGTGGGTTCTTTCATGACAACAGAATAATCCTTCTCAATTATATTGTTTAGACGGGGTGTGGTGAGTGGGGCTTCTTTTATCGTTAGGTTTTCTAACTCGATCTCCTACCTGGCCCCATCCCCGTCTCTGCCATGACGCTGGCTGGGCCTCTCCTCGCTCAGCTCCCACTGCCGCGCAGCCCACTCGTGGGCATCTGAGTTTGGGCAGAGTCGGCCTCACCTTGTCAGCCAGGTCCCAGATCCGGGCTGTGCCATCGTTGCTGGCAGAGATGAAGAGGTCCTTGGAAGGGTGAGTGGCCAGGCCCCAGATCTCCCCTTCCATGTGACCATCAATCAGGATGTTAGAAGCAGCATTTTTTTCACCAACTTCAATTATTTCTCCGTCTTTGGTTCCCACTAAGATTTTTCCCTGTTGTAATTGAAACACTATTAGAAAAAGGACAAATACTGTATGACTGCACTCATATGAGGTATCTAGAGTAGACAAATTCATGGAGACAGAAAGTAGAATGATGACTGCCGGTGAATGGGGGTGGTGGACAGGGGAGTCAGTGTTCAGTGGGTACAGTTACAGTTTTGCAAGAAAAGTTCTGTGGATGGTGGTGATGGCTGCACAACATGTGAATGCACCTAATGCCACTGAATTGTATATTTACAAATGGTCAAAATGGTCAATTTTATGTCTATTTGGCCACAGTTAAAAAAATTTAAAACACCACTATTATTAGAAAAACTTGGGGATTGCTTGAGCCCAGGAATTTGAGGTTGCAGTGAGCTATGATGATGGTACCACTGCACTCCAGCCTGGGTGACACAGTGAGACCCTGTCTTTAAAAAAAAAAAAAAAACAAGTAACTTGAGAAAATGCCTTTGCAGTGTTAATATTAAAATAAGAAGGGGTGAGAAGTGTTGTTTTTGTTTGTTTTTTGAGGCAGGGTCTCACTCTGTCACCCAGGCTGGAGTGCAGTGGTGACATCTTGGCTCACTGCAACCTCTGCCTCCTGGGTTCAAGCGATTCTCCTGCCTCAGCCTCCCCAGTAGCTAGGACTACAGGTGCCCGCCACCACATCTGGCTAATTTTTGTATTTTTAGTAGAGATGGGGTTTTACCATATTGGCCAGGTGGTCTCGAACTCCTGACCTCAAGTGATGTGCCTGCCTCTTGGCCTCCCAGAGTGCTGGGATTACAGGTGTGAGCCACCATGCCTGGCCAGTGTTTTGTTTTTAACAACAAACTGTCCATTCTTAATTGCTCTTCTCCACCCTCTTACTTTGCCCTTTCTCCATCAGCTACCTCAGGTGAGAGCTTCAGCACAGACTCCTCCATCACCCAGCCTCTGCCAGAATATTCCAGTGACTGCAGAGCAAAGCAGCCAATTCTCCTGTTCTTGGACAGCTCAAGCTCTTAGTAAGTTCTTCCTTCCACTGAACAAAAATCTGCTTCCTGGCCAGGTGTGATGGCTCACGCCTGTAATCCCAGCACTTTGGGAGGCCGTGGTGGGTGGATCACCTGAGGTCAGGAGTTTTGAGAACAGCCTGGCCAACATGGGAAAACCCCATCTCTACTAAAAATACAAAAAATTAGCTGGGCATGGTGGTGGGCACCTGTAATCCCAGCTACTTGGGAGGCTGAGGCAGGAGAATCGCTCGAACCCAAGAGGTATAGGTTGCAGTGAGTTGAGATCATGCCACAGTACTCCCCCTGGGCAACAGAGCAAGACTCCGTCTCAAAAAAAAAAAAAAAAAAACTACTTCCTGATAACTTCCAGGCTCCAGGCATAGTCCTGCCTTCATCTCCCATAACTACCCTTCCAGGTGGGCATCACTTAGCTATTTAAGAACAAAATCCCCAGTTTTGAATCATGTGGTACTCCATATCCAGTTTGCCTTTTTCATGGACAGCATCTAGAAAGCAAATTCTTAGACTGATATTTAAAAACAAACACAAGGTATTCAATAGAAGTTTGGAGATTGGCTTTTAAGTGCATCAAATCTCCTGGGGGAATTTAAATAGAAGGAAATAGAAGGAAACATACAGGTCCAGGTCCCACTCCTGAGATTCTGATTCACCAGCTCCAGGTGGGTGCCCGGACATCCATATTCTTTAAAACCCGACAGTTGTTTTTGATACGCTACCCAAATATGAGTTGGAAACCAATGGCTTTGAGTCAGACAGTTTGGTGGCCCTTACCCTCCTCCTTACTGGCCCTATAGCTTAGGGCATGGGCAAACTATTTAGTATCTCTGAGCTTATGAGGATATCATCTATAATACTAGTAGCTAACATCTCCTGAATGGGACTATATGCCAGGTAAGATGAAAGGCACTGTCATGTATAAATATGTGACCCTCACAAAAACCTCATGACAAACCTGTGTGCTGGACACAAAAACATTAAGGAACACACCCAAGGTCACCCAGCTGGTTCTTCCTGGGGGAGTCTGACTCTCTTAAGCTGCTTCCCACTACAGCACAATTCATGTATTGAGGCCTTGTTTCAAGGAGTAAACAAACCAGCCCAGAGAAAGTGCCGGCTGGGAGGGTACCTACACTTCCCCCTTCCCTGGCCCAGCCCCCAGGGGAGCTGGCTGTGCTCACTTTTCCACGGCACACGGAGCGCACACACTCCACCAGCTGCCCGGTCTCCAGCTGAAAGGCCCGGCAGCGCTTCATCTCCTGGTCCCACAATTTTACAGCACCTCCTTCTTTGGTCCTAAAAAAGATTGAAAGGGACTCAGGCTGTTAACCCTCATCCTAAGACCCACTACCCCCTCCGGCCCTCTCCCCTCTTTCCCAGTCATCAGGGTTCTGGCCAGTTGGGGCCCAGAAGGAAAGACCCTCCAGGGTCCAGACCCTCCAGGCAGCCTCTCTCTTAGGCCCTGGTGCTAAGCAATCCCAACCTCCTGAGCTTGCAGATTTCCTAAAATGCCTTCAAATGCTACTATCTTGGGAGGAAAGAAAACGTAATTTGGAAATTCAGACTTTTTATTAGATTAGAACACAGAAATGTTTCTCCTGTCTTCAGGCTTTGCTTCTGCATCTCCCCTCTTCTCCTCCTTCCTCCATTCCTCCACAGAGCTACTAAGAATAACGTTTTATCAACAGCAAAGTCACTGTGGTTTGTTCAAGAATACCTCTCAAGATTTTCTTTTAATTTATTAATTTATTTTGAGATGGAGTTTCACTCTTGTCGCCCAGGCTGGAGTGCAATGACATGATCTCGGCTCACTGCAACCTCCGCTTCCTGGGTTCCAGCCATTCTCCTGCCTCAGCCTCCCTAGTAGTTGGTATTACAGGCGCCCACCACCATGCCCGGCCAAATTTTGTATTTTCAGTAGAGTCAGGGTTTCACCATGTTGACCAGGCTGGTTTTGAACTCCTGACCTCAGGTGATCTGCCCACCTTGGCCTCCCAAAGTGCTGAGATTACAGGCGTGAACCACCATGCCTCTCTCAGGTTTTTAAACTATCATCAAACCACCTCTGCACTCCTCTCTTCCTTGTGAGGATCTTGACTTAGGGCCCTCTTGGAGAGAGAGCAGACTGATCTTCCTAATGCAAAAAAGATAGGAGGATGACAGTCTGCATTTTCTCCAAGTTGGGAACACTTTTGTCAGTTTCTCCCAAGATAACAACAAACGACAAGTTGTTTCCATAGGAGCTTTGGCTTACGGCCTCTCTTTTCCGCCGGTCACTATGAGTCCATCCCGAAGGGTTGTGTACATTGTGAACACGGGGCCTGTGTGAGCCTTGGCCACCAGCCGGATGAGGAAGTGGTCCTTCCAGACGTAGACATCTCCATTGATGGCACCCGTGAAAGTGAGATTGTTCTGTAAACAAAACAACATCTTCTACACCCGGAACACACTCAAGCGGGTCCCTCCCCAGCCACCCGTTCTCTCATTAAGGAACCAGAGCTAGAGATGCAGACAGCCTAGGCAGTTTGATCTCTTTGTGCTAAGGAAAGCAGCAGAATTTGCAAAGAAATCACCGAGAGCACATCACAAGGCAGTCACCTGGCTTGGAAATTCACTATATTTAACTGGCTTGGGCATCTGACTTCCCCTCTGAGCACAGCTGTGCATTAGCAAGGACTTCCCTTCTGTAAGCATGGCCCAAGTGACAGCAGGGATGGGGCAGACTCCAGGCCAAAGGACACTTTCCTAGGGCTCCTCTACAAGAGGGAGAAACCCACTCCTGGAGGACCACGAAGTTGGAGCTTGCATTGGCTGAGGGCACCCCATAGCCCACTTAAGGGTGGTAATTGGGGGCATCTGTGGCACAAGAGGGCTGGTAAGAAAAAGGATCATTATCTACAGTGGAAATTGTTCCCAATATCCTCTGGGGCTTGCAACTCAGGGTTGCCTTTAGAACAACAAACCTCCTGTCCTGGGTGGGTGTCCTACCTTTTCTGGTTAATATTTTAAGAAAAAAAAAATATTGGCCAGGCGAGGTGGCTCACACCTGTAATCCTAGTACTTTGGGAGGCTGAGGCAGGCGGATCACCTGAGGTCAGGAGTTCAAGACCAGCCTGGTCAACATGGTGAAACCCTGTTTCTACTAAAAATACAAAAATTAGCCAGGCGTGGTGGCAGGTGCCTATAGTCCCAGCTACTTGGGAGGCTGAGGCAGGAGAATCGCTTGAGCCTGGGAGGTGGAGGTTGCAGTGAGCCGAGATTGCGCCACTGCACTCCAGCCTAGGTGACAGAGCAAGACTCTGTCTCAGAAAAATAATATATATATGTATGTTGCCAACCCACCCATATGTGCTACAGAAAAGGAACAGTGGTTGCAGATAAGCCAGTACAGGAGCGAATGTGGAAATGGCTTTCCTGCTGTTTTCAGCCTCTTGGCCAAACTCCCCTCCTGCCCATGCCCATGCCCATGCCCAGGGGGTCTGGGTCCCCTTCTCAGGGAGTATCTGCTAGAACTCACAGCACCGAAGGCCACGGAGAGCATCGTCTGCATTTTGGCAGCTCCCAGGGACCCGATGACCCCTTTCTTGTAAAGCAAGGCGCTGCCTGCCAGGGTCCAGAACTTCATATGTTTGACCCCGACAGATACAAACTGCGTGTCTGAGTCGGGGCGAAATTCCACCACAAATATGCGCTCCAGGTGACCCCCTCGGCTGGCAACCTTGGCACCTGTGTGGGTGACAGAGTCCAGTGAGGCTCCTCATTGCTTCATGGGCCAGGCCGGGGGAGCCGCAGCCCAGGAGGTCTCCACCCCAGCAGGCGTAAGCCATGCCTCAGTTCTTCTTTACAGCACTCTCTCCCCTTCAGACACTATTCCCCAGGTGGCAGCGGGGAAAGTGTGTCTGGCAAGTTTCCAGAGCAGCAGGTGCTGGTAACAGATCCCCCAACCCAGGCATTCATGAACGTAGCAAGAAAGGATGGCCTGTGAGATGGAAGCTTCCAGATATGAGAAGGCAGCAAAGTGGCTTAAAGATATCCCCCATCCCCCTTCCATCAAGTCCCCAGCATCACCACAGGAGTCGTCCCCCCACAGGATGACAGAGCCGCTCCCAGAGGGCCACTGGGACTCACATTCCTCTAGAGAGCTTTTTTTTTTTTTTTTTTCCTAAGATTCTCCTGCATTTTCTTTAAGTTCCCCGTTTTCCTTTTTAGTTTGTGGTGTTTAGGTTTAAATTTTTTTACCTTTTAAGTACTATTTTTCCTTAACCCCATTTATTTATGTCTCCTGAGTTTTATTTAACCTTTGTCTTAATAAAATTCCAACTCTACCATTTACTTGTAGAACAACTTTAGACAAATTATTTAAGCTCTCTGTGCTTTAGTTTCCTTACCTGTAAGATGGGGCTAATAATTGTTCCTATTTCAGAAGGTGCAGTGCAGATAAAAAGAATTGAAGTAAGTGAAGCCCTGAGCACAGTGCTTGATACTCTGAGTGATCATGTGTTAGCCAGTATTAGTAGTAGTAGTAATAGTATTATCATCACTCCTTTAGCTACTTTTAAAATTTCTTGGCTTCTATTCTTTTAGCCTGTATTTTAAACTCACCTCTTTTTTAATCTCATTATTTTTAAGCTCTCGAGTTTTAAATTTTTGTTTTAAACCTGTTACCCTTTAACTTACTCTGAATGTTTTTGTTCCGATTTCTTGTCACCCCTCCCTTGATTATTCACACACCTATTTTTTTCTTCTTCGTTCTCATCACTTCGCATTTGTTTTTATGACAGCTTTCTAGTACCATGATGGTGGTGGGTTTTGATGTAGCTGGGCCTGTGGCCACCCCTCTGATACTCCCTAACAGAATCTCTTTCCAGGCGAGGCTAGGGGGACCCACAGAGAACTTCTCCCAGCTGTAATTCTCTCTGCATATGGAATCTCTGACTTACTGTAGCAGATCTCTCTCTACTTAGGGCTCAGAGGTTTTAAGACCCACAGTCTCCAAGGATACCATAAACAAAGTAACACAACATACGGGAAGAAAGCACTTGCAATGCTTATAAGATTCAGAGGATTAACATTAGAGATCTATAAGGAACTACAAATTATAAGTAAAAGACAACCCTCCCACTCCAAGTAGTAAAAGGATTTGAACAGGTAGATTACAAAAGCAGCCAATACAAGTGGCCAATGAGATGGAAAGAGATTCCAGCTCACCAGTCATGGGAGAAGTGCAAACAAAGGAAAGAGATTCCAGCTCACCAGTCATGGGAGAAGTGCAAACAAACAATGAGTTGCACATTTTTTCAAAGCCACTGTTTATATTTTCCTTGTTTTAATTTCATGGACGCTTCTAATTGTGGAGACACCTGTATCCCTCTCTGCATTGGCTTCTAGTCTGCTCAGAGCAAATTACACATATACCTAGGACCTGACGACATGGATTTTATGTAATAAGCTCATTTTTAGGTCTATTTTATTTTTACCTACACACACACACACACACGTTCCCCAAAACAATCCTCTAATAAATGAAGAATGAATAATAGGCTCTCTAGTGATACATAAAATGTATGTAAACCTCCCCAAACACATGCTATTTATCTGTAAGTAAGACTTGAAATGAAGGCAAACCCACACTGGAGAAGGAAGGGAGGAGAAATGACATGTCCGTGGTCAACCCGGAAGAGGTGGTGGCTAGCGATAGGTCACATATCAGCACTGGCTCACAACCCTCTGTACAAACAAGAGCAGGCTCCTCTTTTCCTCGGGAGCTTGTTTAAAAGCCCTGGCTCCTCTAACCTTCCCCTGGGAGGTCAGAAGGGACCCTGGGTGAGCAAGAGTCTGTGCTAGGGCAGGCCAAAGCAGGCACTGCTTGGAGGACAGGTAGAGGGAGTGAAGACAGTGAGCCTGAACCTAAAAAGACAAGGCCGTGCAGTGGGGCCAGTGTGAGAGCTTTCTTCCAAGGATCTAGGAACAGTTAGCAGCACAGAAGAAACATATAATGAAGCAATTTCTGTCCCCACATAAGAAGGGGCTTTACGCAAGAGCTTTCTGACAGCGTGTGGGCTGCCTTGTGAAGTGAGGAGAGCCACATCCTTGAAAGTATTCAAGGGGTCCTTGAAAGCCACACCCCTTGAAAGGACAAAGGGGTGCATTTGAAGGAATTTCTCCTTAGGATGGGTCCTAACTGCAGGAAGTCTTCTCTAGTTCTTCCCACTCCAAGATGCTCTCTGTCTATCATTTAAGATGCTCAATTTCTCTGGGCTGAGTCTGGTCAATCAGTTGGCCACTTGACATCACAAGGAATGAATCTGCACCCCTGGGATACTGACTGTGCAGCCATCTGGGTGAGATATACTGGTGAACCAGAGAATGAGAACATGTGGTTTCCTAGAAACATTATAGATCATGTCACCTTCTGAAGGAATATGGTATCATTACAAATGTCTGCAAGCTGTCAGGCTCTTTTCCTCATATGGGGGTGCTCAGGAGTGACTGGAACTTTCCCCCAGTGTGCTGATCTCTTTACAACCTCCACGCACCACCCCCTCCATGGGAAGATGCAGAGATAATGGGACTCCAGAGCCCTGGATGGGAGAAGTGACACCTCTGCGCTTGCCTGGTAGAGCGTGTCCCAGATACAGGCTGCCTAGCTGCAGACAGACCTCATTAATGTTCTGACTAATTGGATCTGCTCTTGCCAGGGCAGTACCCAACCTGAGAATATATGAGGAGGACTGCACATCTTTAGTTCTAAGATGACCACACATTCAGTTGCAGCTTGTGTGTGTGCATGTGTGTGAGGTGTGTGTGCATGTATTGGGGGAGGACTAGAAAGAAATCCTGTTACAGTAAATGTAAACCTGGATTGTAAGATAAATCCCTATTTCAAAAGTGTTAAAATGTTAAAAAAAAAATTTAAATGTTTCTGAGACTATGATAAAACATGATCCCATTTCCTAAAATAAAGCAGACAAAGTGATAGGGCTGTAGTAGGATCCAGGGGCCATCAGAAAGAGCACGGAAGACAAGGACCCTTGGGTAGGAAGGTGGCTAAGACAGATGTCGGGGAGGCTGCTGCCTTCCGAGGAGGAGGGCTGCCAACATCGGGGAACCTCCTCAGAGCCCCTTCACTAATGGGCCCTGGAGTCCCTGGCCAGCCTCCTCCTGGCCCTGGGACCCTGGGATGCACTGGCATCAGTGGGGCAGCTATACCAGGATCCCCAGTGCCCTGTTTTCCACTTGCCCAGCAGCAGTCAGTGCCTACGGCAGGCTTCGGAGTGAGGCAGATCTGGGTTCGAGCCCACAGGCTCGACACCCACAGGCAGACACCCTGGAGGGACAGAAAGCCCAGTGCTGGTTTACCTTCCTGCCATCGCCAGACAGTGATGGTGTGCTCAGGGTCCACTCCCACCGACACCAGGAGCTTTCCAGTTGCACTGAAGTTGATGTAATTCACCCCCTTGGAGTGGAAGCACCGCAGCATGGAGAGGGTGTGTTTGGTCATGGCGTCCCATATGTGGATGGAAGGTGTTGTCCCTGAGTGTGGAGAGGCATGACAAAGAAGTAAGGCTGACAAATGGCAGAGCCAAGGCGATGCTTATGTTCATGTAAAAGCCTTTTTTTTTTTTTTTTTAGACAGAGTCTTGCTCTGTTGCCCAGGCCAGAGTGCAGTGGCACCAGCTCAGCTCACCGCAACCTCCACGTCCTGGGTTCACACGATCCTCGTGCCTCAGCCTCCCGAGTAGCTGGGATTACAGGCACGCACCACCACACCCAGCTAATTTTTGTATTTTCAGCAGAGACAGCATTTCACCATGTTGGCCAGGCTGGTCTCAAACTCCTGACCTCAGGTGATCCGCCCGCCTCCCAAAGTGCTGGGATTACAAATGTGAGCCACTGCCGCCCGGCCTGCAAAAGCCTTTTTTAAGACAAATGTTTAGGGCTGTTACAGTCATTGGGCATAAGAGACCTATAGCCTGACCTGGCCAGAGGAGAAAGACTAGAGGAAATTTGCTTTTAAAGGCAGAGCCCTACGGACATTTATGTTCAACACACACACACTTGCAGAGGATTTTATACGAAGGAAACTGGTGAGGTCAATGATTTGTATCTGCAATTCGGCAAGATACAATCAGCAAACATGATAGAATGACATGATTTTGCTCTGCAGATTCAAACTACTCACGGATGGAACAGCCTTACCTGGGGTTTCCGTAATATCACCTGCATTGGGTGAGCAATGGCAATGAGGAAGCGTCAAGGGAAAACAATAGCTAAAATAAGTCACGTTTCCAACAGTGAAGCACTCAACACCAGCATCAGAAAGTTCCAAATTAAACTTAAAAATGGACATGATTCAATGAAAACAAGCAGGAAGTTGTAAAAATTGCTCGAGATGACTAAGTGAAAACAAACTTCTCATAAATGTGAATCAGTTCACATTTGTCACCGGCAGTTTCCCAGGGCACAGGGGGTCCAGGCACACTTACTGAAACCTACCCTGGCCAAGCACAATAACCAGCTTCAAAAGACACGGAGTTCTTGACACTTGGGGTCTGAAAAACTATTCTTACAAGTCCACAGGGATGGGGGCCAACGTTTATTTGGACTCTCAGGCGCTGGTCAGACTTTATGGTCCCTCAGAATCACAGTCACTGGATGTGTCAACGCAGGTGACACAGATACACTCAGGACTCAAAAAATCAACAGCAACATCAACAAGAAGGGATGGATGTAAGCAACCCACCCACTCCCTCTCCCAATAATTGCTGACAGGTCAGCGTCCCTGCAAGCTGGGAGAGCCTCAGCTGCCACAGGACCTCCTACCTATCTGGCTGGTGGCCACCACGTTTCTGTACTTGGGGTGCTGGTTCACTGTGAGACAGAGGATGTCATCTGTGTGCTCCAGATAGAAGCTCTGGCTCCCTGGGGGAGAGAGATCATGGGAGGGTGAACAGTGGAACCTAAAGACCTTTTAGGGCAACTTCAAAACATCGCGTGGAGCCATTGGATACTTCTTATAAAAGTGAGAGCTTACAGCCCTCAAATTCTCACTTCCAGAATCACACTTGGGGAGATGAAGGGTCGTTTTTTTGGAATGTTCATATTCTGTTTTGGGTCTGGGAGAAGGGGAGCTACTGTCTGTTATCTGATACACTCAAGCTGCTCTTCGATACTTCCCACAACTCTGTGTGGGTCCAGAGCACAGTTCAAGTACAGGGGTTTCCAGAGTCCACAATGATGAAGGTCAAAGTCTCCTCCACTCCATGGCACAGGACTGGTGCTTCTCAGTGTCCACATCTGGGCAGAAGTAGGGGTGGAGGCCTGGAGATGATGCTTTACTGAGCAAAATGGTACCACTTCTTCATGTGGAATATGAAATTCTCAGGGACTAATCACCTTTGCTCACCAAATGCCAATCCACTTGGGGGCCTGGACAGCACAGGTGATGGCTTTACCCTGGAAAGCCCTAACTCGACATATGTCACAGGAAGTGGAAGAAAGAGCACTTTACCATCTATCAAAGCAAATGGGTTTGCTGACTTCCATAATAGCCACTTTAAACCCACCCAAATGCTCAAGAACCTAAAGATGAATGATGGTGTAGATACACAAGGAAGGTGTGTACTGCTACCAATATGATGGCAAGGCTAGAAAGTGAAGAAAATATATAGACAATGTCAAGGTCCTCCTCCCCCTCAGATACACACAAATCAACATGTGCCCAGTGATTTCACTGTTTAAATCTATGTATGAACAACTACACAGAATTGACAAAGAACAAAAATTTAAAATGAAAGGTGTTTTTTTTTTTTTCTTGAGGCATGAGCAAATAAGGCAAAATGTGAACCTGTTTAAATCTGGTGGTAATGATATAGTTTTCTGTTAATTTCTGAATGGTTCTTTTTGTTTGAAATGTTCATTTTTAAAATTTGAGTCACCATGTGGTTTGAGTATTTTTTTTTTTCTTTTTGAAATAAGAGTCTCCCTCTGTTGCTCAGGCTGGAGTGCAATGGCGCGATCTTGGCTCACTGCAACCTCCACCTCCCAGGTTCAAGCAACCTCAAACTGGGTTCTCCTGCCTCAGCTTCCTGAGTAGCTGGGACTACAGGCACCTGCCACCATGCCTGGCTAATTTTTGTATTTTTAGTAGAGATGGGGTTTCTCTATGTTGACCGGGCTGGTCTCGAACTCCTGACCTCAGGTGATCCGCCCACCTCAGCCTCTCAAAGTGCTGGGATTACAGGCATGAGCCACCTTGCCGGGCCTGGTATTTTTGTTTATTGTTTAATTGTTTTCATTCTCATTATAAATGTGGCTAAACTGTCAAAATACAACTTGAAAAATCTGAGCTGTTAAAAAATAGCTCATTGTAAAAATGAATAGGCAAAGTTCTGTGATTTCTTCATGGTTATGGTCTCCAAGGAATTTCTCCACTCCTTACACCCTGTCTCTTGCTTTTCTCCATGGCTGTCGGTTACAGAGGCTGGTGTCAACATGGCCGCCTTCTCTCTAGGGCCTATGATGAGGTGAGGTCAAGCTCAGGTCAGAAAGAGAGAAGGCTCTGACTCTGGTAACTGAACCTGAGCGTTACCAGGCCTAACTGAGACCATGCTGGAATTGGGGGGAATGGCTCTATAAGGGAAGGAAAATGCTTAAGCTTTTGGGCATCTAAAGAGTGGGGAAAGCATGTAAAAAACAGCTAAAAGAAAAACCTGTATTTTTTAACCCCCGGTTACCTGTGGAGAGGTTCTGAACGATGCCAGCCGCTGCTGTGTGGAAGATGATGTCAGCGCCATCATTAAGGTAATGCAGGTTATTTCGACAGTCGAAACCTCTGTAGCCAAACACGTGGTCTAGAGCCAGCTCCTGCATTCACACACACAGATCAATGTGACCCTCAGAGGAAGGAAGGGAGAGCCGAGGAACACACCCACATTGCGTGAGCAGCCTCGTGTGTCCCAGGAACGGTATGGCTGGTGACGCCAACACACACTCACTGAAAACATTTTGCTTCTTGACTGGCTGAGGAGAAAATGCAGCCCCTTCTTTAGTTTTCTGAAATGCTGGGGTGGCAGTCTAACACACAGAATCACCATGACTTTCCAAAAAACCCAGATTTACTTCCTGGCTCTGTCAGTGTGCCAAAGTCCAGAGATTTGATGCCCTGTAAAGGGTACCTAGCAGTTTTGTGTCTGTGCCTTGGCAGGCACTCTGGGTGAGCTGAATGGTGGCTCAGAGGTTTGCTCTAATAAACTCTCATCAATGTGACCAGGGTGGGTAGAGCAGAACATAGAGTCAAAGGCCATGCTCGTTCTGCTGCCTGGTGCTTGCTCTACAAAGTTGCTACATATTTGCCATTTTTTTCCCCCAAAAACTAGATACTGTTGAGGTTTATAGTCTTTCTCATCTTCCTGTCTTGTCTTCTAAGACAAAGAACAGTGGCTGATTCAGATCAGTTCTTAATCCAACACAGACCTCTCAGGCAGCTCCTCTGTGCCTATCACTGTGCAGGTGGAAGGATGGGGTGTGGGCAGGGAACTGCAGGAAGGTTTAGGGTGAGAAGCATCAGGAAAGACTCTACAGAAAAGATACTGGAGAAGGTCTTGGAAAGACCAGGGTACTGGGAGCTGGCAGGAGGAGCCTTCTAAGCAGAAGGAATGACAACACAGGGGCTTGAAAGTCCCAGGCAGCTTCCGAGAACACTAGCGGTGGGTTTGGGGGGCCAGAGATTTGCACTGTGGTGAAAAATCATAGGCGGTAAGCTTAGAAGGTGGCTCTGGGTAAGGTTTTGAAACCATGAACTTGAATCCCATTGGCAATGTGGGACTCTCCCAGGTCTGAAGGCCAGCATGAGGCATGGAAGATGTATACTTTAAAAAACCAACTCTGGAGGCATTGGGGCATGTGTCAGAGAGAGAGGGTGGAGTCTGAAGTCAGGCAGAACAGTCAGGAGGCCTCTGACTTTATGAGAGCCTAGTCTCAACAATTGAGTTCAAATCCCTTTCCACTTACTGGCTTGGTGATCTTGGGCTTGGGACCTGATAACTCCCTCAACTCCCCTCAGCCACAGCGTCCTCGTCGGGAAAATGGAAACAGTAATGGTGCGTCCCTCCTGTGTGTGAAGATTGTATGAAACGCTTCGTGGCTATGGAGCAGGGCACCCGGCAAACAGTCGGGGCTCAGGCAACATTAGAGACGGTGAATATGTGCTCCCCTGTCTCTTTCCTTTCTTCTCCATGGAAGGGATGCTGAGGGTCTGAGTGGGACCAAGTGGAGGGAAACGGAGCCAGGCTTGAGGGACACAGGACATCTTAGATTTAGTACTGAAAGGACCTGGTGACAGGGCTGGGGGAAGCAGGAATACGATACAGTGGCTGCGACTCTGGTCCCTGGGATGGAAGACACAGTGCTACGTAGGAGGGAGAGGGGACAAAAGAGAGCCCAAGGGACCTACTCCGTTTCATTTGACTGTGTCTTTGGGACGTGCAGATGGGGATGTCTACCAGGTATGTCTTAGAACGTCAATATCAGACTACAAGTGATTGTTTAACTCACCTCAACCAGTTTCTTTTTTTTGGTGATATTGTTCTTCTGCAGTTTCTCAGGCTGGGGAGCTGCTCGGCTAACGGGTGGTCTGGAAGAGAGAGCGGCCAGAGGAAGCACAGCATTGAACAAGGGCTGCAAGGCTGCCTTCCCGGTGTGGCCTGTCTAGGCCAGTGCCGGCCTCCTCTCTCCTCCCGCCTCAAAGGCCCCTCCACTTGGATCTGTTCAGTCCTGCCCTCCTCTCTCACTCCCCGCCTGCCACGGGACCCAGCCTGAATTCACAGGCACTGGGTTGGGCCTCCCCACGCTTGAGGCACCGTGGTCAGGGTCAGCCCTCCTCCCTCTGCTTAACCTTCTCCTGGGAGCAGGGGGAGCAGGAAGAACATGTGGGCTTGAAACAAGAGGGGCTTGGTTCAAAACCAAGGAGAAGCCTGACCATGAGGGGCGGGAGGCCACATTTCCTGGACTTGCTGACCTTTTTCAGACAGGGATGTGCTCATGTTGTTCAGAATTAAGTTGTCGATGGCCATGGTGTGGCGTGAAGTGGCACTTACAAGCCAGGCTGCGGAAAGGGCCCTAAGGACCACAGGCCAAGTGCCTAGGTCGGCCTCACTTCTCAGACAGGCAGGCAGGAAGCAGAGGGACAGGAGACAGACAGCACTCCCGCCTCCCACTCCGCCCTCGCCTCAGGACTCGGGTCTGCATTCAGCTGCTACCACACCAAAGGTTGCTTTTCCCGCCTCCGTTTTGGGGTCTGGGGCCTCCAAATTTAATGAAGAGATTTTATAATGTGTAAGCCCTAATGGAATCCTAGAGGAGTACGCCAGTTCTTGGTGACGTGGGGTTTCCTTAAATCAGATTTCTCTATGGATGGGTCGAGAAAGAACTGTACCAGCTCCCACCGCATGTTCCAAAGTAATTAGTTATTGCTCCCGGGATATGCAAAGAGAAGGATTACCTTGATCCCCTTGAAAGCAGCAAACAAAGCCAAGTGAGAAACTTAGTACAGTTTAGAGCCGCATTAGCAACCACCTCATTCATGCACAAGCATTTTCCAAGTGAACAGACATTCCTGTGTGGCACACACCATGCTTCCCCAGCATGCCAGCAAAGAACTAAAACAGAAATGAAAGAGTGCACCAGTCTACAAATTCAGAAAGCTCATACCCTGGCGTCTCTGGGCAAACTCTGCACTAAAGCGCCTACAGAATAGGGAGAGAAAAGGAAGCTTTGTCAATGCTTCCCGCACACTCTCCGTGACTTTACGAATGCGCCCGGGGACTCTGCTTAGAGTGTGCTGGGGAGAAACTTGCTGTCAGAAAAACAATGACATCTTCCTGGATGTCGTGGGGAGTTATGTACAATGGATACTTTGTTTCCAAATCAAGTTCAACTCATAATTTAGCCTAATAATTCCCAGTGTTTCTTGGTAGGTCAGCCTGCCTGCTCGAATGGCTTGCGGGGGTTCTTTTTGTGTGCAGGGGAAGACAGGGTACCTTTATTTTCTCAGAAACTCTTCAATCAAAACACGTTATGTAATCATAAGTGATAATTGGACCAAACGGTATTATAATCACCACTGAAGAATGGGTAGACAGCACATCTCTGCAAAACGACACCCCCGGCTGACATCATCGCCACCAAATTGAGCAAAATCGGGAGACTGGGGGCATGCCAGTTCTCACAATTAGACACTTCCTTCACATTAATTATCGCTTCCCAGGACATCTGCTCTTTCTTCTGTTTTAGTGGGACTTTCAAATGAAATCCGTGGGTTTCTTCTTTCACCTAAGAACGTTTAAGTGTATGACAAAAGCAAGCCAGGGGCTATGAGGAGAGCAAGAGGACACTGGAACTATGGCATGGCTCATAAGGCATTATTTGAGGATAAACACAGGGCTCGATTTCAGGGGACACACAGGTTGTATAATATGTAATATATTATACAGTGAATATAGAGTATGCGTACAAGCACAAACACCGTGTATTTATATATACAGGAGATTGTATATATATACACAGACGCAATCCGATGCTTTTTTTTTTCACCTTGATTTTCAGAAAAAAACCGAAAGGTAAAGCAATCTCAATGTTTCTTTCTCATTTCGCAAGCATATGTTTACAGCTGTATTGCTTCAAAACTGAAGATGAGAGGAGCAAGGGGAAGAAACCTGCATTGTGGCAAATTCAGCGGATTTTAAGTATTGACCCTTCGCGGTTGTGGATTCTGCGTGAACACTTAGTACTGGATGTTCACCAAACACCTGTGTTTGTCTCCAGAGCGGTGTGAATACTTACTTGACAATTCCCTGCCTCCAAAGGAAAGCAAGTTAAAACACAATACAAGTATTAAAAGCTTCTTTCCAGGCATCTATAAACAGTGTTCATAACATCAGATGTGGGAGGGACTGCCAGAGACTTCACACGTAGCCAAACACTGGAGGTTTAACAGTTTTCCGTGGATCTAAATCCTTCTAGATTCAGATTCCATCAGAAATGGGACTCTGAAAAGCTTTGCTGAGGTGGGAAGGAGTGGAGGCATGAGGACATTCACTCACTTTCAGTCCAATCAGCTCATTAGAGTTGGTCATTCCCAGCTGGCACAGGACAGGAGTGCGAGGAAGGCTGTGGGCACAACCCGGCATTGGCAGGGAGACCCAGTGGGGCCAAGATCTGGGAAGGTGAGGGGGTGAGAGACTGGAGGTGGGAGGAGCAGAGACACAAAGGGGCCTGGTGGGGCAAGTAGGCTTTGAGGAGAATGGGCAGGGGGGCAGGGTCAGGGAACAAAGGAGAAAGAGCTTCCATTGGCAAGAAATTTAAGGAGGGAGCCTGGCAAGACAGCAAACAAACTGGATAATCAGGAGAGAGGGTGGCACACAGGCCGAAGCTCTGGAGAGCAGGAGAAGCCTGCCAAGAAGACAGAGTGAAGGCAGGAAGCCCAGGGAGAGGCTGTGAACTCCAGCCTGGGGCTTGGTGTTGAGTAACAAGTCGGCCCTGCTCTTCAGTGCCTGTGGGGAGAGTCACAACCCTGTACCCCCTGTGGAAACAGTTGGCACATTCTGTGGGCAGGGCAGGATCATGGGAAGGCCAATTCCTGCTGTCATCCCACTGCCCAGCGCTGGGCTGCTGAAGAGAAAGCTTAGACTCAACTAAAGATGTGGGGAGTCTTATCCTGACACGGGCTCTTGCCCTGCACAGACCCGCAAGGCAGGCCAATGCCTGGGTACTTGTCCCTCCTTTCCCCCTCCCCAAGGCACTGGGCTGACAGAGCAAGAGGTGGAGCAGAGCACACAATGACCTGAAATGTGTAAGAGCATTCAGGGCCAAAGTGCTCAGGGAAGCTTCTGAAACCACTGAGGTCACGAGTCAGTTGCAACCCAAGATGAGTACAACATGAGAGCCAACTGGGGAGTGAGGCTTGGACAGCCTGTGAGAAACCAAGTCGTTCCAACCAGTTTCTATAAAGAGGGGTGTGGGTGTGGGTGTGAGTGTGGGGAAACTCAGTTCCAACTAGCCAAGAAATTCAAGTTTGAAGTTGTTTTGAGTCGTGTTCATCAGACAATGTTCAAAGTGTCCTTGGAGGAAACAGCTTTCTTCAGCTTCCAAAATGTGGCATAAAATGCTCCAATGGTTTTAGAATGTCTTGGGAAATCCAAAGGGGAGGGGGAGGGGAGAGAGAAGGGGGAGGCAGAGAGAGAGGGGAGAGAGAAGGGGGAGGGAGAGAGAGAGGGGAGAGAGAAGGGGGAGGGAGAGAGAGAAGGGAGAGAGAAGGGGGAGGGGAGAGAGGGGAGGGGGAAAGAGGGGAGGGGGAGGAGGGGTAGGGAGGGATGAGGGAGGGAGGAATGGGATGGGAGGAGAGAGGGAGGAGTGGGAGAGGAGGGAGAGAGGGAGGAATGGGAGAAGGGGGAGGCAGAGAGGGAGGAGGGAAGGAGTGAAGGAGGAGGGAAGGAGGGGGGTAGGGAGGAATGGATGGGGGAGGGGAGGGAGAAAGGGAGGGGCGAGAAACACAGAGAAATTAGCAACCACTGCTCTAGGATAAATCCAGGGTTAGGAAAAATCTCCAAAGCCAGGGGGCCTCTCTGTTATCAAGACCAAACTGGACTGTGTCAAGTGCATTCTTCAGAACTGGACTCTGTTAACAGTATTCCTAAGAACTGGACTCTGTTGAGTGTATTCCTATGTCTTCCAGAATCATGTACAGAGATACTTAGTGATGGGGTGATGGAAAGGATTCAGGCAGAAGAACTGCAGGATGTCCTGAAAGAAGCCTACCCTCTTGAAAATGCTCTTGACTGAAGCCTATCACACAGCTTTGTGTCTTTTTGTTGTTGTTTTAAAAAATGGGGATATCGTCTTAGACTTGGCTATTTTAGGTGAATACAAAGTTATTTGGGTGAAAAAATGAGAGTACAAAGGGTGGCGTAAAGGGAACTAAGTAAAGATGGGCAGAATACTGAAGAGGCCACTGTGATGATCCAAGAGAGGAATGATGAAGCACTTGACTGGAGCAGTGGTTATGGAGAAGAAAACAGGTGAATATTTAAAGAAAGGTTGGCGAAATAGACTTCACAGCACTTTGTCATGGAGAGTCTTTAGGGGATGAAGTAGGAAAAGCAACTCAAGGGCAATACCAGTTTTCCAGCTTGCATATCTGGACAGATGGTTGTATCATGGAATGAGACAGAGAGAAAATATCAATGAGGGAAGATGATGAGTTCAATTTTGGCACGTTGAGCTTTGAACACCCGTGAGATAGCTTTGTTAGTTGGAAGTTCCACTGAGAGATGGGAGTCAGTGACATGACCCTGGGAATCACTAGCCAATGGGTGGGATATAAAAGATTAATTAAGAGAGAGGGTAGATGGTAGAGGGTGAAAAGATGCCAGCCAAAGGTAAAATCCTGAGGACCAACAGCATGTAAGGGGCTGGAAGAGGAAGCAGAGGTGAGACACTGAGAAGAGAGAGGGAGGCACCAGAAGGGCCAAGAGAGATTCTTTCAAAAAGGCGAGAGAAGAACGTTTATATTCTTCTCTAACACGCACTGTCCAATTCAGTAGCCAATGCCACATGTGGCTTTCAAAAGTTTGAATTGTGCTATAACTATAAAATACACACTGGAATTTGAAGTCCTACTGAAAAGTTTTTAACAGAATGTAAAATATAATTTTATATTACATGTTGAAATATTTTTTAATATATCGAGTTAAAATATATTGTTAAAATCAATGTCACCATCTCAACTTTTTTAATGTGCCTGCTAGAAAATTTATACACGTGGCTCACATATTTCTACTGGACAATGCTACTCTAGAAGAAACAAGTTCTCTTAGTAAGACAGAGAGAGGAGAGTCACTGGACTCAGGGGTTAAAGAGCCCCCATGTCAGCAGAATGGCAGGGACAGAGGACAGATGAGATAGGATAGAGAATGAAGAAAAGACTACAAGGCCTGAATGAGAAAGGAAAAAGGTTGGAAGGAAGGTGACGGCAGAAATGTGTAAGTTTATAAGATTAATCAAAGGACCTGTTTTTTTTCCTGAGGAGAGCTGGGTGGAGGTGGGAAACTGGGATGTATTTTTTGGTTGAGGACATGGATCTGGCTGTGGGAGAGTGACACAGGAGACACAGATGAGGGAGCATGGATGGACAGGAGGCCGGGGCCAAGCACCAGGTGAGGGAACTGTCTTGAATAGGAGAAGGGACTTACTTCCTCTGAGAAGAGAGGGAAGAAGGTGAATGGCTTACGTGAGTGAAGGATGGGAAGCAAAATGGAGGAGAGAGAAAGAAGCACCAAGATGGAATGCGTGCCAGTGGCTTCTGTTTTCTCAGTGAAGGAGGGGCAGGAGGTTGAGTTGAAACCTGGATGACTGCTGAGAAGCAGCAGAGAAAACCAACCAAAGGAAAGGATGGAGGAGCTTGGAGGGCCATGTGCAGCAGCCAGGCAGCCTCTCTGGTGGTGGCCATCTGTGCCAACGTGGGACTTCCTATAAGAAGAGTGGAGAGGCAGGTGGTAGGAGGAATGTAGGGGAGAAGGGCCAACAGGACTGGGAAATGGCATTTGGGTAGGCACAAAAAGTGAGGCCAGGAAGGGCTGATGAACTTGGGGAAAAATGAAGGTGTCTAGGCACTTATTTGTCTTGATGAAGATCAGGTGTACCCGGGAATGAGAAATCCAGAGGACAGCTGGTTAAGACACTGAGGGACAAAGGAGTTCCTGGTGATGATGTAACCCAGGGCATGGCAGGAGCTGGCTGGGGTTGGCCAGTTGACCATGAGCTGAATTGCTCAGAGACAGGAAGTTGACAGATGACAAGAACAGGAAGGGGCAGAAGATGGCAGAGCATGACACGAACTTCAAATGAGCGAGAGGGAGTCGGGTAAAGAGCACGCCAACATAGTTTAAACACACCCACAAGAGCACCCTGATCCTTCACACCTTCCACTCCTGCAAATGCCTCCTCGGTTACCACATCCTGACCACACACTAATTGACAGGAGGCAGATCAACACCCCTGGTAGTGCCCATTCCCCCCAGATGGAGAATCTGTGAGATGTTCAGACACTTGCCTAAAAGAATCAGACCCAACTCTGCCACAGTCTTCGGAGAGTCACTCCCTTTTGACAGAAAAGTGCTTACATATTTTTGAAGTGTTCTTTTATCTCCATAAGTGAGTAGGTTTGATTTGATGATTACACTGTGGGAGTGTGATTTCCTAGGCACATTAAGCTTCTAAAAATCATTTTCCAACACTTTACTTCTGGATTTTTATACACTGGCCACTCTTTGTCATCAAAAGTGAAGAAACTATTCTATAATGAACAGCAGGTTTAATGCCTAAAATTATCAGACAGAAGTCATTGCTTTGCTTCAAACCAATACAGAAAATCAAGGGGTTTGAATAAAGAAAATCATTTATGAAAATAGCATCATATTCACTTAGAAAAAAATCAACGAATGATTCAGCTTTTAGTGGAGTTACCTAACTAAGCAATAGGCCTTGGAGATGATTAATTTCAGCATTTCTGGGTTTAATAGATATTATAATTTCAGTCCCTTCCAACTTCATAAAGAACAGGAGTCTTGCATTTCTACCTGCTCGCTGCAGCTATGCGGGCAGAACTCTTGCAGAACGAAGGGGTGGGATGAAGAAGAACGCAGCTTCGAGAGAAGGGCTCTGGAGCAGGAGTGCTCCTCGCCCTGCGTGCACTACGCGTGTGCCATCACTCTCCCATGGGGAGAGCTGGGCTCAGCTTAAACAACACACATGCAACTGCAGATCTCTGTACCAACTCTCAGGCTCTGTAAGCTCACTCCAGCCTTGGAAACGGGATGGAAATGTAGAACTAGAAGTTCCTCCCCATTTATTGGGCCAAGCTTCAAGATAGGATTGAGCAGTTTTCATCAATCTCTATATGGTAAATCCAGCAGCATTAGCTTAGCAGGATGGTCAGTTCTTAGCAACTCTAACAATACAGGCCCACAAAACAGCTATTGATCAATGACAACAAAGGGCCTCTGTCCGGCTACGCTGAGGAAGGAGCTGGGAGCACAGGTTGCTCATTTGCCGTTGACACTGTGCCACTTCACCATGCTCATCATGCCTCAGGCGAGCTTGAAATTCCCACAGATCTCCTGATTAAATAAGGCGTTTAAAAAAAACTGGGGGCAGCTTCCACATATGAGTGAACAGCAGAAGAGAGGATTTTGAATGGTCCCAACAGAAATAAATGACAAATGTTCGAGGTGAAAGATATGCTAATGATACCAATTTGACCACTATACATTGAAAATATTGAAACTATGTACCTTATAAACATATAAAATTATTGCATGTCAATTAAAAAATTAGAAACTAAATACAAACTGGGGGCAACTTCTCCCAGATTTCTGTTTCCAAGCACAGCATAAAAGGTTAGAAGGAAAACTGGGATTACTTATATACGGTGATTTGGTGACTGAAGGAAACCTGTCTACATCCTTCCCGTTTTCTCGTAGTCACTTATGAGCATGTTCTTTGTTTCATTGTAAACCTGCTGACAAAGCACCTTGGTGTGTACAATAGGCATGATAGCCACAGTGACACAGAATCTTCTTGATTCCTTTTGCCTGGGGTTAAACAGATTTAAACCAAACAAACATTGTAATTCCTGAAGGACAGATACTACAAAGATCAAAAAGTCATTTTGCCAAGTGCAGTCCCAGGGCCAACTGGGGCACCCTGGATTCTACATCAGTCACATCATTTCCCACAAAGACCATCCATAGTTGCTAATGAAGTGAAGGTAAAAGTGGTCGCTGACCAAGAATGGACTTGCACAGCATCTTGAAGACAGATTAAATATTAAGAGAATCAGGCTAAGTAAATTGGTCCATTCATCTATTCATTTGAAAAGTATTTGTTTGCTGTGTATTAAGTGTAAGGTACCACGTTAGACACACAGTGGTCCCATGATAGGTACAGTACCAGCCACTGGGGAACTGATAATCCTACACAGTTTATAATCCAGTGAAATTTTATATTGACGCCACAGACTAATAAATTAAGGAATCAAGGATTAAAGAAGGCTATTAATTTAGAGTTGAAACCAAAACATGACCAAAACAAACAAAAAAAATCTCTGAAACCCCATAAAATTTTTTTAAGCCCACAGTATATAGTTTTCTTTATAGAACTTTCTTTTTGTTTCAGTTCATAAACCCATTCAAATCAACTCAGAAAGAATGAGGTGGAAGATAGGTTTTAATGCCTTATCCATTCAACTGTAAGCACAGTCTAATAAAAATTCTGGAAAATGCTAATACTACAGTGGAATTTTGAGGTCATTTGGTGCTAGCGCCTGTCAGTTCACAGGTAAGGGCACCACCATTTATAAAAGGCTTAGAAACTACTTCTAATTTTGGTTTGGTAAAAGTTCCTTGGTTTCCTAAGGAACATATGCCATAGATTGACAGTGAATATATTCCACAAGGACTAAAATATTAATGCAGAATATTCACAGATTCCTCCTTTATAATCTGCTGCTAAGAATAATTCTGGCACCGCCTCCTCGTGTTTGCTTGTGCCGGGCCGCTGAGATGGCTGGAGAGTTAAGTTGCCTCTATAGTGGAAGGCAGTTTGTGAAGTGAAATGGTTCCTTTCCCCTCTCTTCACAGAGAATTGGGAGAGGAATTCCACTTGGGACACACCCCTAGACTTGTATGGGATGCCCAAATCTCATTAAACCAGGACAACCATCTCTTGTATGAAAGTTGTTAGCCTCTGCTGTTGCCTGGAGGGAGGGTCAAGAGAGACAGAGCAGAACCCAGGCAGGGGCACTGCAGGGAGCGGGGAGGATAAGGATCACCCTTCAGGATTATGACATGCCTGCTGGTCCACAAGTGGGGGCTATTGAAAATGATGGAATGCTGACAGCTGCGATCAGCCAAATATGGGTGCATATCACAAGGGGCTACTGGTACTTGGAAATGAGTCCTCGTCCATGGGGACTGTTGGAAGCAGTACTCATCCATCCACATGGAAGTAAACTTACAGCAAGTATGACAGAGAAAGGAGAGTTGCCTGATCCTCTAGACCCCTCCTAAACATCCACTATCACACATTCCCTGCCAGACAAAGCAGACAACTACCCTCAACACCACTGAGATGCAGTCTGGGGCAAGGGCTTCTCCACTTCAGACCACTACTTGGAATTGCCTAAAGGCAGAAGCCAGATGGAGAATGCTGCAGCCTGAGCGCTGGAAGGATGACCAGGGAGGCCAACTGCTTAGAAGCAGAGATTTCCTAGCTGGATTATGGATTTTAATGACAAAGTGTCAACAAGATCTCAGAATTTGATATCTAATCCATGGGCTAGAATGAAAATGAATCTAAATCTTGTTGTTAAGGAATCCATTTATTCATTCAACACACATTTACTAAGTGCCAGCATGTTCTAGATTATAGAGATAAAGCAGTGTATAAAACAGAAATTTTGCTTTCACAGAGTTGACAACCTACTTGGGAGAGGAGAGCTTTACGTGTAACCCTGATCAGGTCAACAGCAAGGGCCTGTGATTGTTCAGTTCTTAAGGCAACTCCCAGGTCTCCCACCAACAGAAATGAGATAATACGGAAACCAAAAATAAAGCCCTCAGAAAGGCAATTTTCCCCAGTGCCAATCTCAGACTTGGCAAAACAGAACAAAGACAAACAAAATCTTCTCAGAGATCCGAACAGGTGCAGCCAGAAGATGTCCAAGGAACCCATCACATTGTGCTGAAGAGAACCTCAGACAGCGTGAAGCCTGGGCCTGAGGCAGGGTTCTGTTGAAGCCAAAGTCAGTTAGTTCCCATAGTGGACGTGTCAAAGTATGTTAGAACTGTTTTGTAGTAGTTACTTATACTGTGGGAGCTGGTAGGCATGTACTCAGATTCTGCTAAACATTTGGGTATGTGTTTCAGGAGGAGATGGTAGAAAAGTATAAAATACATCTCAGAGAAATAAAGGAAGCCTCTTGTGCTTGGAAAAATGCCAATAAGCATGGCTGTATGTCTCACTGAGGCATGAGAGGGACTTGGGAAGCCCTAACAGTGCCGCCTAAAAATTGCTATTAGCTCCTGCCTTATGTAACTGTATCTATAGCTTTCTGCATACCCTAAAATTACAGAAACTTCATCTAACTTTTTTTTGAGATGGAGTTTTGCTCTTGTTGCCCAGGCTGGAGTGATTCAAGTAATTCTCCTCCCTCAGCCTCCCGAGTAGCTGTGATTACAGGTGCCCGCCACCATGCCTAGCTAATTTTTGTATTTTTAGTAGAGACAAAGTTTTGCCATGTTGGCCAGGCTGGTCTCGAACTCCTGACCTCAGGTGATCTGCCCGCCTCGGCCTCCCAATGTGCTAGGATTACAGGCGTGAGCCACAGCACCTGGCCCCACCTAACTTTTATACAATCACTTTTCCATCATTCACATCACTAACATCACTGTCCTGTGAGGACGAAGCAGATTGGTGTCAGAAGTGGGATTAAAGCAAACCTCTTTACGTATAAAGAGGTTTTATACGTAAGAGGAAATCCAAGGGGAGCCAAGTTTTGCTTTGATTCTCATTGACCCAACTCTTGTAGAAGTCAGAGATTCCATAATGATTTAAATACAAACAGTATTTAATTAATGCACAAAGTTTGATTGATAGAGTATATAAAAACACTGTTGCTTGAAACTTTTTTTAGAAGATGGCTGTGTACATGTCATCTACCCAGGTAAAACAGCTGAATAACTGGATAAAATCTAACAAATCAGTGACTAAAACTATAAATATCACAGTATCTACAGTTATCCATAATTTATAAAGTAAACTACACTAAGTTGGAGCTAAGGCAATATAATTTAAGCATTAAAAACTAACTTTTCTACTTTTTTTTTTTTTTTTTTTTTTTTTTTTTAAAGACAGAGTCTTGCTCTATGGCCCAGGCTGGAGTACAGTGGCATGATCATGGCTCACTGCAGCCTTGACCTCCCAGGCTCAAGTGATCCTTTTATCTCAGCCTCCCAAGCAACTAAACCACCACATCAGGCTTTTAAATTTTTGGTAGAGACAAGGTCTCCCTATATTGTCCAGGCTGCTCTCAAGCCATCCTCCTGCCTCGGCTTCCCAAAGTGCTGGGATAACCGGCTTGCCCCACCATGCTTAGCCTAAGACTTCTTCTTTTTTTTTTTTGAGACAGAGTTTCGCTCTTGTTGCCCAGGCTGGAGTGCAATGGCTTGATCTCGGCTCACCACAACCTCCACCTCCCGGGTTTAAGCAATTCTCCTGCCTCAGCCTCTCAAGTAGCTGGGATTACAGGCATGTGCACCACAGCCAGCTAATTTTATATGTTTAGTAGAGATGGGGTTTTTCCACGTTGGTCAGGCACGTCTCGAACTCCTGACCTCTGGTGATCCACCCTCCTCCGCCTCCCACAGTGCTGGGATTACAGGCGTGAGCCACTGTGCCCGGCCCAGACTTTAAAAAAAAAAAAAAAAAAAAAGAGAGACATGACCGTTTTAGCCTGAGCTAAGCAGGAGAGACTGGCAACAAGCCCAAAGTCTACTGCGGAAGGAAAAAAATATGCTTTAGGTGAGTTTGGAATTTTGACTTTTGGCCATAAGTTATGCAGCTTCTCAGGTAAGAAAAGAAGGAGCAGTTAAACCTCTTTTCAGTGACAGGTGAAAAATGCTATAAGTAAAATAATGTTATAAAAATAATGTAGAAACAGGAAGTGGTAAGTCTAACATTCATTTATTCATCCCTGGATAGACAGTCAAAAGCTGTATGCCTCAGCAGTTGTTAATAAAGGACCTTGAAAAAAATACAGATGGCTGACTCAGGTGCATTGAGAAAACAATCCTTGAGCTAATTATTGTATCCTCTTCAAAACATAAAGGTTAAGTGAGTACTTATATGCCAATTTCTGTAATAGTTTAATTCTCCATTTATTCTGTATCTTATTATAAAGTTGGGTTTCTGTAGAATGCAGGTTCCAACTGTATATAGCAAATAAAAATATCCATTATGACCAACCCCTATGTGGCCGGTTAAGTGAGGAAGAAATGAGGACATCCACCTATGTCAAACAGGAGGCATTTAAAAATAAATTACTAACCATGGCTCCACCAGATGTAACTAGGAAGACTAATACCTGGTCAGCTCATATGAATTTCAGTAAAAGATCATAACCCACACTTAGAGATATTATTAGATGCTACATATCAATTATCAAAAAGAATGTTCCTTTGTGATCGTGTAGTTACCACAGTATACAAAACTGAAGCCACATGATAATTTGATAAGAACAAAAAATGTAGACATTGGCACTAAATATTTCCGTAGTTATAAGTTTCTAATTTCTGGCTTTCTCTTAATGTGATAATGAAAACCTCTGGAGATGAGCCCAAGATGTTTAAACACACATTGATTCATTCATTCACGGACAGGGTCTCGCTCTGTTGGCCAGGCTGGAGTGCACTGGTGTGATCACAGCTCACTGCAGCCTTGAACTCCTGGCCTCAAGGGATCCTCTCACCCCAGCCTCCTGAGTAGCTGGGATTATAAGAGTGTGTTTTCATTCCCAGCTAATTTTTTAAATTTTGTTTGTAGAGATAGGGCCTCCTTATGTTGCCCAGGCTCATCTAAACTCCTGCCAGCCTCAACCTCCTGGATTCAAGTTATCCTCCCACCTCAGCCTTCCAAAGTGCTGAGATTACAGGTGTGAGCTACTACGCCTGGCCTTAAACATTATTTTTAAAGATATATGCGAATAACAAAACATAATGTGAATATAAGACTACAATTTTTAAAAGTAACAAACCTCAGCATGAATGTATTTTAAAAGTTGATTGTTGTGGCACGCTCAGATGGTGGTATAAAAACTGTGACTCATCAAAATTGTTTCACTTTAATTGGGTAAAGTTTTAAATGTCTCTAATAATTCTTGACATTGATTTGGTTGAATTTTTGCTGGCCATCTCTGATTTTTAAAAAGTTATGCAGATATAATACTAGGTAATAAAAACATACGCAAAAGTAGTTACAAATGATAGTAATTACTGTTCAACAGTAAAATACCCTAAGGTTCTTTTCTGTGATAATCACCACTTTCCATTAGAAAGAACAATTAAAGGAGAATGAACTAGATTTTGTGTGTTCTCCAAATCTCCAGCTTATGTGTACTCATAGAGCCCAGACGCCATTCACAGGACAGGAACACCAAAGATAAGCATGGGACTCCTTAGCAAAAAACAGACACTTTCAAAGGTACATGGTGGTACTACAAAAACGACACGTACACCCAACCAAAGGAGTGTCTGCTAAAGACCAAACGTGACAACCTAAACACGAAGCAATGCCAATACCAAACCATTAATGAAAATTTGTTGAGCCTACAAAAGGTTATAATATTCCTTCCAGAGACAAATAATATAAACTATACTTTAAAAAAGGAATATCTACCAATAATAAATTAACTCATACTCAGTTTATCACCAAAAATGAGGGCAGAGTGACAAGTGATTTGACTTAAGAAATAAAATAGTAATTTGTTTAATTGATATATCTTTCCCTTGAGAATTCAAGTATCAGTTTGAGATGTAAAAAAATATATTTTTTGAGCTGGGCATGGTGGCTCACACCTGGAATCCTAGCACTTGGGAGGCCAAGGTGTAAGACCGCTTGAGCCAAAGAGTTTGAGAACACCCTGGGAAACACAGTAAGACCACCCCATCTCTAAAATAAAGATAAGCTGGGTATGGTGGTGCACACCTGTAGTCCTAGTCCCAGGTACTTGGGGGACTGAAGTGGGAGAATTGCTTGAGCCCAGGAGGCTGAGGCTGCAGTGAGCCAGGATCATGCCACCATACTACACTCTGGGCAACAGAGCCAGACCCAGTCTCAAATATAAATATAAATATATATATATGTATATATGTTCTAAGTTGATACTATATAACTCCAAATCTTAGGCCAGAGGACTAAATGACAAAAACGGAATTTAGATTGACCTGAAATGTGGGTCTCCTGGCAGATGTCTAAAAATTGACCTTCCCTCAAGCAAAGTGACAGCTTATGCGTGCCTGTGGAGCAGCCAAGCCCTGAGCCAGTCTCTCGTCAAGGGAGGAGCTCATGGGAGGGCGGGAGGATACAAATTTTCCCATGAGAATGACAAAATACAGGGGCATCACTGACATCCCAGTAGGAACCTGGGACACTTGGAGAGCTGTACTTTTAAGAGAGTATTATGTTACTTCCTACTTTTATTTTTCACTTCCATATGTGTATGTTTTGAAAGAACAAACAAAACCTTTATATCCTGACTGCTGGTATTTTCCAACATTCACATTACCATCCAGTCATATAATACTCGCACACGGCTAGGGCAGGAATCGTTGATTGTTCAGTCCAGCAGAAGACAATACGCTATGGACCAGTGATCACTGCGTGTTGTCTCATTCTCCCTCCTTCAAAGTGGTGATTCAAAAAAATTATCTTCATTCTGTCCTCTCTTTACCACTATTTGGCAAGTTAGGGTGGTTAATATTATCATTAGCCACAGGACCATGAGGGGCTTTATCTGGACCTGGATGAGAAAATTTCATAGTACTCTCAGATCCTGGATGTGGCAACTGGCTGAGACTTTGAGCCGCCTCTTTTTGGGAAGGTGGCATAACTGCATTTCAAATTACATATAGGATAGTGGGGGTTTTTAGTGGGTTTTTTTTTCTTTCTTTTTGAGGCAGAGTCTCACTCTGTCACCCAGGCTGGAGTGCAGCAGTGCCATCTTGGCTTGCTGCAACCTCTGCCTCCTGGGTTCAAGCGATTGGTGCCTCAGCCTCCCGAGTAGCTGAGATTACAGGCGTGTGCCACCATACCAGGCTAATTTTTGTATTTTTAGGAGAGACAGGGTTTCACCATGTTTCCTAGGCTGGTCTTGAATTCCTGGCCTCATGTAATCTGCCCACCTTGGCTTCCCAAATTCTGGGATTACAGGCATAAGCCACCGTGCCTGGCCTATATATAGAATAGTTTTAAATGGGGCCATTTTAAGAGAATATATATGACAAGAAAAGGGTGAACTGTAATAGACATTTTCTATTTTGGGTCTGTCCAAATCACCTCTGGGGGAAGTGATTACAGAGAGGTGAAGTGATTACATTGCTAGTCTATGGTGGCAGGTGACTATTTCCAAGGTAAGAGTCAAAGACTTTTTCTTCCTAGCCCATAGTGATTGGTTCAAGGGTAGTCCTGGGGCCCACCAGAGCCAATAGCACCTCAAAAGACATTTGTAGGGGGAACTTGTGAATCAGAGGCAGTTCTTTCCTACTGATTTTGAACCACAGAGACTATAAGTTCTGCAGCCATTTTTCTACCTGAAGAACTGTAATAACCCAGAGGAAGAAGAACTGAGATATGAAGGAAAAAACCAGAATCCTGGCAGCAAGATTTGAGTTCTCTTAACAAGTGCCACCTGAAGTTGCCCCACTCCTGCATACTTAGGTGTGTAAACCAGTAAGTTCCCCTTTGCTTAGGCCAGTTTGGGTTGGGTGACCCCCTTGAAAGCCCCTATGTTATAAATCAAAAAACAGTATGTAAGCTAGGTGTGACTTTGGTAACGTGAAAAGAAAATTCTTAATTTAACAGGCAACTCTAGTAATTTGGTACCAAGCAAACCTTAGGGATTTCATCACTTGACGAATTGGGGAAAACTGTTTTTACCGAAGTCTGAATACAGGATTTGGGCACCATACCTCATGTTGAGATGATATAAGCATTTTGTATCTTAAATTGCTCTGAAAAACTATGCTTTCCTCCTTCATTTTTTCTCCCAAAAGGAACTTTTCTGATATTTAAAGTATCAATTAAATATCTTAAGTTTGTAGATGGACAAAAGAGTACATTATAAGAAAACACGGCAAAGGAGATAAGGTCAAAAGTTGAGAGTAAGAGGTGTGTCAGGTTGGGGCGTGGCACTTGAGAGGTGGGAAGGTTTGGAAGGGTTCCTCTAGACCAGAATTAGCGTCAAGTCGGCTGGGGATGAAGGAGGGCAGCGTGGGGTAGCCCTGAGTGCCCAGATAAGGAGTGAAAGCATGGATTCCCAAAAGTAAAAAAGACTTCATGACTTTCCTCAGCCACACACCACACGTGGCAGCTGAGCAGCAAGATCACCCAAGGTTGGGGACCAGCCAGATGAGTCTGGGTCATGGAGGCAGGGTATCCCAGTGTGTTAGAGGAAAGCTGGAGTAACTGGGCTACCCGCTGAACACCTCATGGACATTACATATCTGGTAGGTGTAGCCCAGGATTCTTTTGAGACCAACTGTAAATTTCTTCTCAGCTTCCTCATTTTCTGAAAGATTAGAACTGAAGATCATATGGCTTCTGAAGAATAAGAACTCACAATGTAATTAGCAATTGTGCAAAGAAGCAGGATCTGAAATCTCACAGCTATTTTAAAGTCAAATAACTGAGTCTAATTAGAAACAATCCACAAATATCTTAAAATTTAGGAATTAGGAATTCAGTTGCTTCAAAAGTAATTGATGCATAAAGCACAGCTACCTTCAAGGCATTTTTCTCAGTACGACAGGTGCTACAGTCATCTCAAGGTTTCTAATTGCTTTTAGGTGACAGGGGATTTACCAGAGGTAGAGCTGCCTGAAACATTGCTAAGTGACAAAACAGTGCTAAGGACCCTGCGTGGAGTGGTTGTCCCAAGCTCACATCTCTTTCAGTCCTCAAGTACTCGTCTCCCATTAGTCTCATTGGTGCATGTCTTGAACCAAGTGTTTAGAAAAAGCACCCAGGTATACAGAATTATCTGCAGGTATATACGGAAGGCACGATGACGGGAACACCAAGGAAAACCCCTGCCTCTCAAATCTTCAAGCAGGGCTTGAAGTTGCCAAAGAAAACAGTATCAGGAGCTGCTGGGCAACGGCCCTGATTATTCCCAGGGAGAAGCTGGCCACTGCTGCCTGGCTTCATGTGGTCCTGATGTCACCATTTTTCCTTCTCTGTCCCTCTGTCATTCCAGGATGCTAGAGTCCATGGGTCCTGTTTTATACCCTAGATGAGGACTAAGATATGCTGTTTAACATCTTGTGCCACCCTCCCAATTCCATCACTCATCCTGCTTTCTCTCAAATTCCCCAAATGCCCTGCCTTGCCTGGCAATGTTCTATTTTGTGGTCCAGAAGATGCCTACGGTCGCCGGGCGCGGTGGCTCACGCCTGTAATCCCAGCACTTTGGGAGGCCGAGGCGGGCGGATCACGAGGTCAGGAGATCGAGACCATCCTGGCTAACACGGTGAAACCCCGTCTCTACTAAAAATACAAAAAATTAGCCGGGCATGGTGGCGGGCGCCTGTAGTCCCAGCTACTTGGGAGGCTGAGGCAGGAGAATGGCGTGAACCCGGGAGGCGGAGCTTGCAGTGAGCCGAGATCGCGCCACTGCACTCCAGCCTGGGCGACAGAGCGAGACTCCGTCTCAAAAAAAAAAAAAAAAAAAAAAGATGCCTACGGTCTGATCTCTGAGGTTCAGTCTCCCCTAAAATTACTGACCAGGACTGGTGGAGTCTGCTTGTTCTTGGCTCTGATTGTGATTTGCCCCCATGGAGACTGCTAAGTTGGCCATCATTTATTGCTCTTTACTAGCTGACCCTACCTGGCAGGGCCCCACTCTGCTCCCGGCATGCTGTGCAGCTGGCAGTGTGTGCTCTAGTTCCAGCTCCTTCTGGGAATTGAGGCTGTCAAGGCTTTTAAAGTTACCTAGGAAGCTGCTCTCTACAGAAAAGGTTTGATTACTCCTCCAGACCCTATACTTATCTTAAAATTGTTTTCTTCACTAAATCCTGGTGTGAATTTTTTTAAATGCCAGTAAACTACTGAACTGCCTACCCCTATTTCATAATATTATAAGGCTTTTTCCTTTTGATAAAAAAAAAAAGAGTCATTCCAGTGTATGCGACTATACAGTTTCCTATCTGATGGGGTATAGCTTGATAATAAAATGGGGTAGCATGAAAATTCTGAATTTTAAAATGAAAAATTCTTAGGGTCCTCTCTATCATCAGTCCTCCTACCTTTCATTAAGTTTGGCAGTACGAAATGTTGACAGATTTGCCCAAAGAGGCAATGAGACAAGAAGAGGATTAGGTGAGCCTTGGTTAGGGTTTGAAATCAGCTGTAGTGTTTGGAATTTGGAGCTTGGGTTAAATGATTATATTTTGGTGGCTAGCATGAATCTCAGCATGATGTACGAATGAGTTACAGAAATCAGCCAGAAACACCCTTGGGATAATGGCCATGTCAACTCATTTCATAATGGTATGTGAAACTAGAAATGAAACTAGAAAGGCTGGGTAATTTTTTTTTTTCCAAAGGAATGAATACTTCAGGTGAAACATTTTTTTAGATTGGATTATTTAAGTGGGAGGCCTATTCATGCACTTCTGTGCATATGGTTCTTTTTTCCCCTTAATTCTTAGAATTAGGACTTTTAAAAATTATTTTCTGTTTGTGGCCACTTTAAAACCATGTTGCAAGCAAAATGAACTCTGAAGACCACTGCAGAAAAATCTCTAATTTTTTCTTAAAAGAAAGCTCTGGATCTTTGTAATATCTAACAAAGATGCTAGGGAAAAATTAGGGCTTTTTTGCATTAGATTCAATCTTCTTGCCAGTAGCACACCCACCATTTACCAAGTTTATTTTAACATCTGGCACTGAATTTAAGCAGGAGGAGGAGGAGGAGGAGGAGGAGGAGGAGGAGGTTACATTTCTTTGCATCTAAAACCCCACATAATAGTAAGAAGTGATAGGTCAGACTTATTGTTGTTAGGCAGAAAGCCATACTAAATGCAAACTACTTGAATCTCATAAATTACATATTGTGGGACCAGCGTATTGTCAACATCGAGCCTACCTCAATGTGAACAGCCAACAGAATTATTAAAACATCTTTGAGATCCACGAAATTCTCTTTAGTTATTAAGAGTTTTTATTCAATATCCACTCTTAGCATGAATATGATAAATTAAGTAATATAGTAATTCTGAGCTTTTCTTTTTAGAAATGCTAAAGTGTTTGACAATTCTTGTCAATACTTATAACAGCACATTGAAAAGCCCCAAAATAATACTAGAAAACACTCATTCTATATAGAGGATCCAAGGCAATAAAACCAAATGGGATAGGCTGGAAATGCCAAACCCACCTGGACAAATCTGGGCAAATGAAGACACAGTAAGAGAAGATACACCAAGTGAATGGAGTATAAGGCACAGATTCTGGTTAGAATGGAAGATGGTTTTTCACAACTCTGCAGCCATTCCTCCATGACCTCAGAATCCTGTCCTCCCTCCTACCTTGCTGGTCAGCAGGCTTTCCTGTCAGCTGCCACAGTCAGGACTGCTTTGGGGCTACCCTAGCATTTTTTTCTGGGCATGGAGAAGTGTAGTCCAACTAAATTTCATGTCTATTCAAGTCACATTCCATAACCAACTTCCACAAAGTATAAACCGCCCTTTGCCACGTACTGGGATGTTGTGCAATTTTTTCTCAGCTTAAGCCTGTGTACAGGTGAAGACTCTGTGAAGATTTATAAAAGACTGACTTAAACAGCAACTTTGAGGGCAAAGAAAACGCACTCTGGCTTAAACAAGTTTCTTGTCATCAGGTATAATAAAAGCAAGCAAACCTGGCAACACCATACCTTTCTTCCACGGAAACTTCCTTCAGCTGCTGGTGTGGCTTGGTGCCTTCCATTTCCCTGATGCTCACAGCATAAATCTTGGTGGTGTAGTCAATGGCCTTTTCTCTAGCAACATCGCTGTCATAGCCTCAAACAACAGAAAGAGATTGGGGAGCCAGTTGGTTTGCAGTGGCCCAGGAAGGGAGGTGTTGGGAGGTGCATTCGGCGCAGGAGGCATGTGGCAGGTGGGGGGCTCACCTCCATCCTCTTCCACGTCGGTGTCTGACTCCTCGCTGTCCACCAGCTTGCTCTCCTGGGTCCCCACAAACTCCCTGGTCCAGATCATCAGGGCTGTGTCGGCGCCGCCCACCGTGAGCAGCACAGAGTCATTGTGCAGCCACCTCACGTTAGTGACATGTGCACTGTGCCCCACATACTTCTTGAATCTTGCGTGCTGTCCCTGTAAAGCCCGAAATTGGTTATTACCCCAGCCACTGTTATTCCTTTCTCTGGGCTCGTTTATCCATGTTAGTTTCTACTGGATACAAAGGAAACAGTTCAACAGCAATTTCCTACATTTCAACTAGAATGTAAGCTCCATGTGGGCAGGCACTAGGTCTCTTTTTTCTTCAAACAGTACCCAGCTCACAATAGGTCCTCAATATATTTTTGAGGGAATGAATGAAATGTTAGACTACAGAACCTATTTTCTGGGAATCTATAGACATATAAAAAGCTTGTTCTGGTTCTCTCAAATGTCAAATGTGCTGCCTCCACAGGTCTCTAGTGTAAACTCCTGACTGTGAGTCTGGCTGACATCTGAGATCAAAAGTGTCTTCACAGCCATCTCCTACAGTGACTTTTGTACTACAGTCCAGGCAGTGGCAGAAGAGCAAAGGATATCTTATAAACCTGGGACCTCAAGTAAGATGTAAAATGAACACAACGGTTTCTGCCACAGACGCTAGAAAGAATTTTTAATACAAACACGCAAACATTGATTTAAAGCAAAGCTCCTTTTCAACAAACATAGCCAAATACATACAACCCAATTTATCAGTAACGACTAAAAGCTTTTTGGAGTGGTGTGCCCAGGCCACCCCACCTTTATCCCCGGGTGGAGGGTGGAATGTGAGTCAGCTGCTCATGCCAGGGCAGTCCTGACAAGTGGTGCAAAATCAAAGCTGGCACCAGAAAAAGCTTCCATATTCAGCTCATGAGCCACAGCCTGGCAAAAACAGCTGCAGCGGGAGCCATTTAAAGACATGGAGTTTTTCCATCCTCTCAGCGACTCCGAGGGAATACCTTACAGAATATGGAAGGCCACATGCACTCTCTGAGGTTGTGACAGAGTCACCAGTATCCCAGATGAAAATTTTATTAAGTAATTTACAAGTGGCTCCCAGAGGGTTTTGGACTGGCATGCTAGAGAATCTGAAAACAGCACAGACATACAGCAGGAAACAGGTGCAGGAGGGTTCGTGACTTTGTAATACTCCTAGTCAAGATCGCCCTGTATTTGGCCAACTACTAGCTGATGGCAGAGCGGAACTGCCCACTCCTCAGCAGAGTACTGAGCCTAGAAAGATTCCTGAAGCAAACAGGCAGGTAGGATTTCCAGGAGGCCCTCCAGAGTCATTAGTTTGCTAGCAAATAGGCAGAACAAAAGAATTTCCAAGAAAAACCCATTTGAACATGTGAGTTCCAGAAAGCATGGAAACAGAGGACAGTCACAGCAGCTGCAGCCATGTGTCCTGCTGGTCTTCTAGCTGGAAGCAGGAGCACATCCAGTTTATACACTACAAATGCAAGCTGTTTCTTTACAGAAGTAAAAGAGCATGAGAAATGCCTCTCTACACCCTCAACTTATAAGAGGGACACAGGGTTTCTAGATGGCAAGAAAAAATGCAAAAAGAAAGGTTCAAGGAAACAGACTCTAAGGGATGAGATTCAGGTTGCAGAGGGGAAAAAAGGGACATAGAGGAAGAAAGAGAGAGGAAAAAATTCAGGGCCACTGAAGAGATATAACAAGGCAGAGATTCCTGCAGCAGTGGGTGATTCAAGATTCTCAGAATAGGAAAGAAAATCACTGCTCCATGCAACAATAAAGGGAATTGACAGTTGCTAGAAGGTTCTGCGAAACCAGCTGCTGTCTCAAGAGAAAGACACTGGCAGGGATGTATAGTGGTTCCCGGCAGGGCCTACGGAGGAAACGTCCTCAAGACCTGGCACAGCCATTGGGATGAATGACCTTTCTGGGTCTTCAAGCCAAACTGCACTTGTTACACCCATCAGAACTTGCTGCTTCACCACAACTCTATCCATCAAGTGATGAAATAATGGATGATAGCACCAGAAAAACCTGGAATATGGCCAGGTGCACTGGTTCATGCCTGTAATCCCAGCACTTTGGGAGGCCAAGGCGGGCAGATCACTTGAGGTCAGGAGTTCAAGACCAGCCTGGCCAACATGGTGAAACCCTGACTCTACTAAAAATACAAAAATTAGCTGGGCATGGTGGTGGATGCCTGTAATCCAAGCTACTTGGGAGGCTGAGGCAGGAGAATTGCTTGAACCTGGGAGGCAGAGGTTGCTGTCAGCCAAGATCACACCACTGCACTACAGCCTTGGCAACAGTGAGACTCCATCTTAAAACAAAAAAAATCTGGAATATGTCTCCAGAGTAGTGGTTGTCAATCCCTTGTAGGGAAGAAATTCCTGAGAATCTCGTGAAAGCTGTGCACTCTCCCCTACATTCACATTTCAGTTTCCCTGTCTATAAAATTTTCCATGCAAAGTTTCTCTCTGAAGAATCATCCTCCAGAGCTTTTCACATTCTGAGGAGGAAACTTAAGGACTTGAGGGCATGGAGGGTTTTAAAAATGCAAATGACACAGTGGTATTTTAGCCTCTCCATTTAGCAAAAGGGTCTAGGTTCGGAAGGGAAGGGAGGCTATGGGAAGCAATCTGCAGGCCATACAGATGGTGTCAAAAAACAGAATTTGGTTTTCTGGTCCATGGTTTAAGGTACTACAAAAATGGGTCGTGCTCCTGTTAAGTCTCTGATAAAGGATAGGGTATGTCTCATGGAGGTTGGGACAAGGTGGCTGTCAGGGCACTAATGATCTAATTGGGAAGGCTTTAACCTATAAAACTGAATATTAATAAAGATACTTGTCTGGCATGGAAAGAAAAATGCCCGGAAGAGATGCCCACTCATAGGAAAGTAGAATGAGAAAAAGAGCCAAGATAGTGACGTGATTTTAGCAGCCAACAAACGGAACTTGAATTTTGGACACAGAGCTCTGTGGTGGTAATAAGATCTCACAGGTATCACCAAGACTGATGACATAGAACTCAATGCGAGAATATAGCAATGGCATGGGACATTAGTCTGCTTGGGTTGCCATAACAAAATGCCCTAGGCTGGGTAGCTAAACAGCAGAAATTTATTTCTCACAGTTTTAGAGGCTGGGCAAGATGAAGGTGCTGGCCAATTTGGTTCCTGGTGCGGGCTCTCTTCCTGGCTTGTAGATAGCTGCCTTCTCACTGTGTGCTCACAGGAAGAGCGGGCGGTGTGTGTGTGGAGAGTGAAAGCTAGCTCTCTGGCATCTCTTCTATAAGGACACTGATTCTATCAGATTAGGGCCCCTCCCTTATAAACTCATTTAATCTTAGTTACTTCCCTAAATGACCTATCTCCAAATACAGTCCCATTGGGAGTTAGGGCTTTAACACAGATTTGGGAAGACACAACCATTCAAGTTCATAACAGATAATGAACTTTGTTCAACAGAGTGATAGCAGTTAGACAAGTGTGACTATACAGCTGGAAATATTCATTGGCAAGAGATTCATGTATTTGGGAAGGAAAGTGTGCCAGAAAAATCAGGTTGAAAAAAAAAGAAGAGGCTGGGTGCAGTGGCTCACGCCTGTAATCCCAGCACTTTGGGAGGCCAAGGCAGGTGGATCACCTGAGGTCAGGAGTTCGAGACCAGTCTGGCCAACACGGCGAAACCCCATCTCTACTAAAAATACAAAAAATTAGCCAGGTATGGCAGCAGGCACCTGTGATCCCAGCTATTCAGGAGGCTGAAGCAGGAGAATCACTTGAACCCAGGAGACAGAGGTTGCAGTGAGCCGAGATCACGCCATTGCACTGCAGCCTGGGCAACAAGAGCAAAAACTCCATCTTGAAAAATAATAAATAATTTTTTTAAAAAAAAATAAGTGATTTTATCAAAATAATTCATATTTGGCTAGTAGTTTAAGCCATGAACCTATTTCTTCAATCTGATTGAAGAAATAGAGAACTCAAGAAATACACAGAACTCAAGAATGAAAAGATAATTTAAAACAATGGACAGAAGATTTGTACAGATACTTCCCCAAATAGTAAATAGATGACAAAGTGCTCAGCATCCTTAGTCATCAGAGAAATGTAAACTGAAAACACAACTGGATGGCACCATCTACTCCCCTGGACAGCTGAATTTTATGCATCTGACAAGATCGAATATCAGCAACTGGAACTCTTACATTTTTGGTGGGAATATAAAATGATACAACTTTGGAAAAAGGTCTGGCAGTTTCTTAAAATGTTATATATATTTTTCCCCATGACTCAGAAATTCCACTCCTATATATTTACCTAAGAGAAAGAAAGCATATGTCTACAAAGACTTGTCTAAAAATGTTCATAGCAGCTTTACTATAACCAAAAACTGGAAAAGTATGTTCATCATAGGAATATGGATGAACAACCTGTTATATCCACACAATGGAATTCTACTCAGCTATGAAAATGAATGAACTATTATTATGCAACAACATGGATAAATCTCAGAAACATCTCTGAGTGAAAGAAGCTGGATAAAAAGCAGTACCTATTTCATTTATATGAAATTCTTAAACAGGTAAAATTTATGGTGAAAAACATTGGAACAGTTGTTTCAGCTGAGGGAGGGAGGGGGCATGGGGACTGGCCCAGAAGGAGTATGAGGAAGCAGCCTGGGGTGGCAATGGCGTATGTATCTTCATAAGAGATGTTTATATAGGTACATGAGCTTTTTGTCAAAGCTTATCAAATGGAACACTGAACATTTATGTATTTCAACTGAATATAAATTTTACTTAAAAAATACCATAAGCAAATCTTGAACTCTAGATAGTAATATGCATGATGAAACATTTAGGGGTAAGTATCTTGATGTCTAAAATTTACTTTTTCCTCCCAGCTTTACTGAGGTATAATTAACAAAAATTTTATATATTCAAGGTGTACAACAGAATCTGATATATGCATACATTGTGAAATAATTACTACAATCAAGGTAATTAATGCATTAATCATGACATAGTTACCATTGTGTGTGTGTGTGTGTGTGTGTGTGTGTGTGTGTGTGCGTTTGGTGAGGACACTTAGGATCTACTCTGTTAGCAAATTTAAAGTAATACAGTATAATTAAATACAGTCACCATGCTCTACATCAGATCCCCAGAACTTATTTATCTTAAAAGTTTATACTCTTTGGCCAGGCGTGGTGGCTCACACCTGTAATCCCAGCACTTTGGGAGGCTGAGGTGGATGGATCAGCTGAGGTTGGGAGTTCGAGACCAGCCTGATCAACATGGAGAAACCCCATCTCTACCAAAATTACAAAATTAGCCAGGCATAGTGCCACATGCCTGTAATCTCAGCTACTCAGGGGGCTGAGGCAGGAGAATCGGTTGAACCCGGGAGGCAGAGGTTGCGGTGAGCCCAGATTGTGCCATTGCACTCCAGCCTGGGCAACAAGAACAAAACTCCCTCTCAAAAAAAAAAAAAAAAAAAAAAAAAGTTTATACCCTTTGACCAACATCTCCCCATTTCCACCCACTCTCCAGTCCTTGGCCACCACCCTTCTACTCTCTACTTCTGTGAGTTCAACTTTTTTAGCTTCCACGTATATGTGAGATCACAAAGTATTTGTCTTTCTGTGCCTGGCTCATCTCACTTACCATGTCCTTCTGGTTCATCCACATTATTGCAAATGACAGGATTTCCTTCTTTTTTATGTGAATAATACGCCACCATGTATATGTATATATACACAATAATTTCCTTATCCATTCATTTGTTGATAGATACTTCAGTTGTTTCCATATCTTGGCTATTGTAAATAATGCTGTAATGAACATGGTGGTGTAGATATCTCTTCAAGATACTGATTTCACTTCCTTTGGATATATACCCAGAAGTGGGATTACTGAATCATATATTAGTTTTTAATTTTTTGAGGAACCTCCATATCGTTTTCCATAATGACTGCACCAATTTGTACACTGTTGGTGGGCATAACAGTGTACAAGGGTTCCCTTCCTTTACACCCTCACCAACACTTGTTCTTTTTTTAATAGACATCCTAACAGGTGTGAGGTGATATCTGTGATTTTGACTTACATTTCCCTAAAAAGTGATGTTGAACATCTTTTCACATACCTGTTGGCCATTTCTATGTCTTCTTTGGAGAAATGTCTATTCAAGTCATTTGCCTGTTTTAAAATCATAGTTATTGCTATTGAGTTGTAAAATTCATTATATATTTTGTATATTAACCCTTTATCAGAAACATGGTTTGCAATTATTTTTCCCATTTGATAGGCTGCCTTTTCATTTTGTTGATTGTTTCATTTGCCATGCAAAGCTTTTTAGTTTGATGTTGTCTCACTTGCTTTTGTTTTTGCTTGTGCTTTGGCTGTTACATCCAAGAAATCACTGCCAAGACCAATGTCAAGGAGCTCTTTATATTTTCTTCTAGGAGTTGTATGATTTCATGTCTTACATTTAAGTCTTTAATCCACTTTGGGTTAATTTTTTTAAATGGTGTGAGATAAAGTCCAAATTCATTCTTTTGAATGTAGATATCCAGTTTCCCTGACACCACTCATTGAAGAGACTGTCTTCTCCTTACCGTATATTTTTGGTATCCTTGTCAAAGATGGACTATATAATATATATGGATATATTTCTGGCATCTTTATTCTGTTTCATTGGTCTATGTGTTTTTATGTCAGTACCATACATTTTGATTACTATAGCTTTGTAATATAGTTTGAAATGTATATTTCAAAGTGTGACACTTCCAGCTTTATTCTTTCTTGGGATTGCTTTGGCTATTCAGGTTTTTTGTGGTTACATACACATTTTAAGGTTGTTTTTCCAATTTTTGTGAAAAAAATGCCTTTGGAATTTTGATAAGGATTACATTGAATCTGCAGATTATTTTTTGGGTAGTGTGAACATTTTAACAATATTAGTTCTTCCACTCCATGAACACAGGATCTCTTTCCATTTATTTGTGTCTTCTTCGATTTATTTCATGAGTGTCTTACAGATTTCAGTATACAGTTCTTTCGCCTCCTTGGCTAAACTTATTCCTAAACATTTTATTTGTCTTGATGATACAGTTTTTGTAGATAGTCTAAGTATATAAAAATGTAATTGAATTGTATATGTTAGCTTTGTATCCTACAACTTTACTGACTTTATTAATTCTAATAGCTTTTGGGGGGGTCTTTAGGGTTTTCTATATATAAGATCATGTTGTACATAAATAGAGATAATTTTACATCTTTCTTTCTGATCTGGATGCCTTTTCTCTCTTTTGCTTGCTTAATTGCTCTGGCTAGGACTTCCTTGTCTTGTTCCTTATCTTAAAGGAAAAGTTTTCGGCTTTTCATCATTGAGCATGTTAGTTGTGGGTTTTTCATTTATGGCCTTTATTGAAGTTCCTTCCTTCTATATCTAATTGAAGTGTTTTTAATCATGAGAGGATGTTGAATTTTGTCCATCCTTTTCTCACATCCACTGAGATAATCAAATGATTTTTATCCTTTATTCTCTTTATGTGGTACATCACATTTACTGACTTGCATATGTCGAACCATCCTTGCATCCCAGGAACACATTCCACTTGATCATGGTGTATGATCTTTTTAATGTGCTGTTGAATTTGGTTTGTAGTATTTTGTTTCAGATTTTTGCACCTATATTCATCAGGCATATTGGCCTGTAGTTTTCTTGTAATGTCCTTATCTGGTTTTGGTATCAAGGTTCTACTGGCCTTCTAAGAAGAGTTTAAAAGTGTTCCCTCCCCTTCAATTTTTTTTCTTTTTTTGAAAGAGTTTAAAAAGGATTGGCAATATTTTTTCTTTAAATACTTGGGAGAAATCACACATGAAGCCACATGGTCTTGGCCTTTTCTGGGAGGTTCTTGATTACAGATTCAATCTCTTGTGCATTATTGATCTGTTCAGATTTTCTATTTCTTTGCACTTCAGTTTTGGTAGGCTGTGTATTTCCAGATATGTTTCATTTCTTCCAGGTTATCCAATTTGTTGGCATGTAATTGCTCAAAGTAGTCTCTTATGATCCTTTGTATTTCTACAGTATCAGTTATAATGTCTCATCTTTCATTTATAATTTTATTTGAGTCCTTTTTTTGGCTAGTCTAGCTAAAGGTTGGTCAATTTTACCTTTTCAAAAACACCAACTCTTAGTTTCATTGGTCTTTTCTATTCTCTTTATAGTCTCTATTTTATTTATTTCTGTTCTAATCTTTATTATTTCCTTCCTTCTGCTAACAGGAAGCTTAGTTTGGTCTTCTTTTCCTAGTTTTCTGAAGTGTAAAGTTAGGTTATTTGAGATCTTTATTTTTCTTTCTTAATTCTACAGTTTACTTTAAATTACAGAATTTAGGTTGTGGGTTTCTATTAGTTCACTATATTATTCTCTCGTCTTATGTGTATGCTTCAAAATCTTCACAATAAAATCTTAGAAAAAAGCATACACAGAAGATGAATGTGCAAAATACAAAACATAGTGTAACTTTGTTGAAACAGGAACGGGATTCCAGAGCTTTTGCACTGGTTCCTTCCTTCCCACCTGAGATATACCTCCCTGGAACTCTGGTCTGAGGAACACAACTTGAAATGACTAATATATAGATAAGCCACCTTGTCAGGTAGGGGAAGTACTAGCAAGATGCAATAGTACTGTGGGGGATTTAGTTATCTAAATAGCTGCTCCAAAACCTTGGTCTACTAAAACCAGGGTATCACTAACTTTTTGCCTTGTACTGCTAGCAATTTCATTTACACACAGAAATAGCAAGGAAAATGGCTACTTAGAACTAAATTCTGATCAAATAGGAAGGGCTGGTAAGTGACAGATCATTGGCAGAAGGTTGCCAGGCGGCTTTGGGATGGGCAATGAACGTAACACTGGACAGAAACAGATGTGTATCTCAGGGCTACTCACCATGATAACCTAATCAGTTATTAACAAAGGAAGGAGAAGAAAGGAAAAGTGTCCAAAGTAACCAAAGTGGCCATAGAGGTAACTGCTATGTTCAGGTTAAAATGTACAAATGACAGGAGTAGCAAATAATTGAGATTGAATACAAAAGCCTTGCACCAACTTTTAAGTGTAGTTTCTGGAATGCTAAAGACAAAAAATAAGACTTTTGAAAAGGATTGGGGGGGGGGGGAAGCAAAATAGAGGAAAGTTAGGAACACTTCTCAATCAGGTGGCTTCACATGAACTGAAAGTCAATTTCTCATTTCCTCTGTCAAAGAGAATGTTCTTCAAACCGCAAAGGAGAAAACAGAACTCATTTACGTGAGTATAGGTGCCTTCAAACGTGACCACAGAAATAATACAGTAATAGCTGAAAAGTTTAGGAATCAGGAGAGGTGGCATCAAACACAAAGCGGTTCTTGTATCCCAGTGGGAAAACAAATAGGCTCCGGAAAATATTGATTCATGAGGTAATGTAATCCCTGGAAAATTCTAGGATGAAATATTACACAGGAGTTCGATAAGCATTTGGAAAAAGAAGTAGTGATAACCAGACAGTAATGGGTACACTGTGAACTAACCTCACATATTTTATTGGTTGGTTTATTAGAAGGAGAGATTAAGGATGACAGAGACCACTATCCACTTGTCTTTAGGCAAGACATTTGCCAAGAATTTAATGATGTCTTCTTGGACCAGGATAAATGACTGTACAGGGGGGTAAATTTAAATGTCTGTTACTGATTAAAGAATTGTTACAACGTGTAGATTAATAAACAGAATGACAGCTGGGTATGGTGGCTCATGATTATAATTCCAATACTTTGGGAGGCCCAGGTGGGAGGATTGTTTGAGTCCAAGAGTTTGGGACCAGCCTGGGTAATATAGTGAGACCCCATCTCTACAAAAAGTAAAAAAATTAGCTGGGCATGGTGGTATGCACATAATCCCAGCTACTGGGGAGGCTGAGGTGGATTGATTGCTTGAGTCTAGAAGGTAGAGGCTGCAGTGAGCGGTGATCGTGCCACTGTATTCCAGCCTGGGAAACACAGCAAAACCCTGTCATTCATTCATTCATTAGTTAAAATAAATAAATAAATGGAATGTAAAACTGAATTGAGGGGGAGGTTCCTTGAGTTGACGTGTGATTGTTCCAGTCTGTCTTTTTTTCTATGATTTAGAACTCGGGATTGTGAAAGCAGAGGATGACATGATGCTGCAAGGGAGAGAAAATGCTCTGACAAGGTATTCAAAGATACAGATAGGATGGAACACTGAGAAGAAATAAATAAAACTCTTTGGGTATAAATGTAAAGTTCTGTACTCAGATCTTAGAAAATCAATTGTGTAAGTACAGGCTTGGGGATAATCTGAACATTTTTGAGATTGACGTCTATGATTCAATTTTGTAGTGTGGCAGCCAAAAGGGCCAATGCCATTTTAGTTTGATTTAACACAAGTGTAAAACTCAAAACCAAGAAGGTAGCAGTCCCACTGTGCTCTGACCTGATCAGATTACAACTGGAACACTGAATACAGTTCTAGACTAGACAGTTGAAGGAAGAATTGATAAACTGGACTGTGCTTAAGGGAGGGGACAGCTGTAAGCCATCGAATATGGGAAATGGCTGAAGCAACTAGAAAGGTTAGGCTGGAAAAAAAAATGAGACTTCGGGGAGTCAAATGTGATCTTACTACAGATGACGGCTGTTAGAGGAATGGAATGGTTTAATGATGGTTCAGAAGGTAGAACTTTATTTAAAAAGAAAAGAGGCCAGGCGCAGTGGCTCACGCCCATAATCCCAGCAGTTTGGGAGGCCAAGGCGGGTGGATCACAAAGTCAGGAGTTCAAGACCAGCCTGGTCAAGATGGTGAAACCCTCTCTCTACTAAAAATACAAAAATTAGTCTGGCGTGCTGGCAGGCGTCTGTAATCCAGCTACTCGGGAGGCTGAGGCAGGGAATTGCCTGAACCTGGGAGGCAGAAGTTGCGGTCAGCCGAGATGGCGCCACTGCACTCCAGCCTGGGCAAAAGAGTGAAACTCCGTCTCAAAAAACAAAAAAAAAAAAAAAAACAAAAAAAAAAAGGGAAGAAGAGAATTCAGCTCAAGATAGATAAAAACGTTTTAACAATTGGAGGTATTTAAAAATCAGTTGGGGTGCTGTGTGATATTAAGTTCCTCATCTGTGGAAGTATCCTAATGAAAGTTAGAAAGGCACTGGTCTGTGAGGTTGTAAAGGTAACACTTACTTTGCAGTTTGTGAGATGTTGGATTTGGTGACCACTGAAGGCCTTTCAAGGTAGAATTCTATGCCATGAGAATTGCACTGAAATTAGTCACTCAAACACAATGTCAGGGAGGTTTTTATACAGCATAAATAATACTCCGATAATGTGAATTGCTTATGACTTCAAATTTTTAAAAATGCACTTAGATACAATATTTAAGGTTATTAAGGAGACTGAGCAAGTAAAGATAATAAACACGCAATATTACCTTGACAGGATATGAAAAAAGCTTAACGAAACCAAAATCATCTCCGGTGGCTAAAAGGGAACAGTCTTTGGTAAGACTGGCAGCATTTACGTCAGTTATATCGCTATGTGCTGGCCAGATTCCCTCACAGGTGGGCCCCAGGACACAGGTCCATGTGTCCCACTCTATCTTCTCGATCTGAAAAAGAACGAAAGAGAATGATATTTTTGCACAACCTAGTTTGTTTTATTTAAAAGAAACAGTTTGCACCTGAGTAATTCTAAATTACTTTGCCAACGTTAGGCATTTGTGTTGAGTGCTGAGGTACACAAATTCTAAGTTGCATATTTAAAGTGGTTATTTGCATTGTCTTCAGAAGCCAACACTGCAGTCAAATACCCAAATGTTTTTCTCTAGATAAAATGAACATTTTGAAATTGTGGAAATTTGATAATAATAAGGTATTTTAGTTCTTAACTAGACATTTATCATTGTATAAGCCATAAGCTGGATCCAGATTCCCCAACGCCAGCACTGATGTCTTAGGCTGGAAAATTCTTTGTTGTTGGGACTGTCCTGTGCGTGTCAGGATGTTTAGAGCATCTCTGGTCTCCGCCCACTGGATGCCAGTAGCATACCCTTGTCCCCAGGCATTGCCAAATGTTCCTGGGAAACAAAATTGCTCTCAGTTGAGAATCACTGACCTAGGCTGATCAATGGAGATGATCATTTAGCCAATTATTTTAAAAAGTTACAAGACACAACTTTAAAAAACATGACTGCTTCCTTGGAGGAAAAAGTAATAAGATTCTGCAGCAAGCTTAATATCCTGTATGCTCTAGAGAGACTACTTTAAAAATCTGAAGAGCTATTCATATTCTATTGCCATGAATCTTTTATCCTTTAAAACTGTTTTGTCTGAAATTCTTGGCTAGAATATTTGTAATTTGTATAGGTTAAATCCTGATAAGACTGAGGTTTTTCTTTCCACTTTCTTAAAACAATAATAGACAATAACAACAACATTATGGCTTTCTGGGAGATTTTATCTCATTTACTTTCATTCAACATCTGCTATTATACCTTAATATTCCAGTTTCTTTAGAGAAAGCACTGGAGTAAAAGAAATTAGAGAACTGTAGCTAAAATTAAAGCCCAGATCTCTCTTTTTGAATTTGAAACTGTTTTGCACGCTGCTAATGTACCCTGCCTAATTTCTGCTTGTTGTTATTGCTTAGAAGAGAAATTACAAGATAAAGATGCAGCCAGGAGTTTTAGTCACAACGTGGTAAGGTGCTATACATTTGTTAGTCCCTCAAATTTCTCATTTAATCTTGTGTGTTTCTTTTGGAGGCACACAGAGGTGGAAACAAAAATCTGAATCTGGTCCTGTGACTTGGGGGCCTTGGGTAGGAACACAGACCAAGGTGACTCAAGGTGGTTCCCCCAGAAATCACCTCAGTTTTAGAATTGGAGTCCCTCAACCCCTTATGATGTCCTAACCTAACCTTCACAGGAAGAGAAGCAGGGAACCATCCCTTGCTGGTTCTGGAAGCATGCTTTTGGCCATTGACTCCCTTCCAAATTCTAGATTCCATCTCTAAGACTCTCCTAGTCCACTCGCAATCCCTACAGTGATGCTGGCCTCATCCCAGCAGGAAAGGAAAGGGAGCTGGTATTGCTCCCCTGGCAGACACCCCAACACAACACTGTTGGCCAGATCAGGGCACCGTGTTCTCCAGGGGAAGCAAATGTCGAACTTGCTGGAAGCTACAGAAATTGCACTTAAAATGGAGCATTAAAAATGATACCTATAATCCGTCAATGCAAAAGGGTTAAATAAACTTGTTGAAAATGCTGGAACTAAGATGGAAGGAGAGTCCTCAAGGGATCCCTTCCTTAGCACCTTGCCTCAGGTAGACATGTTATCATTTTGCAAAGGAAGCAACTGAGGCCCACAGACAGGTTACATCACTGCAGTCACAGCATGCTTAGGAAGCCGAAGGGGGAGGTTTGCTCCAGAGAGTTTGCCTCCCAATATGGTGCTGCTTTAACTGTACCATTTGTATCAGATGGATTTGAAATGGGCATTTTAACATTTGTCATATTTTAACAATTTGCTGGGTAAGCTTTTTATTAGTTTACCATGATTGTTTCTTAAAAAAAAAAATTGCTTCTTTGAAAAAGATTTTCCAAAATCCCTCATGCTCAGTCAAAGGGCCTTATAATATTGGGACTAACATGATGAGCTACCTCTTCAATGCTCTCAGTAGCGGCACTACTAGGGAAGTTGGCCAAGAAAGCATCAGTTGGAAGGACTCTGCAACCAACATCATCAGGAATCAGCCTCTGGAGTAACAAATGTGCACCACAGGGTAACAAATTAACTCTTAACTCTTCAGAGCAAGAGCCTGTCACTTTGGGAAGCATTATAACATGAATTTTCCTTTTGTGCATTATCTTTTATATAATAATTGCTCATCTGTTCCAAGCCAGCCTCATCCTCCTCTACCATTTGGTTAAATTACATTTCATTTTAGTATACTTATTTGGGGGCACTAAAACCGGAAGGGAAAGTACAGCTGAAGTGATGTGAAATGACACTTAAATCCACAGGAGAAATTGAGAGGCTTCATGGTGTAGGCCATGGAGTCACACATAGATGCCTTTGGGTTAAGATCACAGTGCTGTAGGTCTTTTGCCCTTACAGAGCCTTAGTTTCCTTATCTGTAAAACCAGATTGACAACTATCATGTAAAGCTGTTATGAGGATTAAAATATAGGTGTATATATTCTGAAATTCATATGGAGCCAAAAAAGAGGCTGAATAGTCAAAGCATTTCTAGGCAAAAAGAACAAAGCCAGAGGTATCGTATTACTGGACTTCAAAGTATACTACAAGGCTACAGCAACCAAAACAGACTGGTACTGGTATAAAAAGACATATAGGCCAATGGAATAGAGAACCCAGAAATAAAGCTGCACACCTGTAGCCAGCTGATCTTCGACACAGTCAACAAAAATAAGCAATGGGGAAAGGACTCTCTGTTAAATATATGGTGCTGGGATAACTGGCTAGCCGTATGCAGAAGAACGAAACTGGACCCCTACATTTCACCATACACAAAAATTAACTCAAGATGGATTAGAGATTTAAATGTAAGACCTCAAACTATAAGAATCCTAGAAGAAAACCTAGGAAATACCATTCTGGACATTGGCCTTGGGAAAGAATTTATGACTAAGTCCTCAAAAGCAATTGTAACAAAAACAAAAATTGACAAGTGAGACTTGATGAGTTTAATTAACTAAAGGGCTTCCACATAGCAAAAGAAAATATCGACAGAGAAAACAGACAACCTACAGAATGGGAGAAAGTATTTGCAAACTATGCACCTGAAAAGGGTCTAATATCCAGAATCTAAAAGGAACTTAAGTCAACAGGCAAAAAACAACCCCATTAAAAAGAGGGCAACAGGAGTTGGAGACCAGCCTGAGCAACATGGCAAAACCCTGGCTCTACTAAAACTATTATACAAGAATTAGCTGGGCATGGTGGTGTGCATCTACAGTCCCAGCTACTCGGGAGACTGAGGCAGGAAGATCACCTAAGCCCGGCAAGTCAAGGTTACAGTGAGCCGTGATGGTACCGCTACACTCCAGCCTGGGTGATACAGCAAGACCCTTAGAAAAGGGTCTTAAAAAAAAAAAAAGTGGGCAAAAGATATGAAAAGACACGTCTCAAAAGAAGACATACAAGCAGCCAACAAATATGAAAAAATGTTTATCACCAATCATTGGAGAAATGCTAATCAAAACCACAAGATGCTGTCTCACACCCTTCAGAATGGCTATTATTAAAAGTAAAAAAAAAAAAAAAAAAAACAGAATCTGGCAAGGCTGAAGAGTAAAGGGAATGCTTATTCACTGTTGGTGGGAATGTAAATTAGTTTAGCCTCTGTGGAAAGCAGTTTGGAGATTTCTCAAAGAACTTAAAAAAGAATTACCATTCTACTCAGCAATACCATTACTGGGTACATACCCCAAAGAAAAGGAATTGTTCTACCAAAAAGACACATGTACTCATATATTCATTGCAGCACTATTCACAATAGCAAAGCTATGGAATCAACCAAGATGCCCATCAGTGACCAACTGGATAAAGGAAATGTGGTACATATATACCATAGAATACTATGCAGCCATAAAAAATAATGAAATAATGTTCTTTGCAGCAACATGGATGTAGCTAGAAGCCATTATATTAAGAGAATTAACGCAGGAACAGAATACCAAATACCACATGTTCTCACGAGTGGGAATAAAGCATTGGGTACACACAGACAGGAAGGTGGGAACAACAGATACTGGGGATTCCTGGGGGGCAGAGAGAGGAGGTGGCAAAGGCTGAAACACTATCTACTAGGTACTGTGCTCTCTACCTGGGTGATGCAATAATTTGTATGCCAGTCCTCAGTGTCATACAACAGACCCATGAAACAAACCTATGCATGTATCCCCGAATCTAAAATCAAAGCTGAAATTAAAATTAAAAATAAAGGTGTATAAAGTATCTGGCAGTCAACAAATTACCAGTGAATGAAGGACGTAATTAAAAATACCTCTTACTCAAGGCCATAAGTTTCTCCATATAAAAAAGTTAAAAAGAGGACGGATCAGAGACAAATAAATTGGAATTGGGGAGGGGAGTGAGATCAAATTTCTCAGTGAACAGTTTCCATTAATACAATGCCATGATCTATAACGATGTATATTTTTTAAGTACTACACATATACTTCCTTTACAAACAATGACAATGCAAATGTACACGTGTCCAAATGTCTTAGGGAGAACCTTACAATACTGGGACAGTTTAAGATACTGGCAAACTGAAGCGAGGGAGAGGCAGATGCCTGCCACTCAGTGGCATACCCTTACCTCCTTTTCCTCTAAGGAAGCAATATTTCCTCATCCTCATCAACAGTTAGACCAGGGCTCATTATGTGTACACCCTGAAAGAGGTACGCATCTACAAAAGCCATCTAGCTTTCAAGAGGTGTTAGTTTAGGGATTCAAAAATTTTATCTAGGCTTTGATTTCAGCAACTAAAAAATCGTGTATGTAGCTAAGGACATGAGGAAACATGGAAAAAAGAAAACAGTTTGATACAATACAATGGTCAGATTGCAGATTGTTTTTGTCTCAAAAAATAATTTCCAGGCTGGACACGGTGGCTCACGTCTGTAATCCCAGCACTTTGGGAGGCTGACGTGGGCGGATCACCTGAGGTTAGGAGTTCGAGACCAGCCTGGCCAACATGGGGAAACCCCATCTCTACTAAAAAAATAAAATAAAAAAATTAGCTGGGTGTGGTGGCAGATGCCTATGATCCCAGCTATTAGGGAGGCTGTGGTGGGAGAATCACATTAACCTGGGAGGGGGAGGTTGCAGTGAGCCAAGATGGTGCCCCTGCACTCCAGCCTGGGCAAAAGAGCAAGACTCCACCTCAAAAAAAAAAAAAAATTCTGTTGTTATAGATAATAATGTTCATAATTACAAATAACCATTGAGAAAACATGTTTCAAAATATATGTTCATAAAAAGCTTTGCACAAAATGACATGTCAAATGGAAAAAGGAATATATAACATCCAAATTGCTAGCTTATTCATTGTCTTCAGGCAGAGAAAAATTAAGCAGAGCACCAACTGTACATTGCTACACCAGTGGTGTGATAAATCCATATGTTCTGGGAACCTGGAAACCAGATTAAGCAATCAGATTGAAGACACGATCAAACTTAAAGGTATAGTAAATATAACCCATATTAGTGGTTAACGTGATAGGTTTTATTAAAATGCACATATTAAATCTTCACAAAATATCTTTAAAAATCTTTGTGTATGATTATTACCTCTGAAGGTCTTATTATATGCCGTTTGCCTCTTGGAGCTTCAAAAAAAAGTTGTTCTCTGGCACCTGAATTCACTTGCAATAATTTTCCTGTTACGACAGAACGAAGTAGAGAGATAATTAAAATCTGACTTTATCTCTTTATTATAAAATGAGAAGCATGGGTGCTATTTTGATTCATTTTAATCAAAGTCTCACAAATTGAGTAAATACATTTTGAATTATTCAGAAGGGCATGTACAGCCAATTACATGATGTGGTACAAACCCCAAAGCTGTGATTTTTAGAATATGGACTTCATAATATTTGATCTTCAACATCCTTCAAATAACAGAAGAATAAAGCTTGATATGTTTTATTGATATGCTGCACTGAAAATATAGTTTTCCAAAGCCTGAGAAAAATCAGTTTTCCCCCTGTTTTTCCCAGTTGCCTCTCAGCAAACTGTGTTGGCAAGAATTATGTCATTGGAAGATTATGGCAATTAGAAATAAAACACTTACTGTGAGCATTCACATTTACTTAGGACTGAGTTCTAAATTTGCCTTTAAAGTTTAGAAACAGAACACACAAACTATAAATGCTCATTCCTTCCCCACCCTCTGGTCTTACTTGAACATTTGAAAAGAAATCCAGGACTTTCCCCAAGGAAAATGTTGGGCAAAAATAGTCTTTCAGTCTGATGTACAATTATAATCTTGGATTTGACGTTGAAAAAGGTTAGATTTCCTAATTCTCCTCCTACAATGGCAACAATCTTGTAAGGCTTAAAATGTAAATGACTCAAGGTATTTATGTTCCAGTATTTTTGCCATTTTTTAAATATTATGGAAAGTTTCAAACATGTATAGAAGAAGAGTATAAAGAACCCCTGTATGCCCACTGTCCAGCCTCAACAGCTATTAACACATGGCCAACCCTGTTTCATGAACCTCCACCCTAGATTATTTTGAAGCAAATTTCAGACGTCATAATATTTCACCTATAAATAATTCAGTATACATATACATAATATTTCTCCTTTTGTTTTTTCCCATAACTATGTATATCTAGTAGTTTTGAAATATCTTTCTTAGAAAAATAATACCAAAATAAGAACTTTTTGGTTTAGATCGTGTTCTTTAGCATTTAAATAGGCACCACCTTGATCTGAAATCTAGCTTGGCTAATCTTTTTTTTTTTTTTTTTTTTTTGAGATGGAGTCTCGCTCTGTCACCCATGCTGGAGTGCAGTGGGCAGTGGTGTAATCTTGGCTCACTGCAACCTCTGCCTCTCAAGTTCAAGCGATTCTCTTGCCTCAGCCTTCTGAGTAGCTGGGATTACAGGCACCCACCACCACACTTGGCTAATTCTATTTTTTAGTAGAGACAGAGAGTCATCATGTTGGCCAGGGTGGTCTTGAACTCCTGACCTCAGGTGATCTGCCCACCTCGGCCTCCCAAAGTGCTGGGATTATATGGCATGAGCCACCATGCTCAGCCTAGCTTGGCTAATCTTAAGAAGTTGTAGATCTACTTCTACCTGACTAAAAATAAGGTTCTCTCATTTCCAAACTGACAACTTTAATCATTTCTAATTTGGTGAATTATAACACAGTGATTAGGGGATTTTTCCTTGACTTGAGCAAATATATCTGAAAATGTGTACCCTGAAATGGGCACATCTTCTGACTTTATGGCTGAATATATGTAAGTGAGAAAAGAAAAAAGGGAGTTAGTTATCTTTGACTATTTAGAATTATAAGAAAATGAGTAACCAATACTTTTCCGATGAACTAAATACATCTGTAAAGTAATTCTATTTTTAGGACACTCAAGAGTGATTGCAAATGACAAAGCACGTGGACGGTTATTCAGTGAACACATTCTTTGAATATGGCTAATTTTAGATGATATTTGGCCATGAGATACTAAGATAATTCAGAGGACTGTAATCCTCAGATAAATCCCAACAACTCACTTTACACCATAGTTTCAAAGATCATACTTCACTTAAAACCAAAAATGAGAAAAATCTCTCAGTGAAGTAATTTATGATTGCAAAAATATTCGAGAATCTAAACACATAGACAAGTACCGTAAGTGCTGTGTAGCATTGTAGACAGCTTGTAGGGTCCCCTATCTAGCACATGCCCCTTCCCCGAGAACTGCCCCCGCGGTCATGTTTATACTCTGCGGGCAGATGTTGATCCTGGAGGGGCCAGGCTCACACTGGGCTGGGTAATCAAAGTTCTCTCTTGGTAAACTGGAATCTGAGAGGCTGAATCAGTTGGTGCCTACAGGGATGAGATGTGGACTTTGGGCCTGTGGGTGGCATTTTGGGGCAGCCGAGGCTGGGCCATGTGCAGATGAAGTAGAGAAAGGCTGCTTGTGCAGAGAGAGGGGTCAAAGGCAGAGATAAGACCCAGAAGAGCAGTGGATGCTGAAACTAGCTGCCTAAGAGTGGGAGAGGAGGGGAGAGGAACTGCTTGCTTGGTTCCTGTGCGTTTTCTAGTTCATTGCTAAACTCAGTTCCTTGGCAGGTGTTCTTTCCTGCTCTTGGATTCTATAAAATATCTCCGTATCTTTCCAATAAACTCATCTGTTATTATTACTTTAAAATTTAAGCTGGTTTCCAGCCTGGGCAACATGGTGAAACCCCATATCTACTAAAAATACAGAAAAAAAATTAGCCGGGCATGGTGGCAGGCACCTGTGGTCTCAGCTGCTTGGGAAGCTGATGTGAGAGGATCTCTTGAGCACAGGAGGCACAGATTGCAGTGATCTGAGATTGCACCACAGCACTCCAACCTGGGTGACAGAGTGGGACCCTGTCTCAAAAAAAAAAAAAAAAGTTTAAGCTGGTTTGAGTGGGTTTCTGTTCTTTGCAATCAAGGATGTCAAGAAGAAAAAACCAAACCAAAAAGCTATTCTTCTATTAGAAAGGAATAATTAAGGGTATTTTTTTAAAACCAAAATTTTCTTTACTGCTGCTAATACATGTTTCTTAAGCATGAGGAAATATTTAGGTCACCACTCCTTTTTCTCTCTGCCTGCTGTGATATCTATCTATCTATCTATCTATCTATCTATCTATCTATCTATCTATCTATCTATCTTATCTATCTATCTATCTATCTATCTATCTATCTATCTATCTATCTAATCTATCTAATCTATCTAATCTATCTGTCTCACCACTGACATATTCTGAGGATGAGGAGCAGAAGCAAGAACAAAAACTCTGTTTGCATTTATAATTGCTCTTGAATAACAGTAATCCTTTCAGAATCACATTTTTATTCACTGGAAATATCTGCTCACACAGATTAAAAACTGAAAGACACCCATGTCCTTACATCACACATCTTGCGGGTACCATAGAGCTTTGCAGCCCACAAAGTGATCCACATACATCATCCCAGCTGCTATATAATTTACAAGTTAGAATAATTCTAACAACTGGTACTAAATATACCAAGTATCAGGCCATCTGCAACAAAAATGGGAATGAAATGTCCTATTATGGCTCAAATTGTCATTTTTATTATTACTTTTTGAGACATAGTCTCGCTCTGTTACCCAGGCTGGAGTTCAGTGGTGCCATCTCAGCTCCCTGCAACCTCTGCCTCCCGGTTCAAGCGATTCTCCTGGCCTCAGCCTCCCAAGTAGCTGGGATTACAGGCGCCCGCCACCACACCTGGCTGATTTTTGTAATTTTAGTAGAGATAGGGTTTCACCATTTTGGCCAGGCTGGCCTCAAACTCCTCACCTCAGGTCACCCACCTCAGCCTCCCAAAGTGCTGAGAATACAGGTGTGAGCCACCGCACCCAGCCTTCAAATTGTTAATTTGTAAAGGATGTTATAGCCTGATATTTCTAGAAATGAACTTGTAGCATTTAGAAAATACCCTTTCTATGTTTTCTCTCCCTCCATACATTTTTTCTTTCTCAAGCATTCCATGCTGGAGCTTTCATTCAGGGGTAGCTGATGTTCCTGCAAAAGCCCAGTGCACTTTTTGGTTTTCCAAGGACCTGTAGTTGCCATGGGCACAAGAGGCTGCTGAGGCTGGCGGCTGTGCCATCCCCCACCCTGAGAAGCCAGCTGGCTCTGGCAAATGCTTTCACTATTTTCGACAGGATCAAAGGCATGAAACAGAACCCTGCTTCTAAATTCTGCTCTCAACCTTGCCAGACTCTGGAGGCCCCTGCTGTGAAAGCTAGGCTGGTCTTGAGGCAGCATGGCACATTCTCGAGATCAGGCATTTTGGGGACTGAGGTGTTGGGAATGCAGGAATATCAGGATGACACATGTCTCATGGCTAGTGGAGTTAGATCAAGGAAGATTCACAGGTATTCTTGCTCTTATTCTCCAGATGGTGTAATTCCTCCCTAAAAATCAGAAGTGTCTCTACTACTCTCAATCCACAGAAAGCACTTGGTCTGACCCCCTCACCTGCCTGCAGGGACCCTTACAATGAGAAGCATGGTGGCTTTTCAAAGACCTTTGACTCCACTCCTCTCCTGCTCATTCCCAGGAGCCTCCCTCAGCATCCTGAGCTCTAAGAGGCTGGCCTTGGGCAAGATTATGGAAATAGGGAGGTTTGCTTCTCTTTCCACCAAGTGATGGCTCCATATCGAGGGACTTTACACAGACCTTCCCCCAGGCCCCTCCACAGCAGCATCCCCCTGATCCTGGCCGAGATCTTGTGCTTTCTATCTGGGACTTACTTCTCTTTATATCCCCACCATCTGACACAGGGCCTATACATTTGCAGAATTAAGAACAAACAAACTCCCTAAACGCAAATGAAACCCAAAATGAGATACACTTCATATCCATTAGGACAGCTATTATCAAAATAAACACATAAAATAAGCTTTGGCAAAGATGTGGAGAGATTTGAACCCTTGTGTACAACTGGTGGGAATATAAAATGGTAGAGCTGCTATGGAAAACAGTATAGTAATTCCTCAAAAAGTTAAAAATAGAACTACCATATGATTCAGCAATTACACCCTTGGGCATATACCTCAAATACTTGAAAGCAGGGTTTTGAAGATATATTTGTACATCCATGTTCATAGCAGCATCACTCACAGTGGCTGAAATGTGGCAGCCACACAGGTGCCCCTCAACAAATAGATAAGCAAAATACAGTCTATACATAAAATTAAACATTCAGTCTTTAAAGTAAGGAAATTCTGACACATGCTACAACATGGAGGAATCTTGAGAACATTATGCTAAGTGGAATAAGCCCATTATAGAAAGACAAATACTGTATGCTTCCACTTATACGAGGTACCTAGAGTGGTTACATTCATAGAGACAGAAAGTAAAATGGTAGATGCCAGGTGTTGGGGAAATGAAAAGTTATCATTTAATGGGAATGTCATCAGTATTACAAGATGAAAAGAATTCTGAGATGGGGGCAGTGATGGTTGCACAACAGTGTCAATGTTTTTAACGTCCTTGAACTGTACACTTAAAAAATGATTAAAATGGTACATTTTTGTTATGTGTACTTCACAATTCAAAATAATTAAGAAATCTTCCCAGTCAAAATTTACTCTATATATACCCTCTTTTCTCTGGACTCTTCACTCCGTAATAGAAACAATAATGGGTTTTAATCCCTAATAGTCATTGAGTGGTGGGATTTCACGTATTGTATCAGGTATTTTGTGTGTGTGTGTGTGTGTGTGTGTGTGTGTGTGTGTGTGTGTGTGTGTGTGTGTGTCGGATTCTAAATAAAGTTAATCAGACCCTATTCTACCTGGCAAGAGAATAGCAAGATAATAAATAGGGAGAAATCACTGCTTTAAAAAAAAAAGCAGAGAATATCAAAGAAGGGTCTGAGAAGCAGCTGCTTTCATCGGCCTCACCAGTTCCTAGATAAAGTCACAGTGCCCTGCCTGGTCATAAATGCCGGTCAAAGCCCTCGGCACTTTGTCTGGCCAGCACTGCCCTGACATGAAAGCGAAACAGACTTATCTGATCTCCCTTTGCCCTTGTTGGGACTTGTACCTTTTATAAATGCAATGCATCACATGCTTTTTTCTCTATCTACTGCACCGTATAAAACTCCTGAATGTTGTAAAGCTGAAATAAAGTCCAAATTCCAGTGTGGCAAGTATAGTTACAACTAAATACCTGCCAGGCAGAAGGGTTTCCAAGTCCTGGTCTATGGCCACTACTCCAAGAAATACTCTGAAATAACCTTTTTGGCAGAGGCCTTCATCATCGTTCTCCTGATTAATTTGATTGCTCCAACTCCAGGCTCACTTCTTCTCCCCAAGATGGGAGGGAATGCCCCACGCTAGATCCCTCAGAGTTACATAGTGCCTACAAGTACACAGTTCAGCATGAAAGTTCTGCTCTATCCCAGCCTGTGTCTCCACATTCCCCTCCCTTCACACCCTCAGCCACTGAGCACTTCTATTTCTTCATCACCCCCTGGTTCTTCCCACCTTCACTCTTCATATGCCATATTCCTTTTGCCTGGAATGGCTCTTCCTTGATAGCGCTATCTGGTGGATTTCTCCTTATCTCTCAAGATCAACCTCAAAGGTCACTCCCTTCTACAGAGGCTCCATGGATTACCTCCAAGGAGCTTTCCCTCAGAGCATACATTGGGCTTGGTGCTTCTCTACCACAGTGGACTACAACGTCTCTGAAGGTGGGAATGCTGTCCATTCCCAAGTACCCGCTCCAGACTCTCAACATCAGCCGAGTCTTGAGGATAGGATTTACGAGTGACTCACCCTATAGTGCAATGTTCCACCCTGGGTACTGAATGCTGCCGTGGCCCATTCGGAGTCCCTGCTCACCACTTCCCTTGTGACTCACCACTGCTTACTCACACGGTACCCATTTTGTGCTCTTGTATTATTTATGGATAAGTATCTCCCTCACTCAATTATAAACTCCACAGGGAGCAGAAACCATGTCTTACTCACTTCCAGAGCCTCCACATTTGCTAGCTTAAGACTATGCAACACCATAAAAGCTAGAGTTATTAAATAGACAAATCCTCATGGCATTTGTGGGCATGACTTGGAGGAGGTAGGAGTAGGTTGGGAGTTTTATAGAGCAGAGAAATTTTAGGCAGGCTGAATGTAGATTTCTACCTCTGCTGGAGGAGGAAATTTGCTTGAGCCTTTTTGGGCGGTTCTCCAAGAGGTGGAGCTTTGGGTGGAAAAGGGAAACCAGCCAGGAGGAGGATGAGGGGACCCAAGACAAGGAGAAAGCACTCCCAACTAAAGGTGAGGTGGTGGCTTGCTATGATAACAAAAGGCATCATGTATCTTTAACTGTCTTAAAACTCAATGGCTTGAATCAATAGTGACAATAATCATCCTAAGCGTAAAAAGATGGAAAAAGTATTCAAAATGTTAGCAGCAGCTGCCTCTGGGTTGTAAAATTACAGTCGTTTATATTGTTGTGGGATTCCCCTTTCCCATTTCTAACACTCAACTGCCATTCTCTCTAGAAACAATGCATAAATGGACATTTTTTAAACACAGAAATTCTATTTTAAAAGCCACAACATACTTTACCTCTAGAGTCCCAGTCAATGTGTGTAATATAACTAGAAGCACCTTTACAGATGCCAACCCTTTTGCTTGTAAGTACGTTGTAAATATCCACAAAGTTATCATGGGATGCCACGGCAAGGTATTTTCCCGTATCTGTTAAGAAAAATGTGGGGTTAACATCGAAGCATTTTATATAGGAATTTACTTCCAGGAACTTAGTATTTTAAAAGTGGGAAAATGGTCAAAGAAACATTTGAAATAGTTCATTCTTGTAATTTTTTGTCCCAAGACTGTGCTATTTTAAAAAGTATCTGCTGTCATCTTCACCTTTTGAAAACTTAATATCAGAGATCATTTCTTTTCTGTGATGGAAAGAGACCATGTCTTCAACAGTGTCAGCATTTACCACCAGGAAACTCCCATCGTTCAAGCCAACCGCTAAGGCTTTCCCATCAGGGGAAAAGGCACAGCATCTTCCACCTACAGAAGAATCCACAAAAAACACTTATTATCCAAAACTTCACTGTCAAGCAAACCACATGAAAAGATGAAGAAATCTGATGATGTGCATTATGTATGGACACGTGACTGCCTTTAAATTGACACTACACTTGTGAGAACTAAAACTTCCTAATTTAAGACACCTCTTGTCTGGGCGCAGCAGCTCATGCCTGTAATCCCAGCACTTTGGAAGGTCGAGGCAGGTGGAACTCTTGAGCCCAGGAGTTCGAGACCAGTCTGGGCCACATTCCGTAGGTTAAAAATTAGTTGAAAAGTTATTTTTTGTAGAGGCGAAACCCACCCTGTACAAAAAGTAAAGAAATAAGCTAGGTGCAGTGGCTTATGCCTGTAATCCCAGCACCTTGGGAGGCCAAGGCAGGTGGATTGCTTGAGCCCTGGAGTTCAAGACCAGCCTGGGCAACGCAGCAAAATCCCATCTCTACAAAAAATACAAAAATTAGCCAGGAATAGTGGCACATGCCTGTAATTCCAACTACTCAGGAGGCAAGGTGGAAGGATCACTTGAGCTTTGGAGGTGGAGGGTGCAGTGAGCAGTGATCATGCCATGGCACTCCAGACTGGATGACAGAGGGAGACCCTGTCTCAAGAAAATAAAATTAAGTATCTCTTCTCCCCAAGTCCAAGGAAAAAGATCATAATATCAAAAATACATTTTCAACTTCCATGAGGTTTATTCATTCATTTATGAGTATTTAAATACCTGGGGTTTCCAAAAAATAAGTGGGGTAAATGGAGAAAAGGAGTATAGGGTTAATAGGACCAGTATCTTTGCTTCGAAGAAAAGAGGTAATATTTAAGAATAGGAGTTCTATAATAAAATTTCCAGAAACCATTTTTTTTAAATATTAAGCCTTACATACAACTTGCTTTAGAGGACCTCATTCTTTTAGTTGCTCCAATTCTCTGATCCACGGATTGTAATGTATAACTCTAGAGGTGAAAGATGTTGTTCTTGCCTCTTCTGTCACGCGAAGAATGGAATCTGAACATTCTCCCAAGGGGTTTCTGGAAAACTAATTGGCACTAGGGTGATGGTGCTCCATGAACCATGTTCTCTACTCCTTTGTAGGGTCACAAAGACATTTCTGAATCAGGAGCATGGACTTTGCAAAGGTATGTCTAAAAGGAAACTGATTCAAGAACATGCCTACCCTCTGCCACCATTCTTATTGTCGAGCGTTGTAAGCACACCCCAGGGATAGGACAGCCAGGTGGCCTTGTGCCAGGGCATTTAATACCGAGCCTCTTTACCAACTCCTCTGTTCATGGTATGCTGAAAGCTGTGTTCATGCTCAAAACTGACGTGCCAGTACTGAGACAATGAAAATACAAGCCTGCCCTTGAAGAGCATCATCAAGATTAGGTTAATCACAATCTATCGTACAGACCAAGACACGTTTGAGAGTGAAAAGGAAAGCTATTAATAATTATACCAGAACAACAGGGGTAAACTGGGTTGAATGGTTATCCTATCTAAGATGGGTCAATAGTTGTTCAACTAATTTTTAACTTAGAGAATAAAGTCCATTCACTGACATTCAAGTCCTTCACAGTGAGGACTTGGCCTATCATTCCCCCGATATAAACTAGTAGCCAAAATGATTCTAGCCTGTAGTGATTACGAGCATGGGCTTTGGACTTAGATTTGGGAAATCCTGCCTCCACCATTTACCAATCCCCAGGAGCCTAGTGTAAAGACAGGCAACACGGCAGAGGGAAATAGTGTTAAGCAGTGGCCACAGGTGTGTTCTCACAGTCACACTGCATGGGTTTGAATTTGGTTCCATTACCTACTAAATGTGCAAACTAATTAAGCTTCCTGTGCCTCAGTTTTCTGATTTGTAAGTGGCAATAATAATAGCCTTACTCATGGGGTTCCTACAAAGACTACATGGAAAGAGCTGGCATAGTTGTTGGCTCAGCCATATTAGCCACCATCACTATTGTTACTACTGTTTTGACACCTTTCTTCATTTTATTACCCTAGAATACAATCCTCATGTCTGCTTATAAAATTACTCAGTACAAATATTTTAGGGTCAGACCTCAATTTCATCCTTCCCTCTTAAGAACTTTTACAGATCCTTCAAGCCTCAGCTCGTCACCTCTCTGATGAAGCATTTCCAAGCAGTAGATGTCCTCTGAGGCTCCAGGGTACTTTGTGCCAAATATCTTTAGTTTGTCCTTTCACATCCCCTTTTTGCCCTTGTCCACCCTGCTCTGTGCCTGAAGCTGGTCTGCATGGAGAGCATCAATGGGCTCCCTTGTCCTCTGGTTTCAGGTTGACTTTGGCCAACGGGGAGCACTGGTGGGAAATTAGAGAGATGGAGGAAGAATAGGGAGGCCGGGCCATTTATTTCCCTGGCTGCCTCCCGCAGGGTCACTGCATGCTGGCAGAGTCCCCTGCTATCAGTCGTGGCTTCTCTCAGGCTGCCATCTCATGTGGCTCTCATATTCAAGGTTGCAGCAATTGTCCTCTCCTCCTGTCCCTTCAAGCCCAGGGCCAGTGAGAGCAGCCGCCATTACTAGCTGCATAGTGCTGCACTATCCCTGGTCATTTCCTCATACCTTCCCCATCCCTTTATATAAATAGTCCCATTTTAAAGACTCTCCTCGAATTACCCAATTTGAATGGATATGTTGCTGAGACTCTGTTCAAGTCCTGTCTATCTCTGACACTAGAGATGGGACCATTCATCATGGGATCCCCTGTGCCTGCCACACAGAAGCTACTTAATAAATGTTTGCTGAATTTGTACCTCTCAGTACACCTCATAGTTCTAGTGCATTTAGGTGTTCAAGACATATTTACTCATTTCTTAAGTATTATATTTCTATATAATTGATGTTTGTTTTCAAGTCATAAAATAAGTTCTGGAGACTGTTACAAAATAAATAGCATTCTTTAAAAGCTGATGAATTTCAATTGACTCCCACAGCTCTCAATGAGAAGAGGAAGGACATATTGCCCCCAGGTGGCAAATATCTGTGCAGTGCAAGGAAAATGAAGTGAAAAATGGAGCTGGATTAGGCCAGCCTTCTGGCATAATTCTACATGTGCTTAGTTATGACTGTAGCAACCAATATAAAATTCTCATTGCCCAGCATATTTATGGGCATATAACACGTGCCCTCAGTAAATATTAACTGAGTGAATAAATATGACACATTCTGTTACTTGTAAATACTCTGACAGATGTGTAAGGTGGTGTTATGTACCTTTTTTGAGTTTCCGTACTGCCAGCATACGGTGCTGGGCAGATAGTTCCCAGATGCGAAGTGTTTTATCATCGCTCACTGTTGCACAGATGGGCAGGAGAGGGTGAGCTGCCAACCCCCACACTTCTCCTTCCATGTGCCCCTGTGGGAGAGGAAAAGGGGCAACATAAACTCTACTTATGCTGTTTGGCTAGCCCTTCTTTAGCCTGGTGCTACATATTCAGTCCAAGAGTACCACAAAAAAGCACAAATAGGAATAAACACACTTTGAGCTTCCTTGAACCAAAATCATCACCCGAAATAATTTTTTCATTTAAACTTGAATCTACAGCTAGACCTACACGATGCTAAATCATTCATTTGCAAAGCAAAACATGAACTCATTGCTTATTGGTTTTGTTTATATGATGCCAAACATCTTTCCATTTAGAAACATCCAGGTAAATGGTGAAATGCCTGCTTTTCTGTTGTTTCATACTAAATAAACATAGTATATATGTACCCTCCTAGTAAAGCAGCTTAATCACAAGGACACAAACCACTTCCTTCAGTTAAATCATATTCTAAAAGATGCAGGTACGACCCATTCATGTCAGTGAAATTGAAGAGCAATATTCTAATTATTTATGCAATTTTAGTCCTTTGAATGTGTAGCATTCGGCAGAGCAGAAGTAAAGGAAGCTAAATTTTCATTTCAAGCGTCCTCGGTGTAGCCCAGGTTCTGCGTCTGTTCACAAATTGGTCTGTCCATGTGCCAACAATGAACATCAAAAACTGAAAGGTGCTTAATAAGCACTGGACCAATTCCATGTATCTGTATCTTATCACAAACACACTTGGCTGGCTTAGAATAATAACTAAGAGAAAGCAGTATTTTTTTATAACGAACACTTAACAGGGAGAAAATGAATTTGATTCTCATAATTTTTCACTCTATAATGCAGTGTGTAAAGATTAGTGCTACAGAGCAATAAAACAGACCAGATTAACTGTTTACTGAATTTTGGCTTTTTAATGGCTAATTACAAAAAGGCTTTGCTTAGTAAAGCAAAAAGGAAGCCCACACACAGGCATCTGAAAGGTGTTTGTAGCTGGAATGCTTTGGGGAACAGGTGGCTTTCCAAAGAGAAATTGGATGATTCCAATTTAACTGAGAAGCTATTTGAGCAAAACAGTAATTTGGCAGAAGATGTAAAGTTCCAAATACAACTGACATTCAAATATGAGAAAATGAGGGCTGAAGGATACAGACATTGTTTTTGAATTTATTGGATTTGAGGACACCCTACATCCCCGGTTTTCTAGCCTTCTCTTTGGAAGCCTCCCAGCCCCAGAGTCACAGTCAGGGTACAGCTCAGGGGTCAACCTCACATCTTCCCAGACTGACTCTGCTTGAAGCTCTTCTATAGACTGAGCCCCTTTGTGTATTTTAGTTAAGAACAAGATTGTGGGACCCAGAGATCCTTTTAAACCACTGCCTTATATTGACATCAAAATTGTATTTCCTTAATCTGTTTATTTTAATCCCCGTGTAACACAGGATCGGACAGTAAGCGAGGCAGGCTTGAAGGACCTTGAATGGCTCAAGGAAATGGGCTTAGGATCCTGCTTTGCTGCTGATCACCCACAAAGCTGATCATAAACAGCTGTACAACTGCGAGCTGACTGCTTCAAAGCACACATGACGGGAAATGCCACAACCCATCACCTGCCATTCTCCCCTCCCCCAACCTTATTTTCTCTTAAAAAATAAGCAGTCTATTCCAACTGTGATTGGATTGCCGTGCCACCAAAACCGGCAAAGTGGATCTAAAATCTTCTTCCGGCAGGACAGCCCATCGTCTCACTCACACTGCCTCTACAGTTCCTTCACTTTCCCTTGCTGTCTCTATCATCTCTCAGAACAGGACTGTGACACGGTCCTGGGCAAGCAGGAAGCCCTTATTCCACTGCACATATACACAGCACAGAGCAGACCTGGGCAGGAGCCCAACAAACATTGACTGAACTGAAATAATGAGATCCACCTAAGAGGAAATAGCAAATGAGAGAGCAGAAGACGAAAAAAAGATGCTGAAAAAAAAAAAAGGGAGAGAATGGTACACATGTAGGTGGCAAAGATGGTAACTAACATCTGGTCTGAAGCTTCCAGCAGCTCAACCAGCCACCCCATAGCTCAGGGGCTTTCCTGAAGTGTCCAAGCTAAGAGATGTGGGGAACAGCCTGGTGAGGTGAACAAGGGCTCTGGCAAACCTTGGTTGGAATCCCAGCTCTGCAGTTCTTAGCATGTGACTGTGGGTAATTTTCTGGGCTTTAGGTCCCTCATCTATAAAACAATGTAACAGAGCCAATCTGTTGTGGAGATGAGACAAATGTCGTACAACGGTATTGCCTGACACAGAGTAGGTGCTCAATATATGATTGCTGTGGTTATTTTTCTTATTAGAGCAATAGAAACAAACATAGGAAAGAATAGAATTGTAGAGAATTAAGAAGTGAAAAGCCTTGGTCAAGCATAAAACATATTTAAACCAAACTACCTCAAGTGTAACAAAATAAGAGAGAAAACAAAGTTTAGATCTTACAGTATTATTTAAATCATATTGGGGCATAAATCTTCTAAAATATCTAGCAATATAGCATACATGGAAACAATTTACATTCTCAAACATTTGGAGATTAAAAAGTAAATAAATACTTTTCAGTAAAATTAAATTAGAAGTTATGGCCAGAAAAAAAAAGATTTAGTTTGGAAGAAAACAACAAAAGCAAGAACAGCTGGAGAACAAAGACCTCATTGCCTCAAGGATGCATCTCCAGCCTAGTTCTCTAGCCTGGCTGCAAGGCACGACCAGCTGCAGAGCTTTCGAGGTTTGTTTTTAACATAGATTTTTTCTTTTAAAAACACAGACTTGTTCAGGATATCCAGGGTGGGATTTGGGCACCTGTGTTTTTAAAGCCTTGCAGTGTCCTGAGCCATAGTGTATATGCACATGTGTTTCCATGATACAGTAAGTCAGAGGGACCCTCTCAGTGGGATTTGGGGATTCACTCGTAATACAGCAAGCCTGCAGGCATCAATCACTCAGAGATCAAGGCAAGGAGGGGAAGCTCCTGCACTGGAATCTTGGAAGTTCTGACTGCTCATATGATCAGTGCATTTTCTTTTCTCTCCAACTTCTGAACACACATCCTTCACCCCTCACCATGCCTCTTCCACCTAAATATGGTCTTATCCATCACCAAACTGGGCAGGACTACCTAACGCACCTCCACATCCTACCACATCCCCATCCTTGAGGTGAGATTTTATCATTTCTTGGCTCCTAAAAGGTTCTGTTACATTTATTTTAGTTCAATTTTACCTAAATATGACTTTTGAGGGAAGACAGGGACTAAGGAGGATGCAATTTGCTTATGTGGACCAAGGCTGAGACTATAGTGAGGCCCACATTCCAAAGGGGCACAGGTGCATCTGGCATGTGGGGAGCAGGTAATTTGTCTTGTTCATTTTATGGACGGACAGATTGACAGGACTTACATCTAAGGCACTTCTTCCACACCTGGACCCAATTTAGATAATGAGATTCTGGACTTTGAGCAGATCCTGTAATGTGATAAGGCTCTTGGGGACCTTGGAGGTGGAGGTAAAGGATTCTGTATGTGGTAGGGACATGAATAACTGGTGGCCAGAGGGTGGCCAGTGACGGTGACCCTCATACTCCTCTTGTGTTTTCACACTCTTGCATAATCACCTCCCTTTGAGTGTGGTATGACCTGTGACTTGTTTCTAACCAACAGCATATGGCAAAGGCAATGGAATGTTATGATTCCACATATGTGATGACATAATTATGTAACATAAAATTGTAGTATCTATTTTTTTCCCCTCTGTTTTTGGCTTTGAGAAAGCAGCAATGTTGGGAAACCCTATGTGGCAAGGAACTGTGGGCAGCCTCTGGGAGCTGAAAATGGCCTCTGGCCAACAGCCAGCAAGAAAAAAAAAAGCCTTTAGTCCTACACTTACAAGCAACTTAATTCTGCCAACAACATGAGTGAGCTTGGAAAAATCTTCCCCAGTTTAGCCTCAGATGAGACCATAACCCTGGCCTTTATTGCAACCTTATAAAACACTAAGCAGAAGATCCAGTTAAGCTGTGCTCAGATTCCTGATCCACAGACACTGTGAGAAAATAAATGTGTGTTGTTTTAAGCTGCTAAGCTTGTGGCAATTTGTTACACAGCAATAGGTAACTAGTTCAACTCTTGTGCAACCCTGAGAGTGAGTGCCTCCTTAAGTTTTGCAACCTAAGCATCAACTTTGCCTCACTCTAGTCCCAGCCTTGATGTGAACTGCAGTTTAGAATACATACAAACAGTACCTGAACAAGCAGTGTCATTGGGCCACTCTTATCAATTTCCAGAATCTCTCCATTTTTTGTTCCCACCAGGATATGTCCATGTCCCAAAGTGATGGCACGAATTGAAGGGTTATCTTCCAAAAGCAAGCCTGGGGAAGGGGATGGTATATTTAACACAATAACAAAAACAACTGCTTATTAGTATAAATTCAATTTTTATAGCTCCAAAGAACTAGGTACTAGGCAGTCAGCCTTGACATTTCTACCAGAGGAAGAGAGTTCTAAACATGGAAGAGGGAGAAAATTGATTTGCTAATAGTTTTCTAAAAACTTTAGTACAATCTTCTCCATCCCTATGAATACAAAGATCTCTATTACATGTTTGGGAGTGGCACCTTTTGAGCTAGTCGACAATGCTGATCTTTTAATGGCATAAGTCTTCAAACATCTTTCAAACATATCATCCCAGAGCTCCACGATGCCGTCCTTTCCACCTGTTACAAAGCCCTGTGAAGGCACACATGAGAGGTATTATATACACATCAAAATGACCAATTACCCACTTGGCCCCAGGAGGATTCCCCGCAGGTAAGGAAGCTTTGTGGATGCTACCTTCCTAAATATATGAGATGGAAAACTCTGGTGATAACAATGTTCGAATAATATTTTTTGGGAGCATTTCTCCCATACTTCCCTAAGCAAGATTAAGCACGTTCTCAGCATGTGTCCACTGCACTCTCCTCAGAACAATGGTTGGCAGCTGGCCCACTGATCAAGGATGGCTCTGCTTGTGCCCAGTCTCCCAACCAGAATGTGGTTCCTACAGAATGGAACCAGCCTCAAAACCTAGCAGAGTTTCTGGTATCTCACATACTCTGACCAAATGGATTGAAGTTAACATCACAGTTTAAAATTATTGTTAAACATTTAAAAATAAAAGTCATGTCCAGAAGAAAACATCATTATTTATTAAGAGTAGCTTAGGTACTTTATATAATGAAACGATCCTATTTCATTCAATAGACACAATTTCCATAATTAAAATCCAGATTAATTTTTACAAAAACCTGGAAAGTAAAAAGCTTAACATATTGGATATTTTTTACTGAACAGTGATCTTTATTCCTGTTCTAAGCTTATAATTTTTTGGCTGTACTAGTTTTCCTTTCTGGTAATTTATTATATATACCAACTGTTCTTAGAGGTTTTTTTTTTTTTCTAAGAAAAAAGCTGAGTAATTCACTGCTTTCTTAGCAACTTTTAATTTAATGCATTTTTATGAAGTTTACAAAGAAATAATATTTCCAAGTGTATAACACTAAATATCCTTATTCTTATATAGAATTTGTACCCAGGAAAATTCAATCCCCAAATTAAATTAAAATGCAATATATTATATTGTGATATCCTTGTCTTTTCTCATGATTTTGCAGCTTAATTTACCAAACAACAAGAGCTTAAACAAGTTACACCATATCTACTTCTGGGCCTACAGAAATTCTTTCTTCTTCTTTAATCTTTTCTAATACTTGCAGTTTAACCAAAAACATATGTACCAATAAAAAAACAAAACAAAACAAAACAACACCTTTGCCAGCAAAACAACCGTTACAGTTGCATACCTAACAAGAACCTACTTTTGTAGTAGAATCAACACATTTGCCTAAGGACAGGTAAAAGAAAATTGAGACATGGGTTAGGAGTAGTAGGTGGCTTCAACTGGAGGTCAGAGGGCACAGATGAAGTGGTACTACCAGCAACCTGGAAATAACTGAAAAGAAGTTGATATTTGCTGGCAAGTTGATTGAATAAAGTGTTTTAAAACACTGAAGGTGCTATGGTTTAAATATTAGCCCCCTCCAAAACTCATGTTGAAATTTAACTGCCTCTGTAACAGTACTAAGATGTGGGAACTTTCAGAGTTGACTAGACCATGAGGGGTCTGCCCTCATGAATGGATTAATGCCATTATTGTAGGAGTGGGTTCATTACTAAAGGATGATTTCGGACCCTCCCACTCTTATTGGCCCTTCAGCCATTGGGTAACACAGCAAGAAGGCCCTTCCCTGTTGCAGCCCCTTACTCTTGGACTTCCCAGCCTCCAGAACTGTGAGCCAATAAACTTCTGTTCATTATAAAGTACCTAGTCTCAGAAATTCTGTTACAGCAGCAAAAACAGACTGAGAGAAGGTAAGTGTAATCTTTGTAGAGGGACACTGCAAGGCAAGTAGACAGACCAGGGCAATTATGATGAGCTTGAATTGTAATATGGCCAATGAACAGCCTTCACTCTAACACTCTTGTTAAAGCTGAGCCTTTCTACACAGGAGCAAGTTGGTTATGGATGCAAATTTATCGTAGCAAATGGACGTCTGGAACAATAATGTAACCATTTGGTACTTTCAGGTCTCTGCCCATTGTGTCACCAAGGAGGAAGACAATGCTGAAGTATTTCTCAGGACTCTTCTGCTGCTAAGTGTCCACATTTATCCTGGCACTTCTTAAGGGACTCTCATGAGTGGGCGCCAGGAAGAGCATGTGTGGAAAAAGTGCAGAGAAGTTGCATATAAAGAAACAACTGTAAACGAAATTATAAAAATATCTTTGCTTTCCTCCCTATTGTCTCTTGACTGAGCTTTATGACAACTACTTCCTAATTCAGACAGGCCTGTTTTAGATACAGGCATCCTCTTGGGCCATCCTAAGACTACCTTATAATTTTAGAAGGCTGATGAGGAAAATGAATGCTGATACACAGGCCATACCTTATCCAGTGCATACATAGCAAACACAGGCCCATCATGAGCTTTCACTGTCTTCAGTAGTAGAATGTCTTTCCAAATAAAAATATCTCCAGTAGCTGCTCCTGAGAACACTAGATCTTCCATTCGTCCGTAAGAAACACACATCATTGTTTCCAATTTTCCAACGCTTCCAAAAGTTCCTCTTTTAGAAGTGAAGCCCCCACCTAGAGTGGACCAAGAACAGTTATTACTTTATAAAATCTGGCACTTCCTATAAGCATGTAGAAGGACTACTTCCATGAGAAACCTGGTGTCTCTCATTAGGTATTTATGTAAAGATGTCTAAAAGTGACAGAGAACATCATGAACAAAAATATTCTAAGAATATTTCTCATTTATTCATTAACTCAGTGTTTACTGAATCCCTACATGTGGTAAGTGCAGCGCTCACTGTTGGGATATGAAGATGAAAAGAGGGTTCCTGTATTCAAGGAACTCAGAGTCTGGCTGGAGAGAGCAATCAATATGCATCTCAGTCCAAGACATGCGTCTAACTGAGGCTCAGCACAAGTTCTGTGTCAGCCAAGAGAAAGAGTGACTAAGTGCCTGAAGGAGCAAGCAAAGTCTTCATGAATGCTGACCAAAAACGATAAAAATAGTACTGACTGTAAATGTAAAATATAAGCATGTTATATATGCTCTGCTTATTTATAACAGCTATTTTGGGGTGAGAAAAAAGAATTGTTTTGTAGGAAAAGGTAGTATACGGGACAAGCCATTAGATTTGTCCCTTACACATTCACATTTCCCCACACTCCCTGTCACTGAGAAACCCAGCTTTATTCAAGACAGCTACACACAGGCTGGCTCTCCAGACATACTGGGTGGCATTACCTTCTTTTAAAAGCAAAATGCACTGGAACAGAACCTTATTCACATTTTGTGCATAATAAGTTAGGGCTTGGCACCAAAGCTGATACTAAGAATTCAGATTCAATTGTATTAAGTCTGACTTATTAGTGAGAAGAATGAGATATCCTCTATGTTTTCTCATGCTTATTTACTCATCATTATTATCAACATTAAATCCACCAATATTTATTGGACCACCTATTTGTGGGCAGACTCAGGGTTTAATTCAGGTTTAAATTCAGTAATAGATAAATAAAGGAACCATCCAAATAGATAAAATTTTATTCACTCAACCAAAATGATTATTTTATTTCCTGTGCAGTAGTCTAACATAATTACTGCTTTCAGAACAGATGACTAAATATAAAAATGATTATTTTCACAGCAGAACATTTTCCAAAGCTTTCTAGGTATTGATGAATATGCATAGCGTCATATAGAGTGTTCTAAGCTTCAAGCGTTCTAAGCGAACTTGGGAGATAATTTTTTTAGGCACATTTTTATTTTAGATTGCAGAGACAAGCGAGGTAGTAGCAACAGTTTGTTTTGTTTTTCTTTCCAGCTAGGGTAAAGCTCTCAATCACATAAATGATAAACCCAAACGACAGTACCTGCTTGTTGCCAGAATTTGATGTGTTTTATCCCAACTGTAACCAGTTTGTCAACATGGTGTGGGTTACACTTTACCACAAATATCTTATCTTTATGTCCTCTGTAAGAGACAAATAGGAAATAAGATTCTAGTTTGGATGGAAGCAGTAACAGTTTTATTAAAAGCATGCATTTGGTCTAATTTTAAGCACATCTAACAGGACCATTAAATTAGAAAATGGTTTAAAATCCACACGGGCATCTACATTAAAATAACGAGCTTTGGCTTTTCTTTGCATGTTTGAACCCTTTCTTCTTATCCTAATATTGCTGCCAAAGTTTATTTACTTATACTTTAAGCAAAGTAATGAAATATTTAAAACATATTGTAATGTCTCCATAAGATAAAATTAATGCCACCACTGTGGGGTTGCAAGTAATTGTGGGGATGTGCAGAAGGAAAGAGATAGTATTGACTTCTCTTTTCCTCCTCTTGTGCAGGAGGAAAGAGAGTATTAACGAAAAGCTTCACATGAATCACTCTTGCTGTGGAAAGCATTGCTCTGGGTTAAATGGGTTTTCAGCTGGAAACATATTGTTTAGAAGTTGAAGCCCTGGACCCACAGCTATGGAAAGAGAAAGGATGTCTTCTATTGATTCGAGGCACTTTGGAATGCTGCACAGAGAGGTAGGTTTATAACCTAAGGGGCAGAAGGACAAACATAAGTGCAAAGTTCCATTGTAGACCTGGGCTGTAGACTTGGCATCTCACAGCATGAGAGGGACTATTTGATGGTCTTTGATATATTAGGACATAATTTTAATAATGTAAAAAAAGCAATTAAAAAGAAGAACATGACTGACCGATCTGCCTTACGAATATAGAGACAAACATCATAAATATTAGCAAACAGAATCTGAAAGCATATTAAAAACAATACATTAGGACCAAACACAAGGGTGGCTCAATATTAAGGAATCAAGTAATACAATTGATCATATTAATAGATGTAAAGAGAAAAATCATATTATCATTTTCAGATGCTGAAAAGGTATTTGACAAAAACCTAACAGTCACCCATGATTTAAAAAATAAACCACTCAACACCCAATACAGTAGAAATTAAAGGATGCTTCAGACTTGTCATTTAGACATTTGTATTTCCCTGTACTTTGTCATTGAGAAACCCAGATTTATTCAAGCTAACTACATATAGGCTGGCTCTCCAAACATGCTATGTGTCATTATCTTTTCTTTAAAGATAGAACACACTGGAATAGCTTATTCGTCATATTTGTGTGTGCACACTCCAAGGACTGTTACTTAATGGCATTCCCAATAGAGTCAGGATAATTACCACTACCATTTAACATCGTATTGAACATATAAACTAATGCAACTAGAGGAGATTTTAAAAGGCACAAGAGCTGGAATGGAAGAGCTAAAACTATTCATATTTGCAAAGGATATATGTCTAAAAAATTAAAAAGGAAATTTTAAAATGACTACAAATAAGACATTTTAGTAAAGGTACAGTATATAAAATTGAATACCAAATCAATAACCTTTGTATATACAGTGACTGGTTGAAAAATATAATGGAGGAGAGGACTCTATTTATAAACAATAAAAATAACAAGGCATAAACTCAACGAGATACATGTAACATAAAAGTGAAGAGAGAAAAAAAGACCTGATAAGTAAGATTAAAAAGGCAGACTTTAAAAAACAGAACTATATCCCATGTTCTTGGAAAGGAAAACTCAATCCTAAAGATAGCAGTTATCCCTTAGTTTATAAATTCAACTTAGTTCCAATAAAAAGACCACGGGGTGTGTGTGTGTTTAATCTGGAGTTAGACAATTTGATTTTAAAGCTCTCATGGAAGAATAAGCCAGCAGGAATGACCAGGAAAACGGAAACAGAAAAGCAGAGTGCAGAGAGTAGCTCTCCTAGGTATTAAAACAATCTATAAAGGCTCCATAATTAAAACAGTATAGTACCTGTGTATGAGTTGACTGACAAATGGCAAAACAGAAAATCTTGAAACAGACACAAATGAATATAAAAATGTAGTGTATAACAAAGACAAGGTTTTACATAAATAGCAAGAGAAAGATGAACTTTTAAAATAAATGGTGTTTGATGCCAAATGCTGGCTAGTCTGTGGAGTGCTAAGAACTCTTGTTAATTGCTGGTGGGAATGCAAAATGATACAGCTATTTTGAAAGACAGTTTGGCAATTTCTCACAAAACTAAGCATATTCTTACCATACGACCAGCAATTACATTCCTTGATATTTGCCTAAATAAGCTGAAAACTTATGTCCACACAGAAACCTGCACATGGATATTTATAGCAGCTTCATAATTGTCAAAATGTGGCAGCAACATAGATGTCCTTCAGCAGGTGAATGGGTAAACAAACTGTGGTACATCCAGACAATGGATATTATTCAGCACCAAAAAGAAATGAACTACCACATCATGAAAACACATGGAAGAAATGTAAATATATATCATTAAGTAAAAGAAGCCAATCAGAAAAGACTACATACTATATAGTTCCAATTATATGACATTCTGGAAAAGGTAAAAACTACTAACATGGGTAAAAAATTAGTGGTTGCCACAGTATACAGAGGAGGGAGGAGGGATGAAAGGATAAATAGGCAGAACACAAAGAACTTTTAGGGCAGTGAAACTCTCCTGAATATACTGTTGTAACTGCAGAATCAGCCCAATCTGGTTCAACTTTATATAATACAATGGTGAGTTGTTTTTCAGTTATCATGTAACCCAGGTTGCAAGTTACATCACCTGATCATGCCCAGATGAACCAAGCATGCAACCATGGGTGGAACCTTAGTGCTTGGCCCAAGGAACAGGGACCAAATTAAGAACTACACACCTCATGGCATGATCCAGTCCTATCATGTCTCCCGGCCACACTGCATTATAAGATCCAATCAGATCATGCCTCATTACCCTCTGCTATGAATCCTGCCCCAGCCCCCAGCTCGAGAGAGATATTTGAGCACTGCCTCCTGTCTCCTTGCCCGTCAAACTGCAATAAAGTCTTTCTTTTCACAAAAGCTGGTGGCATAGTATTGGCGTCTATGCTTTTTGGGCAGCAAGCCCATTGCTAGCTTGGTAACGCTACATGAAAAATATGTGTCAATATACATTTGTCAAAACTCGCAGAATGTACAAAACAAGTGAATGCTAATATAAACTGCGGACTTCGGGTGATAATGATATGTCAAGGTAGGTTCATGAATTGTAACAAATGTACCGTCTAGTGCAGGAGGGTGATAGTAGGGGAGGCTGTGCATATGAGGAGGCAGGAGGTAATGGGAACTCTCTCTACTTTCTGCTCAATTTTGCTGTCAATCTAAAACCACTCTAAAATATAAAATCTATTTAAAAAGGGAAAAAATGGAACACCTTGGTAGCCATATGGAAAAAACAGAAAGCTGGACCTGTTCCTCAGATACTAGGATAGATTCTAAACTATTTAGAGACTTAAATATAAAAGATGAAGCCATAGAACATTAGAAGAATAGGTGATTTCTTTTTAATGTGAGAATGGGCAGTATTTTTCTAAATACAAAAATCTTAAAGCAATAAAAGATTAATAAATTTAACCACATAAAAATATAAACCTTTTGCTTGATGAAAAACACCACAGCAAATTCAAAGGATGAATGACAAACTGGGAAAAAAATCAGCAAGTTATAGACAAAACTCAAATAACCCTAACATTTAAAGAATCACTTTCTGTGAGAATTATATTTCAGAGAAACCAAATGGTTCACGAGGGAAAATTGTTTATAAAATAATTCTAGCTAACGTGAAGAATGAATGATAAAATTAGAAAATTGCCACTTTGAACCCTGAACTAAGTAACCAATTTAGCCCAAGGTTGTCAGCTGATGCTACAACCATTAGAAAATGTGGTGATGGGGAGCTGTATAATGAAAGGATCAGGTCAATGCTCCCAGAACCCACCAACTGAGCTGAGTATTACTGACAGCAGAAAAATTAGATGTTCTGGGCAGTAGTGTACAAAAGGGTGGTGCAGGGGAAGTGGTCCATCCTGGAGGGAAGGAATTCCATCACTAACATTGTTTAGAATTGCCAGATAATGGGAATAATAAAAAGCAGTATGGCTTTTAGTTATTTTCAAATTCTCTACAGATAATATACCCCTATTGCTTGCATCTGGGAAGGACCATGCCTACTGCCTCCCTACTCTCTGGTATACCACCGATTTTATCTTTTCTGATGTGACAGGAAGTACCTATAAAGCATTCTTGCCTAAAAACTTGAACATGGGTGAAATTATTTGCAAATCATATATCTGATAAGGGACCTATATTCAAAATATATTAAAACTCTTAAAACTCAATAATAAAAAGACAAATCACTCTATTCTACAAAGAAAATATACCCAGTCAGCACAGGAAAACATGCTCAACATCATTAGCTATTAGGAAAACCATAATGAGATACCACTTCACACTGATGAGGTGGCTATAATAAAAATGACAGACAATAACAAGTGTTGGCCAGAATGTGGAGAAGTTGGAGGCCTGTGTTTAACATTTTGAGGCACTAATGTTTTCCAAGTTGCTGCACCATTTTCCATTCTCACCAGATCTAAATGTAAAAGATGAAGCTGAATAATAGAAGAAAGAAAGAGGCCAGACGCGGTGGCGCACACCTGTAATCCCAACACTCTGGGGGGCTGAGGTGGGCGGATCACCTGAGGAGGTCAGGAGTTAGAGACCAGCCTGGCCAACATTGTGAAACCCCATCTCTACTAAAAATACAAAAAATTAGCCAGGCGTGGTGGCAGGCACCTGTAATCCCAGCTACTCAGGAGGCTGAGACAGGAGAATCACTTGAACCCAGGAGGCAGAGGTTGCAGTGGGCCAAGATCACGCCACTGCACTCCAGCCTGGGTGACACAGCAAGACACCATCTCAAGAAAAAAAAAAAAAAAAAAAAGAAGGTTAAAAAAAAAAAAAAGGAAACATTTGTGCAATGTGTAGTATGCTGATCATTGTCACAGTTGGGTGATGGGTACAGAAGGTTCATTATGCTATTCCCTCTACTTTGGCATAACTTTGAAATTTTCCACAATAAAAAGAATAGAATGTCTCTTGATCCATTATGGCTACATGAATGTGAACCCTACGATGAGAGGCAAGGAAGAGATGGAATTTTGGGGCTCTGACTCTTTGAAAATCAAAAAGTGGGCTGGACGTGGTGGCTCACGCCTGTAATCTCAGCACTTTGGGAGGCCGAGGCAGGGGGATCACGAGGTCAGGAGATCGAGACCATCCTGGCTAACACGGTGAAACCCCATCTCTACTAAAAATACAAAAAATTAGCCGGGCGCGGTGGCTGGCGCCTGTAGTCCCAGCTACTCAGGAGGCTGAGGCAAGAGAATGGCGTGAACCTGGGAGGTGGAGCTTGCAGTGAGCCGAGATAGCGCCACTGCACTCTGGCCTGGGAGAAAGAGCAAGACTCCATCAAAAAAGAAAAAAAGAAAATCAAAAAGTGAATATGGATATTGGAGCTAGGATACATTACTGGACATATCGTTAACAATTAGGGGAGAAAAAGATCTAAAGACGAAATGTGTTTAACACCAAGAGAAGAAATCAACCAGATAACCATAAAAACATTAAGCATCCAAAAAAAATTTTTTTTTTTTTGAGACAGAGTTTCGTTCTTGTTGCCCAGGCTGGAATGCAGTGGCATGATCTCGGCTCACTACAACCTCCGCCTCCCGGGTTCAAGTGATTCTCCTGTCTCAGCCTCCTGAGTAGGTGGGATTACAGGCATGTGCCACCATGCCTGGCTAATTTTTTATATTTTTAGTAGAGATGGTGGTTTTACCATGTTGGTCAGGCTGGTCTCAAACTCCTGACCTGAGGTGATCCGCCCGCCTCAACCTCCCAAAGTGCTGGGATTACAGGCGTGAGCCACCGTGCCAGGTTTTTTTTGAGACAGCATCTCACTCTGTCACTCAGGCTGGAGTGCAGTGGCGCAATCTGGGCTCACTGCAACCTCTGCCTCCCGGGCTCAGATGAGTCTCATGCCTCAGCCTCCCAAGCAGCTGGGACTACAGCACCATCATGCCCGGGTAATTTTTTGTATTTTTAGTAGAGACGGGGGCCGGGCTGATCTGCAACTCCTGACCTCAAGTGATCCACCTGCCTCAGCCTCCCAGAGTGCTGGGATTATAGGCATGAGCCCCCATGCCCAGCCCAATGATTTCTTGATTGGAGGAAAATCTCCCTAGATACAAAATCATTAATATATACTTTAGAGAGACTAGAGAAAACCAAAATGAAAATAACAAGTACAGAAAATTATATTTCCTAGAGATAAAAGATTGTTTCCTTGTATTTATACAATGCCAAACATTTACAAAAATCTTTTTTGTGAGAACTTTTTAGTTTACATCTGATTTCTTAGTGCCATTGTGATATTACAAAATACATATGTGGTCTTCAATTCTCCCCCTCCATTTCCTGACCTACTACTCCTACAATCCTTAGGATCTCCATGGAGGTCTTCTTGTATGCTCATGATTGACTTGATGGCCGCCAGCCCAGAGGTAGCTTCAGGATGGGTCACCAGAAAGACCAAAGCAGTAGTAGAGGATTGGGACTTGCAGCCCCATTCCTGACCTTCAGGGAAGGGAGAGGGATCAAAAGATAAGTTGCTCACCCATCGCCAGTTGGTAAACCAATCATGCCTATGTAATGAAGCCTCCAGTAAAAACTCCAAAGCACAGGGTTTGGAGAACTTCTAGAGAGCTGAACACAAGGAGATCCCTGGAGGGAGGTGCACCCAGGGAGGCCATGGAAGCTCTGTGCCCCTTCCTACGTGCCTTGCCCTATATAGCTTCCCAACCATAACCTTTGTAATAACCTGGCAAATGAAGTAAGTATGTCCGAGTTCTCTGAGCAACTCCAGCAAATTAATCGAACCCAAGGTGGGATGAGGGGAACGGTCTCAGAAACTGAGCCCTCAACCTGTGGCATCTGAGGCTACCTCCAGGTAGACAGTGTCAGAATAGAACGGAACTAGAGAATACTCAGCAAACAGAATTGTTTGCTTGCTGGTGGGGAGAAATCCCCACAAGTTTGGTCACAGAAGTCTCTGTGCAGATTGTTGTTGAGTGAGAAAACGGAAAAAGCACTTTGAGTTTGGGTGAGAGCTTTTGTTGTCCTACTCTATGTCATAAAAACACCAAGGTTATTTCTGTTGTGGCTAGTTATAAAGTGGCTAATGATGGCATGTAAATGTTTAGCTAATGTCAATATATAAATAAAGAACACACTGCATACCTGTCATTTTTCTTATACACACTTGTTAAACTTGTAGGGAAGTTGCCTGCAAGTGTAGGTGTGTTTGTGCACACATGTGCATGTGTGTATGTGTAAGCAAAACAAAATACAAAGAGTTTGTCAGATCTTAGATGGCGAGAATAAGAACTTACACACTGTGCTGCTGTCCTAACACTGGATGATTCCTCACGCCCCATCACAAGGAATTCACCGCATAGGGCCATATAAACCCACCAGCAAGCACGAAGGAAGGAGCCTCTTCCAGAGGCCAAGGGCAACTGCACACTGGGTGACTTGGTTTCCATACTGTCCATTCAGAACTCTGTTTGCATAGAGGCCCAGTCCTGTGTGTAATTTTGTTCTCCCTTTCTGTGGCAGTAGCCTTTAACAGGAAGACTGATGAATGTTTGATACATATACTAACTCCAAAAAAAATTTAAATTGGCTGAAAATATAGAATAATATAGAACAAGACAGGTAACAAATTAGAACACAGTGAGATGATGTATTAGTGAGTGAAAAAAACCAGTTATAGAGCATATGTACAATACTCCACATGTAAATAAAAATGAATACAAATACTAGAAAAATACACACTAAAAGATATATGCTAAAATGTTAACCATGGCTACATCTGGGTAGTGGAATTATAGATGATTTTCCTTTTATTAAGTGCTTTTCCCTGCTAATTTTTCTATAATGATCATATATTATTTGAAAAACAGAGGAAAGAATAAGTGTTATTTTAAAAAACAAAGTGAAAAAGAAAAGGGGCCCATATGGTATGCGGGAGACTCTATCATAGTCATTAAATGCATGTAAAGGTAGGGACCTAAAATAGATCAAGCGATGAAGCTAATACAGAAGTGCTTACTTGGAAGTTCGATACGCCTGCCATATGCATAAGCTTAGTGTGTCCCTAAGCTTTCTTTTTTTTTTTTTTTTTGAGACGGAGTCTGGCTCTGCCGCCTAGGCTGGAGTGCAGTGCCGTGATCTCGGCTCACTGCAAGCTCCGCCTCCCGGGTTCACGCCGTTCTCCTGCCTCAGCCTCCCAAGTAGCTGGGACTACAGGCGCCCGCCACCAGGCCTGGCTAATTTTTTGTATTTTTAGTAGAGACGGGGTTTCACCCTGTTAGCCAGGATGGTCTCCATCTCCTGACCTCGTGATCCGCACGCCTTGGTCTCCCAAAGTGCTGGGATTACGGGCGTGAGCTACCGCGCCCGGCCTTTGTCCCTAAGCTTTCTAGCAGCAAAACTTTCAGATTAGCCTGGGAAGTGTTCTTGTTGATAATTCTTTTTTGTCCAAGATCCCTCCTATTCATTGTTCCCCTAGTCACACTACCAGAGTAACACAAGCACAAATAAAGGAGCACAGATGTACCTGATTAATCATTGCATTATTCTGCCCTGATTGACAGTGATGTTACACCCTGTAACTACTTCTATAAGAGATCAGCCTTGGTTCTTAAATGGGATACTTGTATACTAGACTAAAATTGGAATGATCTTTAGGGAAAAAAAAAAAAAAAAGACTAAAAAATTCATTTGTAATGGAGGTAACCGAAATCACTCATAAAAATTAGCAAAGATTGCATGCGGGGAAATTGTTTAAACAGATCGGATCGTCTCACAGAGATCTTGAAAATAAAATCTTGAGTATCTTGTAAATAAGATCTCTATGGTCCAATTCTGAATTTCTCTAGTTTCTGTGAGCTGCTAAAGAGTAGGTTCATTTAAAATATTCTCACCAATCAGGGGAGGAGCAACTTCTGAGTGCCTGGTTGCACAGCTGGCACACGTCAGCACAGCCACCAGCAGCACAGCTGACGATGCCACCACAGCTACCAACCATGCTCCTCCTCTGTGGAGAAATCTCACTTCCTGGGCGATGAGTGGTACAGAACAATCACCCTTGCCAAAACAGCACAGCCAGCCAGAAGCAGGTTAATTGTTCAGCCTTGCTCTATAAATGAGGCTGGCAGTGATCGAGACACAGAAGTGTAAAGTGAGGGGTAGGACTGAATCAGCTTCTCTGTGAATTAGGCCCTCTTGGGAGCTTAGATGACCCTGGAAGCAAGGTATCATTCCGTTAAGGATTACTTCGTTGTCGCTTCTATCATGCCCCTGTTTAAATTTTTTTTTTTTTTTTTTTTTTGGGACGGAGTCTCACTCTGTCACCCAGGCTGGAGTGCAGTGGCTAAATTGTGGCTCACTGCAACCTCTGCCTCCCAGGTTCAAGCGATTTTCCTGCCTCCTGAGTAGCTAGGATTACAGGCGCCCGCCACCACGCCTGGCTAATTTTTATATTTTTAGTAAAGACGGGGTTTCACCATGTTGGCCAGGCTGGTCTCGAACTCCTGACCTTAGGAGATCCGCCCACCTCAGCCTCACAAAGTGCTGGGATTACAGACGTGAGCCACCATGCCCGGCCTCCTGTTTTTAAAAGTTTCTATCTACTTAAGCACTCTAAGGCCATACATATAAGCTTTATTTATTTGTCTAAATTTCTTATGTATTTATGTAAATATGTATCATTGTTAATATTATGCAAATAGATATTTAAGTAACTTTTATTTACTTTTTACTGTAAAATCTACTGTTCTTCCAAAGAACTTTAATCCTTGATATTCCTGCTTGGAAACAGCACTGGCTAATGTCAATCCAAAATGTTCTCCTGGGCAATTCTGCAGGTATCCTGTTTTGGGAATGTGTCATAAGGCTTGGGAGCAATTCCAAATATGAATTGTGTTATTAACATAATGGTGTTAAGTCAACTTTGTGTTAAATAGAGGCAGTAACACTATCCAACAAGTATATAAAATATATACTATTTTAATATTAAGAAATATTTCTTTCTTCCATTTCTATTAATGTTTCGGGCATAAAACTGGTGAGCCACCCATAGCTGCAGAGGGTTTTCTAGCAGGAAAATTGCATTTCTGTTGCTTTTGAAATCCAGAAATGTGCTTTCCCTGAAATTATCTGTAAAGGCAGATGGTATATTATCAGAAATATTAAACTTAAATTCTGTATTTTAGTCTGGGGGGAACAGAGTTCTGATGAGAAGCTGAATCTGAGTACTACTAGAAGGGAGTGGAATGACAGTGAGGAATACTAGAAACAAAGACCAGAAGAAAAACCACTTGGGCAGGCAGATTTATGAGCTGTCATTTGTTGCCAAGAATTCAATCTCAACAGCAGTCATCAGAAAAGCTTCCCTTTTTCTCCGAAGATGGTCAGTTGGAGTCCTCATGCCTCCATCTGCTGCTCCTCCAGGTCTCTAGCAATTTATAAATCTTCATTCATTAAATCCCCACAAAACTTTTTTCCTATTTAATATTGTAGAGGAAAATATTACTTTAAAAAGTGAATATTGGGGTTCAAGGCTATTAACTTCAAAATGATTTTATATCGCAAGACAGAAAGGACATCATTAATGCAGAGAAGAACGAGCAGGGAGGTACACTGACAACACGCCTCGGCAACAAATTGTATTGCTGGGCCTTGGCTGCCAACTATTTTGACCCCTGATCAGGGTTGGGCAAACAGCTGAGCTCAATGTAAGTAGGAGTGGAAAGTCGTGTTCAGACTTAGTGCTGATTCAGCAGGCAGGAAGGCTGGGGTAAGGGAGGACAGGTGGTCTATAAACAGCAGTCGGTCTCAAAAAATCTATTTATAAGACGGAAGATTAGGGAAACAATTTGCCTGCTTTGAAAGCAAGTGGCAGATGCACACGGTGGGGCCTCCTTTCCAGCATGCTGCAGCCTCATGACAAACGGTGCTTCTGATTCTGGTGACATTGACAATCCTTCACCAGATGCTAGGACAGAAGAAAAACAAGGGGCAAGGCACCAGCCTGAGAAAAGCTGCTTTTCTATTGCTGAAGTGCTTTGATACAGATTACACAGACCACTCAAAATGAAGCGGTGAATGACTCTCTGCAGAGGATTTCGGAATTTTCTGATTCACCGCAACAAACATGACCTGCTCTAAGTCAGGTTTGGCACCATGAAATACTGCAGTATTTTTTCACTTAGGTGCTAAGCCTTCTACGTCAATTTCACCTGAGTTTGAAGATGAAATCTTACCAGAAAATGAAAACTATTGACCTTTACTGAACCGTGGTATCAGCAGGATACCGTAAGATCCCGGCAGCTTCTTACCTTGTTGTGGCTATCTTTTCTCCCTTTTTCCAGTCCCAAAATACAATACTGTGAAAATCGTCTAAACCAACCGACACCAGACATTTTCCATCGGCTGTATGAAAACAACACAAATGTCAAAATTTCTTCCATGAAAAAACAAAACATTTCATACACTGTAAAGAGGAATAAGTAACTGATCTTAAGAACTGATAAATATTTGAGGTGATGGATGTGATAGCTGCCCTGACTTGATTATACAATGTATACATGTACTGAAACATCACACTATACTCTATAAACATGTACAATTATATTTTAATACATAAGGGGTATCATATACTAAATGGACCTCGCTGAATGAAATGCATGACTAGAGATAGCCGAGCTTCCTAATGCATAACGGGCTGCCGAAGTAAACTGCCGACCTGACATTCTGAGACACAGAGCTAGAGGGAGACTCTCAGGTAAGCTACAAAAACTATGTCTATTTTGTGACAAACAAATCTCATGACATTTAACTTGAGGTACCACTTGGCTTTGTGATCCTGAGACCATTTTCAGCTCTAAAAACTGGGTTCAGTTAATTCTCCAAATTAGGAACATTATAGAAACTAAATTTAACTTAAAAAATTCTTTCAAAAGATGATTTTACAATTTAAAAATTTTATGTTCCCTATTTCAAATGTAGTGTACTTGTTATAGGAAATTTAGAAAATATGGATACAGAAAATTTTTAAATCTTCCCAATTTCTAGGCTAACATTTGATATATATCCTACCAATCTTTACACAAATGTGCTTAGAAAAAACAATACCAGAATAATAATGAACAGGTTATCTTATCTTTCTTCATCTATTATATCATGAACATTTTCCTTTAGTATTAAATATTACTTATAATTGTTTAGAAAAGTGGCAAGAATAGATTACTGTAAATCCCTATGTATAACTGCTTATTGTCTAGTTTTCACATCGCTTGTCTGCTTTACATTTCCAGGACAATTTATTTCTCTAAGAGAATAATAATTATCCATGATTACTATAATTTGGACATTTAGGTTATTTTCCCAAAAATTGTTTTAAAAATATACTGAATGCACAATTAAATTTCAAATAAAAACACTTAATTTGCTTTTTCCCTTCAAGACAAAAGAAGAGGTATAGTCAAAAAGCCTTTCCTTTGCTGCCTTCCTGCAAGGCTAGATTCAACACAGAACCATCTCTGGGTCAGCAGTCTCCCTTCCACTAGCTGTGCGGTTGCTAGGAGACGAGTGATCAAGCTCATCCTGCATCAGTATATCAGGGCTCTTCTCTGACTACCAAGGGCCAGCCATGAGGGTAAATAAAGCAACACAGGTCTGTGATAAATTGCCTCTTCCAGTTCTGCCAGTCCACTCGGAGGTCCCAACCGGTATTTTCAAAGGCAGACCTGCAGTATACCCCAAATTAGGGTTGCCAGATAAAATATAGAAAACCTTGTTAAACTGGCATTTCAGGTAAGCAGTAACTAATTTCTTAGTACAAGTATGTCCCATGCAATATTTATATGTATATTACATATTTATCCTTATTTTGCATGGAATACACTTATGACAAAAATTATTTACCTGAAACTCAAATTTAATTGAGCTTCCTAAAATTTTGTTGGCTTAATCTGGCAACCCCATCTCAATTGCTAACCAATGCCCATGCTTTGAGGGCCCTTGCTTATGCAAGAGACCCTCCTCCAACCAACTGGAAATGGTAGTCTCCTCCTTTTCTGGATGAAGGAGAGTCAGAGAAAGAAAAAGTCTGGTTTAACAAACCAAATCCTCTCCAACCCTCCATCACTACGAAGTATGAGGCAAGGATTTGAAAGTTACCTGACCCTTTCAAGCTACTAGGCTGTAGTATTAGATGAAGACGTTAACACTTTCCTTAAGGGCTAAATCATCACCAGGTGATTATTATAAACTACGTCTTTCAAAAACAACTAATGATATCCCCTTATGCTTAAATGTTACCAGGCTTTAAATTGGGCAAGGTCCCTCTTTAGCATTTAGGAGAAGGAATTGGTAATGACTTCCTATTCATTACCAACATTACTTTTTCCACATCTCTTGATATGGTCTGGTTGTTTCTATGTTGGCATGCCTCTGCACTTGATTTTATTTTTATTGGTGTTTTCTCTCTCCTTTTTTAATATCATAAGCTTTTTTTTAAGACTTTTAATAATCTTATCACATTTCCTTTGTAAGTATCACACTAATCAAGTTTTCAATGAATGTTGATGATACTGGTGACACTGATGATGAGGAAGAAGATAAAGACAGAATATGCCTGTGGATGGTATAAATTGAAATAGAATGTACTACGTTATATAGCTATAAAGATTTTGGCCAGGTGCAGTGGCCCACATCTGTAATCCCAACACTTTGGGAGGCTGAGGCAGGTGAATCCCTTGAGCCCAGGAGTTGGTGATCAGCCTGGGCAACATGAGGAAACCCACTCTCTACAAAAATACAAAAAAATTAGCTAAGCATGGTAGTGTGCATCTGTAGTCCCAGATACTTGGGAGGCTGAGTTGGGAGGATCGATTGAGCTCAGGAGGTCCAGGCTGCAGTGAGCCATGATCATGCCACTGCACTCCAGCCTGGGTGACACAGTGAGACCTTGTCTCAAAAAAAAAAAAAAATTTTTTTTTGGATGATGAGTCAAGAGTGAGTACAAAGCTACAGTTAGGAAGAGTAAGTTCTGGTGTTATATTACATATTAAGGTGACTATAGCTAATAATGTAGTGTATATTTCAAAATAGCTAGAAAAGAAGATCTTGAATGTTATCACCACAAAGAAATGATAAATGTTTGAGGTGATGGATGTGATAGCTACTCTGATTTGATCCTTACACAATATATACATGTACTGAAATGTCACATTCTACCCTGTAAACATTTGCAATTATGTGTTAATTATAAACAGATTTTTAAAGAAATTGTCCATTTCAAAAACACTGTACAAATATTCAATGTCTTGTTGCATTCATTGACTATATTTCATGTTTTCTTTTGAAATCTGTGTAGTTATGTTCTTCTTGGAATGCAAGCACAAATACATTTAAAATAATAAAGTTTTATGTCATCTGAAGAAGGCCTAAGGATAAGCTGATTTTGCCGGGGTAAGAGGTGAGCTTTTATTTTAGGAGAATTTCTGCAAGGCCCTGTCAGCTTATCCTCACTGTTATACCACCTTTCTAAACCAAAAAAAGGTATTCTGATTGTGGGTAGCAATGGAAGCAGCAGTGCAAACCCAGAGGTGCCTCAACAGCCATACCTCTTTTTTGGGATGGTGACTTCCCCGAGTTCTGCGGGTGTGGGCTATTTCTGTGTATATACTACACAGTTTGGAAATAAAATTGGCTACCTTTTTACTCTTTCCCAGTTCTCACTTTCCCTGTAAGCCGTGGTCTTAGCTTTGGAAATCTACTCTCTGACCAGTTAGTTGAAGTTTTTTATTTTTAGCCATGTTTTTAGTCTCTTAGGTAATGTCCTTTCCCATCTTTGCAGTCACAGCATGCATTAATTATGGATGTCTGTGACATAGTCCAGAAATAATATGAAGGCATTTAATGTCAGTAGTAAAGGGTGAATTAGACAAAGTTTTATTCAGACAATTATGAGTTGGTCTCTCTATTCAGGACTCATAAAAAATGCGTAGGTTTTCTACTGAACACAATGAAATCAAGTCTTAGATGTGCCCTTATGGAAATCAGTATTATTCTACGAAGCTTTTAAAAAAATTATATGGTTGATATTTAGGCTAGAAAATACTTCTGTGGTTGACCTTTTCTATTTCTAATCTGGTTTTCTATTCATATGGAAGCACTTTCCTCACGGCAAGCACAAAACAAAAATGGTTCCCCTTCCCCTAGACAGTAATAAATACTGAGTTAAAAGAGGTTCTCAACTGAGATAATATAAATTCATTCCTTCTTGTCCTTGTAGCCCAGTTACAGATTTTGCCCAAGAAATGTTTTTGACTAAAAATGTCTTTTGTTTGCTTTCGAAAAGTGGCAAGAACAATCTAAATCCTCACACATAACTGTGCTTATTTGTTATCTAGTTTTCACATTGTTTGCCTGCTTTATATTTCCAGGACAATTTATTCTCTAGTAAGAGACAAGCACGCTATCAGTAGGTGTCCATAAAACCCCCCAAAAGAGCTAACTCCTAAGAGATGGGCAGCGACAGGAGTCCTGAGGCACACAGATGGAGCACTAGCTAAATCGTAACTGTTGAGTGTCACGTCAGTGCCCTGTTTACACCGTTAAACAAGGAGGTCTACGTAGTCTCCTCTTTCAACATTTCTACTTGAGCTACTCACTTTTCTATCAGTTTCCAAAGGATGGTAGCATTAGTTGCCCTTGTTCATACTTCAGGTAAGTGTGTGTTTCTGGGCTGTTTTAGAACGGGATCTCTCTTCACTTGGGGCTGTTCCACATGGGGGCCTCTATGCACTACCATGTCCACTCCACAGTTACAGTGGAGGGTGGGAAGGGCAGATGGACAAGCTTACTGGAGGGCACAGGTAGCAGAAAGTGAGCCTGCACACTGAGTGTCCCAGGTATGACACTCTTGCCAAGTGTACACACTAGCATCGGCAAAGGGAAGCGGCTGGAGGAGGCCTGACACCTAGGAGAACTCCTGGCATGCCTCCTGCCTGCTGACAAACCCAGGCCTGGTGGCTCTCACAATGGACCTGGGTTCTGCCTTTGGATCGGCCACTGTTCACTTTTACCCAGGCCACCCCACCAAACTTCAGGATGTCCATTCTCAGCCTATAAAGTGGTTGCAAGGATTTAAGACTCAAACTATATTATTAAAACATAGACTATCAATAGAAATTAAACCAAACAGGCCTCAGCTCACACTTTCAGGAGTCACCACAGGTCCCCACACCCTCACCCCAACCCCCAGTCAATGACTACAATTCATCTGTATGTAACCATTTATGGTAATGAATCACGTATCAGTCAAAGTTTTTCCACAATAGTCCTTAGTATTAGTACTTTCTAAAACTATCAGATTCCTTTCTACCATTTATATATTGACATACTACTTAACCTGTAAGACAAAAAGGTGAATTTCCATAAGCAAAAACAACACATTTGCTGAAAAATGGGCTCTTTCCCAGTGATTGTTATCTGGGGAATGGAGACTGTATTGTTAAAATACTGAAATACCCTTCTTATGCACAAAACATTTCATATTTGGGAATTTATGTGCCCAAGATGGGAATCAGAAGCAGTTACAGAATCGGGCTCCTCACCTCCTCCAGAGTATCTGATTTCTCTACCCAGGCACTGATCTGAAGGGCTGCCTTATGGGAAAAAGGTTTCTAAGCTCACTTAATTTCTTGTTCTTTCTTCTATAAAACTAATAAGCCCAGAAGAAATGTTAGCTATCTGAAATGAAGAGGCCACATTACTGGGTACCAGCTTATTGCTACCAACTCATCTCATAGTTAATGTCTTTGATCTGCTAATCTCTTCTTCCAAAGGTATTTAAAATAACACGAGCTAATTATTTCGATTTCAAAAAATAGAAAATTAATCAACTCTATAGAGGAAATAACCAAATGATTAAATTCTATTTATATTACTCTAAATTTCTTGCCACTTTATTTATATGCTAATACACATATGCACATTCTCATTTGCAGTCAGTGATAGATGGTATTTTGAGTTCAATTTTTTCTTTTATCTTGATACATTGAAATGTGCATAAAATACAATCTTCATACTTGTCATTTTGAATCACAGCTTTGTTATACATTGCCAGATTGTTTGCTAGAATTGAGTCAATTTTCAGTGCTGCCAAAAGAATGAATATATTGGATTCCCAATAATGTTGTAAACATTTAGCTGTTGTTATTTATTTTTGCTACTTTAACGGGCATTTCACCACTCTTCTAAAGCATATTAATTACTTATATTAAGTATACATATATTTGTCTGCTAGCAAAATTAATTTTAGGAAAAAGGCAGTTTGGCCACTGAGGAGTGGAACTATGGAGAACAAAAAGCAGAAGGAATTCATCCACATCTTTGAAATACAATCGTATTTGAACTAAAATTACAGCTTCTTTTAGGTTTCACTGCTTTATCAGTGACACACAGCACACCTATTTTAAAACTGCATGTCCATCACACTTCCGGGAGTTTGGACTTTGTATTCACTGTTTATTGAGTGAATTACTGACTGTGTTATTCAGCTGGCAGGTGGTATGCGGAGTTCTCTCTCCCTTGACACTTATGCCTTCTCCTACCTCACATGTCACCAGTGTAGAGTATAAACTGTTTAACCTTGATTTTTACCAATTTGATAATCACTGAAGGCACTGAATAACTTCTAATAATGATACAGCAGCTCAGATTTGTAGAGTAATTTACAGTATGTGAGAACATGCCTGTTAGAAAAACTAAAAACTGCCCCATGTTGCATTGGTCAGGCAATGAAGGTAGTTTTCACCCAAACGTGGTTTATAATGTAAAATTCTAGTAGTAATAGGGAAAGGCAAGACAAAGTGCATTAAGCAGAACCTCATTTGTTCATTTAGTCATTCACTTTTTTTAGTAGCTTCTATTTGCACAGCAATATGACATGTGCAGTGGGGACCAGACAGATGGGCTCTACTGCCAAGTAGTTTACTGTGTGTGAAATGCCTGGGAGACGCTGACACAAGTAACTGTGTGCCACATGGAGTGCCACAAGAGCAATGGGTGCCATAAGAGCAATGACAACAAAGGGCTAAGGGATGCACAAAAAAGGACAGGTTATTTCTCCCTGTAAAGTTGGAAGAGAAAACTTCCAGCTTGACCTTAAAGGGCGGGAGGACTTGAAAAGACACATGAGAACAGCATGAGCAAAGAACACAGCCAAAAGAAGGGCAAGAGTGCATGTAGCCTCCACAGTTAGACAGATGTGAAGGAGCACTAATGGGCTGGTGGGTTAAAAATGCTGCTAAGGAAGGTTAAGGCCAGATCATGGAAGGCCATGGATGTCCCAAGGGCTCCACAATGAGTCAGCCAACCAAGGGGAATCCATGTGGTGGCAATGGTAACTATGCTTTTGGGAGACTCCAGAAGAGGGTGGGATGGACTGAGGAAGAGGGGATAGAATTAGAGACCAGCATGACTACCATAGCATAGATGAAAGAGTGAGGGCTTGAACGGGGAGAGGAAGGGACAGGGGAGAACAATCAGGCTTGTGGAGTCATGGAATTTAATAATATTACACGTTATACTTATTAAGCATTTGAATAAAATTTAGAAAAAAATTATAAAATCAGCATTCTGTACAAAGTTTAGAATTCTTTTTCTATTGATCTAATTTCTACAGTTGCAATTATTAAAAATTTCTAGGTAGAAATACTTTTTGTGATAGGCCCTCATTCTCAAATGCCAACTTAAAGAACACTCACTCTAAAGGAACTTAACTTTCATCAGTTATTTTTTATGATACTGTGTTCAAATTTTAAATTAAGGAGATGAAAACTTCAGTTCTATTTTTTCGATATAAAAGTTATTTCCAAAATACCAATGTTGTAAACTGGCCCTCTGCAGATAATTTGCAGCCTTCTCTCTAGTACTTTGTATTTTCAATCAGAAGTGATGTGCTCCCACTTATTTGGAGAGATGAAATTGATGTTCTGAGTCACTGCCAGACATTTGCGACTAAGTCAACAGCAACAGCTGCTCTGGATTTCAAATTGCTCAAGCAAATACAGAACACAGTGTGAGCTCTGGGTAGTGACTTAGGAGACAGAAAATGAGGAAGATGGGAAGCGGTGTGTAATCTAAAGGCCACATTTTTTGGTGAGGTATTCCTATGTATGATTCTCAGTATAAGAGCGGGTAGCTGGCATACAAAGAGCTTGTACTTCAATACAAACAGAACGACTAAGTGGGAGCATGTTTAAATACACACACACGCGTGCGCGCATGCGCGGGGCATACTCTCTCTGTGTCTCTCTCTCTCTCAACGTAGAACCATGTGTCAATCACTCTGGACCTTACCTGAAAAATCAAGTGCACACACTCCTCTCTGATGTTGTCCTTTCAACAGCGACAAACATTTTAGAGTTTGTGTGTCCCACACATGAATAGCAGCATCTCTTCCAACCTTAAATAACAGAATGACTGTTATTAACTACTAACACGTTATACTAACAATGATTTTGTTCCTTAGAGTCCAACACTGCTCAGAAACCAAGATAAACCCATTTGGAGAATAGAAGGACCCTAGGAAATCATCTGCTACAATTCAGTTATTTTTGAGATGAGGAAACTGAGGCACTGTATCTCTAAGAGGCTTGTCCTGGCAATCAGGTAGAGTTCCAACAGAGCCTAACCTGATGCCTGGGCCTTTAAGGCTAATTCAAATGTCCACTGTGCCTTGTTTTTGTCAGTTACTTCTACCATTCCCTCTCCTGCCTTCCCAGCTCGACACAAGATTCTGCTTCTCAGTCAGGGAAGTCACTTGTACATTGTCATGACGCTATCCAGAGTTATTTTACCCATTCTCAGTTACGCTACCCACCAGAAGAAGGCCTGGCCCCGCTTCTCCCCCTGGGAAATAACATTTTCATGGCATAACTATCTTTCAGTAAGGTGGATTATCTTTGCAGGGATACAAGCTTCTATCACACTAATCCCCAACAACAAAGAAAATTATAATAGTAGAGTGGTTTTTCTCACTTGTAATATGTAGTGGGGGGTGGGGAAACCTGTTGGGTGTGATGACTTTAAAAGGAAAAATGGGAGATAAAGCCATAGGCATAAATGAGCAGAATCCAGGCCACTCCTACAGAGGTCTGTGGAGGCCCAGTCTCCTGCAGGTGGCTGCTGGAATACTGTTTGCCACTGGTTTACCTTCCATCAAATACAGTATTGAGTGCAGTAACTCCTTGGGGATTTATGTAAAAAAAAAACACCTCTGGCTTTTACTTAAAAAAAGAGGCTATTAAATACACGTGAATCAAGCACCATCTGTTTATAAGACAGACAAAAAATAAGGGCAAGTGAAAAAGCAAAGCAATGATCAATTACTTGTAAAACCTTATAACATCAGCTAACACAGTAGGTCTCTAATTTTCAGTTGGAGGGACAGCAAATTCATGTATAAACCAACGGTCAGCCCTTACCCTTTGGAGGACTGTAACCCTTTTAAAAAACAATTTAAAAGCTGTGGATCCTTTTTCCCCCAAATATACCTTTTCAGTTGGAGGGCCAGCAAATTCATGTATAAACCAATGGTCAGCCCTTACCCTTTGGAGGACTGCAACCCTTTTAAAAAAAAATTTAAAAGCTATGGATCCTTTTTCCCCCAAATACAACTTTTTAAGGGGTTGACTCCCCTCATGTTCTCATTTTCATTCATAGATTTCATGAACCCCAGGTTATGAACTCTGTCCAAAGGCTTTACCACCTGCAGGTCGAGTCTCAGGAAAAGGGCTTGTCTCATGTTAACCTTTGACATTATACCAAGAATGTTTTCTTAGAATTTGCCACTTAGTTAATACCAGTTGAAGTATTATCTGCAATTAAACACTCATTATAAAAACTGAACAAAAGTATAATCTATACATTTGAGGAAAAGATAAAACTAAAAATACTTTTGACAATATTACTCTTTTGCCAGCAAGGTAATACATCTGTGTTTAATAAAGTCTTTAATAAGTTAATGATTATTTTTCTCTTTACACTCCCAAATGATTGTAGAGGGTCCCTGTTTTAGCAGCTTTTTCAATTACAGACTCAATCTAAGGTTAAGGCATTTCAAAAAAAAGTTCAGATAAAATTCAAGGTGTTTTTATAAGGCTAAAATACAAATTAGTCAAAAGTCTTATGGTTTTCAGTCTTACAAATATAATTATACTCTAGATGTTATAGTATTTTTAAATGGTTCATTCAATAAATATTTATTGAGTACCTAGGATATACTAAATCCTGGGCATACAGCGAGGAAGTATATAAAGCTGCTCCTTGACAAAACTTTCACCATTTTAGTTTTAGCTGGTCCCATTCATAGATCTCATCATTCCAGGAAAAGAACTCCTCAGAGGTCTCCCAATAATGCTAAAATGCTTTGCTTGATTCTCCCATGATCTTGGAAGGATCCAATGATCATTCAATCTTCACCTTCCCATCTCATGTTTATTTCTACCAAGCATTTCTTGAATTTCTAATATGTAAACTGAATTCAAAAATTAAATTCTCTTTTTGGCTAGGCCCTAGTTTACAGGAGATAGATACCTGCCCAGTAGCCACATAGTCCTTCACTGGATGGATGGTCAGGCTGAGAATGTCGTCATCGTGCCCCAGGTACAGCCTCTGGGAGTGCTGCTGCCGATTATACACGACAGCAACTGCAGCAATGTGGTAGACTACTTCTCCAGCTTGTGTGTAGAACAGATTGTTTCTACAGTCGTAGCCTCTATAACTGAAGCACAGGTCCAAGAAATGCATAGTGGTTGAACAAACAGCAAATGCATGGAGCAGGAGGTGTCAGAGGCAAGGCTAACATATTGACGTGAACATGTACAAGTGGAACCCCAGGTGTCACATAGGACAGCAATGTTTAAATGAGGATATGTGGCCGTCTGAGGGCATGAGATGACTCTCAAAAAGGCACATGGGCACTGAACATTGTAACAGAATCTGTTAGCAGATCCTCAGCTGTTGTGTGCGCTTTTTCTTAAAAACGATCATCTGAGAACACATCTGTGATGAGGCACAGGTATTCCTTTCCCATCTCCCCTCTCATAAATGCCTTCCGCCCACTGCAGAAAGCCATTCCTCTCCTCCATCTGGAATCCTATTACACTGTATTACTCCGGGACACAGACCCTTCCAGGGGCACCAAAACAAAGGAACAATTCAAAATACAAGTATGCATGTTGAAAGAAAACAACTCTAATGACTGGCTAAGGAATCCTGCAAATCAAGTGATTTCCAATTCTTTGCTTTCAACAAAATTGTACAGAGACTTAATGGAATTACCAGCTGAAAGATTATTTTTTGTGATATATCAAAATCAAATATGACTTTTTTGGCCTATCACAGGAGTCTGAAGAATTGAATAACATTGCTATAAAATGGCCTCCATTCTTACCTAATTATTTAAGAGAATAAACTTTCTCACTGCTTACATCTATACAAAAATGAGAACTGAGAATAGACTCAATATTAAACTTTGTTACATTCTAACAGTAAGTAATATAAATGCACAGATCTTGCAACTGAAAACCAATCCATCATATTAAAATAATTTCCAACAAAATTTTTCTGTGCTTAATAATTATATGTCACAATTAGTAATATATTCATGTTGATTTAGTCGACTTTACTAATAACTATAATTCAAATAAACTGTTAATGGAGCAACACTAACAGAAAAATAACATGATCCTCCTAATTAAAAATTTGTTGCCATATTAGAAAAAAAAATTTATTTCAGTAACATTTTAAACCCAAAACACATCTAAGATATTACTATATCAACATGTAATCAATATAAAAACTTATGAGATATCTTACATTCCTCTTTTCATAGTAAGTCTTCAAAATTGGTGTGCATTTTACACATGCAGAACATCTTTTTTCAGAATAGCCGTATTTTAAGTGCTCAGTGACTGTGTGTGGCTAGTGGATATTGTATTGGGCTGAGTTAGAGTCTTAGGACCACAGAAAAATTTTTTTTCTTGCAGAGGGTATGACATGGTGACAAAGGACTCTCAAGCATAAAAAGATTATGTTAGGGTAAAATTTTATGGGAAAATTAGAATGGAAATGTGAACTTAGGTAGAAATATGAATGATGTAAAATAGCTTCCTGTTTTAGAAGGACTTCTTCAGGTATTTTTTTTCCCCTTTTGGGACAGGGCCTCACTGTTAACCAGGCTGGAGTGCACTGGCAAGATCACAGCTCACTGCAGCCTAGACCTCCCCAACTCAGGTGATTCCCCAACCTCAACTTCCCTCCTGGGTAGCTGGGACTAGAGGTACACGCCACCACATCTGGCTAGTTTTTTGTAGAGATGAGATTTCACCATGTCTCGAACTCCTGGGCTCAAGCAATCCACCTGCCTCAGCCTCCCAAAGGGCTGGGATTACAGGTGTGAGCCACTGTGTCTGGTCTCACATATTTTTTAAGTTGATCATAGTGAGAATCAAACATTTATGGCATTTAGGTTCCTTTGCATCCATTTAAAGGACTGATGTATTCATAATACAGATAGTATCTTCTCAGCCATTTAAACCGACATTAAAAAGTTTTAGTTGTCTACTTAAAATATGCAAGGGTGCATATAATTTTACAAAATTCAAAATTATGTTGGGCACATGTGCAGAAAATATTTGAAGAAAATACTGTCCTATGGTGGAGCCAGCAAAACACAGCAGGGGATTAGGGGAAAGGAGAAAGAGGAAGTGAAGATGGTGATGAGAAAGAAGTGCAGCAGCAATGAGCAGCAGCACCCTTTAAGTCATGGAATTATATGAAGTCTGAGAAATCTAGAGACAATCACACTGTGATGGCCACAGAACATCAACGAGGGAAGTGGATAGAGAGTCACACTTAAAATAGCAACCACAGGTACAAGTGCACATTGCAGAGAAGAGCTAGCCAGGAGGAGGACGACACTGAGGGGAGGGGATCCCTTAAGCCTGGTGCTAAGGTTGGTGACAGCCAGGCAGAGACAGAGGAACACATACGGGCGCCCATGACAGGCCACCCACCCGTGTATGAACTGGAGTTTCAAGCTGTCCTCAGGAGCCTTTTCTCGTTTGAGGAAGGGCACTGCGTGGTTTTTCTCTTTACTTTGTTGCTTTAGCTGAGGTAGATCTTCTTTGTAAACCTTAAAGTACAACAGAAACATCTGGGTGAGATGCCTTTCATCAGGTTCCAAAAATATCAGCATCTTGACATTCTTGTAAAATCTTTAATTGCTTCAATAAAATGTCTTTGAAAACTTAAGACATGAGAATGAATATTACTTTTTCCTAATGAATAAAACTAATATGAACTATTTTTTAAATAATTGGGATTTTAAAATAATCTTTCTTGATTTGTTACTGTTTTCTTAATGTCTAGAAAATATATCAGTAAATTTTAAAGGAAATTAAGTATCAGTAAAATATAAATAAAATAGTTTGTTTTATTTCTTCTAAGGCCAGAAATCTCTTACTGATTCTGACAGTTGAAAAATGTGGACCTCATGAGTCATGACAATTTTCTCCTGAAATCCCTCTTTGGAATCACATTCACTTCATAGCTTCATGCATCTTAACAGATCTGAGATACAGAGCAAAGATCAATCTTGGTCTAACTTGGGACCTAAAACGTGCTGCTGATTGTACCATTTAAACGCATATAAAAACCCATCTGTTGTTTACTGTGTATTTATACTTTACTACCAAGAAATGTCCATTTAACAGGTGGAGAATCAAATCCAATCTAGTAATAATTTCTCATCTTCATCAAGTTTTTATTTAATCAAACTCTTTTAAAAATCATAAAATATAAGGCCCCTGTTTAGGATTTGATCAAAAATCATTTGTAAAAGGTCAGAAGAACTCTCACTACTGTTTTGTCTACTACAGATGCAATTAACCAAGCTTCTAGAATCTAAAGATTATTATTCAACTTAATTCATGATGCTTTCATCAGCTCACCAACTATTTACTTTAGAGCAATGAATTCTAGTCTTGATATTTCTATTGTTTAAATGGGTCTCATAACCTCTGTGGGCTTCAAATTCTCATCTGTAAAATTGAGTTAAAAAATCCCTGTTAAGGAATAACTCAGGAATATTGTGAATGTAAATCAAATATCGGTGAAAGCATTGGAAAGTGACATGTCAGGGAGAATATACAGGTTGAGTATTCCTTATCTGAAATGTTTGGGATCAGAAATGTTTTGGATTTCAGATTTTTTTCAGATCTTGGAATATTTGCATTATACTTACTGGTTGAGCATTCCAAATCCAAAACCAAAACACAAAATGCTCCAATGCACATTTCCTTTGAGCATCAAACCAGTACTTACGAAGTTTTGGATTTTGGAGAATTCAGATTTTCACATTAAGGATATTCAAACTGTTTAAGTCGTAGGCATGAATTTTAAGTCTACCTTTTCATTCTTTTATTTATTTTTCTTAGAGACAGGGTCTTGCTCTGTTGCCCAGACTGGAGTACAGTGGCTTGTAGCCCTCAATCTCCTGGGCTCAGGCAATCCTCCCACCTCAGCTTCCTGAGTAGCTGGGACTACAGGCAAATGCCCAGCAGTTTTTTTTTTTTTTTGTAGATACAGAGACTGTGTTAACTAGGCTGGTCTCAAGCTCCTGGTCTCAAGTGATGCTCCCACTTTGTCCTCCCAAAGCATCGGTATTACAGGAATGAGCCACTGTGCCTGGTCCCTTTTCATTCTTCTACTAGCACCATTTTATTAAACAAACACTTCCCAATTAAAGATTTCTTTTCCTAAATTCTGTATTGTGTTTAAATTTTATTGTCTCCTGATACCAGAGTATAATATTGTTTAGTGTTTGCATAATATTTCCACATTAATAATTTCCTTTCAGGCAAGATTGACTACGTTCAGGGTTGTATGGCCACAGACAATAATCTCTTTTCAAGTCCTTTTTAGTAGTCATATTGCATAATACAATGTGTCAATGCACAGTCAAGATGATTTCGTCATGGGGCTGACCCAAACCATTAAACTGTCTTGGTACGAACACAATTTTTCAAACTCTGAATCAATGACTGATGATTATGGGCTGAAAAATATTCCAATTTAATGCTTATATAGAGGCAAACCAAGTAGTGCATAGAATGTGCACTTTGGAGATAAGCCTAGGTAAGCATTGTTATCCTAATACGACAAGCAACGTGGACATGGGCAAGTTACTTTACTTCTTTCAACACATGGTAGCTGCCATAGGCCTATATCTTAAATCTCTATTGGCGACACTTACAGTTCATGTATCTGAAATTTGAAGTCTTATTCATTCCACATTCATGTACAGAATCTGCTTCACATATCTTTGTTAAGTGACAAGAAAGAAAAAGAGAACCCCCATGGTTATTGCTGTAACAAGGTGGTATGTGTTCAGATTCCGCTGAGGGATTGCTTTAACACTGTTTAGTGCTAAAATGATATGTCAACTTCCAAAAAAACTGAAGTCAGCTGATCAGCTTTCCTACTAGAGGTAATTTCTGACTGGAGAGATTAATACACATTTTATTTGAGCTTTTACTTTAAGTAGATAATTACTTTGATTAAATGGATAATGGTTGCAGTAAGTTAATAGAAAAACCGGGCTAACAAGCTCACATGCAAACCACCATGCCTCAAGGGTATCCATCCTTGTAAAGGAAACACATGCTTTCATAATCTGCTAAGAAAGTGAAAAAAGACCTATGGCTTACTTGCACATTTTTCTTCAAAATATATTTTAAAGTTTTAGGTGCTAGGGAGGCAAAAAGCCCAAATACCAGGGGTTCAGTTTTCAAACTTTGCAATTACTTTCTGCTGAAATAAATTTTAATGGTATGATTGGGTAAACACGTCGGTTTTAACCTGCACTTAAAGGCACAAAGTAGACTATTTTTCTTGTTTTTGCCTCAATTCTCTTTGTCTAAGTGCCAGTCATTTTTAGTGCTATGTCCAAATCCAGGAATGAGATCCCCTTCTGGGGTTACAAATTTTCATTGCTCCCTGCTTACCGACCTGGCGATCATAATTGATTTGAGCTTCTTGCTCAATATCAGAGTCCAGTTCGGGCACATCAGATAAATCTGAATCAGATTCTTCACTGTAGGAATCAGCTCCACCTTCTGCAGAGATACAACCCACAAGAAACAAGCAAAAATTCTGAGACTCTGAGCAACTGAAATTATCTAAAATATTTTTCCTTTTATCCTAGCAAAGTAAATAAAAACTATACCATAGTTTTCATTTAATATAAATTGTTAAAACATCTTTCTTTCACCTTTTGGTTTAGTTCAGCCCACCCTTCACTCCTTTCAGGAACATTAACAGACTAGGCCAACTTCCTTCCCCACACCACCCACCAGGCAGACTAAACTCATTTATACTTTTTTTGAGACAGGGTCTGTCTCCTAGGCTGGAACGCAGTGGCACAATCTCAGCTCACTACAACCTCCTCCTCCGGGGCTCAAGCAATCCTCCCACCTCAGCCTCCTGGCAGCTGGGACTACAGAGATGCGTACCACCATGCCCAGTTAATTTTTAAATTTTATTTGTAGGGACAGGGTTTCACCACATTGCCTAGGTTGGTCATTTACACATTTCTATTAGATAGCAGATACCTGGGTTTTAAGCTTTGTTTTGTAAAATGGGCAGGTTTTAAAAAGTGAAAGGCTAGGGCAAAAATAAACCCAACCATTTACTTCAATACAGATCCTCTTTAGCCTTTTAACCATGCCCACCCAAGTGTTGGTAATTGTCATGGCCCAAACCACCACAGAACTCTTGTCAACATTTATTCAAATAATTTTTCATTTTATCACCTGCTCATGCCTGCTGACATCAGAGATAAATGAAAAGACTACATACATGTCCACTGAATTGGAACACATAGGCCCCAACCGTGAACCACTGCTTGAGCCCCATTCTGAAGGCCACTTACATTTCAAAGGTTACCCTGTTCCCCTGCAGCCTGACTGAACAGACCCACTGCCTGTTACAATTGTCCTAAGGAAGCTGAAATGTATCCTCTCCTGTTATCCCCCAAGGGTTAATTCTTCACGTAAACCTTAGACCTTCAACTTGCATTTGGGAAATCTGCTGATGGTTTTATAGAGGTTTCCTTATGTGTGATGATTCTCTTTTCCCTGACTACTTATAATGCTCTGCCTTTAACTTTTGATCATTTAAGATGTTTCTTGGGGTACATCTTTTTGGATTCATCTTACTCGTGTCCTTTGCGCTTCCTAGATTTGGCTTTATTTTCTTTCCTAGGCTTGGGAATTTTTCTGCCATTATTTCCTTGAACATGTTTTCTGCCCATTTCTCTCTCTTCTCTTTTTGGCATGTTGGTAACACGTAAGTTGTTGGACCACCCTAAGTCTCTAAGCTATCTTTACTCTTTTTCTTTTTGTTTCTCAGATTGGATGGTTCCCAGTAATCTGTCTTTCCAAGTTCACTGTTCCTTTCTTCTGCTTAATCTAGTCTGCTGTTGAACCTCTCTATTGAATTTTTCAGTTCAGTGGCAGTACTCTTCAGAGAAAGTTTTTTTTTTTTTTTTTTTTTTTTTTTAGAGATGGAGTCATGTTATGTCACCCAGGCTGGAGTGCGGTGGCACAATCGTGGCTCACTGCAACCTTCACCTCCCGGTTCAAGCAATTCTCCTGCCTCAGCCTCCCCTGTAGCTGGGATTACAGATGTGCTCCACCTTGCCTGGCTAATTTTTGTATTTTTAGTAGAGACAGGGTGTTTCACCATGTTGGCCAGGCTGGTGTTCAAACTCCTAACCTCAAGTGATCCACCCGCCTTAGCCTCCCAAAGTGCTGGGATTACAGTCATGAGTCAACGTGCTCAGCCAATCCTCAGAGAAAGTATTTCAAAAGTACCAAAACTCATTGAGTAGTTTTAAAAAACACCTTCTATCTCTAAAGTTCTCAATTTGTTCTTATATTGCTCTCTTGACCTCAGTGAGGGTCTTTATGACTATTATTTTGAATTCCCTGTTGGGTAAATCACATATCTCTACTTAACTGGGGTTGCTTTCTGGAGATGTCTTGCTCGTTTATCTGGAATTTCATTTCTTCATTGTCACTGACACTGTGTGTTGGTTTCTGTGCATTAGATTAAAAAAAAAAAAAAAACAAAAAACCTCTCCCTATCTCGTCAGACTGGCCTTGTATAGGAGAAGGATCTCACCAATCTGACTGGCCAATGGTTTTAAGGTGCCTCTCAAATCTGTGTTTGTCCAGACTATTGTCTGTTTTGGTGGCCCCTAGAGCTTAAGATGTGCCATGTCCTGTTGGTACCGCAAGACTGTAAAGGGGGGAAGACATCAAGACACTTTTGATGTAGCTAGAAGGGTTGGAGGGTGGACTATGTGTTTCAATTCCTTCTATCTTCACAGTGAAGCTGAGCACAGTCATTTACCGCTCACTTTTTCTGCACTAAGCCAGGTAGAGAATCTGTGACAAATGCCTGTACTCACATTTAGGCTGTACCCTCTGATCCTGGGGAGATAACTCCTGAAGTGGGCCCATTGTACCTCTACCTCTTCATTTTCTGTGGTTTAAGTCCACTCAGGAATGCGAAGCCCCATCAATTTCCAGAGCTAGTTCATTAAGGAGACAGGTGGGAGCTATAGAAGGTGTGGCACTTGGTGTATGACCAAACTTTTTCCAGTAAGTATGGGTAGGCTTAGATTTATCACTGGGGCGAGCCAGAGCAAAGGCTCATGAAGTGCTGAGCTCTGGCTGCTGGAAGGCTATTATATGTTTGCCCTGTTAGCTCCTTGATGGAAATCATTTGATGGCAGGCCATCAAGTAGCATTGGAAGTGTATGCTGTAAGCCCCTTCTGGAGAAAAAAAATGGGAGCTGCACATTCCCAACCTTTTTCTGCACTGCTCCAAGGGGATGTCACTCCTGTAAGTGTTTGTAAACCCATTTAAGACCACATCTCTGTTCTGTGATATAGGAAGACTAGAATATTCCTAGTCCCTTCTGCTCCCAGAGCAAAGAGGTTTAGGATGGAGTCCTCTGGGAGGTAGCTGTAAAAGTTGGGCATTCAACACATGGCATAAACCCCATCTGGGGAGAAATGAGGAGCTGCATTCTTATAGCACCTTCTCGTCACCACTCCTAAGAGAAGAAGCCGCTGCAAGTGCCTACAAGTCCATATAAAACTGCCACCTTTCTCTATGGTCTAGACAGACATTCATATACTTTGCCCCCTCTGCTCCCCGAAGTGGGAGGTTTAGGATGCATTTCCTTGAGTGGAAGCTATAAAAGTTGGGGAGCTCAATGTGTGGACAAACTCCTTCCAGAGTATATTATTAGATCTGGAGTTACTGATGGGATGAGTCATGGGAGGAGGCTCAGAGGTCTGTTTCTTAGGCTGCCAGCTGGGTTAATGTGTGTCTGCCCCTCTAAATCCCTGTTGCATATTGGTTAGAAGCCAGGCCGCCAAGTAGCCTCCGGAAATGTGTCATAAACCCCTTCTAGGTAGAAACTGGGCTGCATTTTTTAAGCTCCTTCTCAGAACTGCTCCAGGGGATGAAGTCCCTGGAAGGCTTGAGCACTTGTATCAAACCGAGGCTTCTTTCCCATGGTCTAGAGACTCCCAAATGTCTAACTCCCTCTACTCCCAGAGTTGGTGAATTAAGAGCCAGTCCACGGGTAACCTAGAGTTAGGGCACTATGTGTGAGGTCCAAACCATTCTCTCCACAGGGAGAGGTTGGGTGGTGGGGATTCCTGTCCTGATTTCAGGAAGCAGTGCGCAGGGTAGGGTTCCTGCCAGAGTGTGCCTCAGCTTTTCCTACCTACCCAATGTGGATGTTTTCTCAGTTGCCTGGTGGGTAGGAGTTTCTCAACTTGTATGACTTTCTCTCAGAGAGAATGGACCTGCGAATCAATGTGTATTTGGTGTCCATGAGTGGAGGGAGTGTCAGGAGCTTCCTATTCTGACATTGCAGATGTCACGTTGCTGACGTCCTGCTCAACTTGCATTTGGTATAGCAACTTCCTTTGAAGAAAATTATCCAACTGACCCATGTTAATCTTTAAAGTTTCTTCTTATCTTAAAATTTTAAGATTACAGGAATCAATTTTCCAAAATTGCTTAAATCCTTTACCTATAGAATACATGTTAGACCATTCTTTGAAATGCCTATTGAAAAATAAAATGATGTTAAGAAATTATTGCTGGGTTTACCTTGGGGTGCAGTTTCCAGCATGCCGTTGCTGACACCTTCTGGAATAAACCTCCACTGGAAAACTGAGTGATCAGCCCCTCCTGTGCTCAACACCCACTGAAAGTCATGGGACCAGCGGACATTTGTGACATGTGCAGAATGGCCCACATACTTTCTAAATTTGGCTCCTGAAAGAATATTTTTTGAGAGGATTAGTTATGAAAAAAGAAGAGTTCATTAGTTTAAAACAACCCCCCTTCTGTTCATGTTGAAGAGTAAAATCTTTAAATATATCTGAAAACGATGTTCCGTCTTACATATTGTAACAAATAACCAAATGCTTCAAAATATATCTCAATTATTCCAATATGCAGTAAGCTAAAAATAGGTCGTAAAATTTAAGCCCTGTGGCTAAAGACACATCTGAACCTGTTCCAAATAATGCCTACTGCTTCACTGATTCTGAAAATAAATGACAGAGAATGAACATCTTACACATTCTTATTTAAATGAAAGATAAGACAGGCAATCCTGTTTAACAGGGAAACAGAAAATAATTCTATGGAAATAAAATTATTGTTTGGAGTCACGTAGACATAGAGTTTGGAGAATCATTTTTTCCTCCTTAAACTGGTTGCTTTACTCAGTGAACACTAACCCCAGGTAGTGAGTGCAATAGAAAAAGCTACTTGAAGTGATATTTGTGGTTGAACTACAGTAGTAAAGCCTTCAGCATATCAGCATATGCTCAGTACACAGCGGCATCAAGGCACTCGAGTAATAAGCAGGGTCCATCTTACATGGAGGCCTAGAACCCCAAAGTCCATGGTAGATTTCAGGAGGTCAAATACCCCAACCTCTCTTCAAAAACATTTCTATTTCTCACAGTTTCTCTAAATGAAATCCCTTTTATTAGGGTTGGGGGAGGCCATCTGTTCAACTATCACATGTTTAAATTTCAAATGTCCACTGGAGAGGCAATGATTTGTAAGAAGGTGAAAATTACTGCTACATGTCATGCTCATACATTTTTTGAGAGCATGCTCTGACCAGATAAGCCTCATTATATCAGGGGCTCTGAGAAAAATTAGGGGAATTCTGCTGCAGAAGGGAAAGGAAGCATTGGGTCTCAAAAGCAAACTTGCCTACTTCAAAGAGTTACCTAAATCAGTTTCGTAATAAAGTCAAACTGGCTCCAACTAAGGTCAGCTGGAAATGCTGGCTCATGATTGAGTAATTGGGGAGCAGGGTATGCTCTTCCCAACTCTCTTTAGATCTTAAAGTGTTGGCCTCTTCTTTGCTTCCTTGACCTTTATACCTTCCTCACAGATCAATTAGCCTATCTCTTTGCAGAGGTTTAAAAATATGTCCACAAATTCTCTGATACAAAATGAACAGAATATGGCAAAAGTGAAGCTGACATCTAAGAGGAGGTTATAAAAGGTACTGCAGATTCTGCCTTGCTGTCTTTCTTGGATCTCTATATGCCACGTCATAAGCACACTGGAGCAATCTATGGAGAGGCTCACACAGCAGGAACTGAGGCCTCCTGCCAAGAGCCACATGAGTGAGCCATCTTGGAAGAAGCGAATCCTCTGGCCTCAGTCTAGCCTTCACATGACTGCAACCTCATGAGAGACCCTGAACTAGAATCACCCAGCTAAGCTTCTTGGGACTCCTTGACTCCCAGAAACCATGATATAATAAATGTTTGTGCATTTACACTTTTAAGTTTGGAGAATAATTTGTTATGCAGCAATAGATAATTAATATAGCCTTTGTAAGCTGGAACTAGAACCTGCAAAAGCATTAATGTCATTAATACTTAGGCCTTATCTCTCTCATCTTTTCTTTCTGCCCTCTCTCCCCGCTCACTCACTCTGCTCTGGGTACATTGGTCTCTTTGCTATTCCCTAAACATGCTAGGCATTTTCTCTGCTTCTAGGCCTTTGCTGTTTCCTCTGTCTGAAGTGCTCTCTCCCTAGATATCTGAACAGCTGGATCCTTCATTCTCCTTCAGGTTCTAAGTCAAATGAAACCACAACAGCAAGCCCCTCTTTGACCAACTCATTTAGAACACTGCACTGCCCAATTCCAGCATTCTCTGCTCCCACTGTTTGCTTTATTTTTCTTCACAGCACTTCTCACAATCAGATGTTTATATTTTCTTGTATATTAACTGTGGACCTTCAGTAGAACAAAAGCTCCACGAGGGCAGGGATTTGTGCTTGTTTTCATCACTGGCCTATCTCCATCCCGTAGGACAGCATTTAACGAACACTTCTTGAATAAATGAAGGCCACACCTGTCTCTCATAAGGCTTTCCCTGGGACACTGAATGACTCCACCAGACCTCCCTTTGTCCTCTGCACCACAGGAGGGCTCAGGCCTCAGCCCTCATGTCTTCTCTATCAACCTCCTCCCCCATGGCTTTAAAGTGCTGTCAACGTGACTGCCAAGTGCACATCTCCAGCCCTGACATCTCCCTGGAGCACTGACAGCTCTGTGCCACGTCCACCCGGATGCCCAGTACGGGCCCCTAACTTACAACAAGGAAAACAGACCGAGACATTCCTCTTCCCCTTATGTGCACTCCCAGAGACAAATATCTTTTTTCTCATTTTCCCAGCTCTGTAAATGCTGCCACTATTCAACCCACTGCTCAAGTCCCAAACTTAGAAGTCATCCTTGATTACTTTCTTTTCCTCTATTCTCATATCCAGTCCATCTGTAAGACCCTCAGCTCTGCCTTGAAACTGTTTCCTAAGCCCGACCAACCTTTCTGTATCTCTTCCTAGTATCTTTGTCCAAGCCACACCATCTCTTACCTGGACTCCTGCAATAACTTCTCTACTTGAAACCTCCCTTTTCCTAACCATTCCACAAAATATCAAAACAGTCTTAAAAGCTTGGATTGGTCACATCACTCCATGTAAAACCATCCATAGTTTTTCATTGCACTTAGAAGACGACTCTGATTTCTAGTAGTGGCCAGGGGGCCCTTTACGACACAGCCCTGTCACCCTCTCCAATGTCACGGTACGCAACTCTTCCCCTCATGCACTAAGTTCTAGCCACACTGGCCTTCCTGCTTCTGCACTGCATCAAGCTTATCCATGACATATGGAAGGCCAGCACCAGCCCCTCCAAGATCTAAGATCCAAGATTTCTGCAACTCAAGTCTTAACATTCAGGACACTCATCATGGGAGGTGGCTGTTCAAGCTGTCCATAGGCCATGTGTCATAAAATGTACAACACAAGTCCATTTGCTATCAGGACATGGATACTTTTGTGGGTTGCTGAGGTGTAATGCAAAGGAGGAATGGAACGGGTGCACCAGGTGGAACATGGAGAGCCTCTGAGTCTCCCATTGGAGTAGGGGTGCGTACCAAGGCTATTAGGACATGGAAAATTGTCATTGAGCAAGGCCTTGGATTTTACCTCGTTTCAGTGTCTGTGTGGCGATGGTCAAACAGGATATAGTCTAAGTGGTATCAGGGAAAGCTGTCAGTATTGATCCTAATTATTTTAAGATGTGAAAACTGTCAAAATGAGAAAAACAAATTGGTTTGGCTACGTAAACATAGTACAGTAGCAGTCATTTTCATTAACTGCAGAACACTTACGTCTAATTACTGTGCAACTGATTGTTATACACATATAATTGCAAACATGTCAAATTAACTTGGTTGTGAGTTTTTAAAAATCACAATGGAAAACAATAATGTTTGCTCATTTCCCACAACTGCTCATGGTCATCAGCACCTGCCCATATCTGGCTGTTTACAGGTTCAAAATGTACAGGGAATACTTGTACCTTGTCACCTAAATTACAGACAGACACATTCCACCAACTGCTAGTATTCCCATCAACAATTCCCACTCTTTTATTCACTTCCCCACCAGTAGTTTTGGCACAAAAAGGACACAAAAGCCTGAATGTCTCAGAGGCAAATTACAAGATTTATAAGCCATGTGTCATGAAAAGTAGAACACAAGTCCATTTGCTATGAGGACATGGATATGTCTGTGGGTTGCTGAGGTGGGTTTTGCTACTTCTCACCATACTGTCATCTGGCTGTCCATCTCTCCTCATTCATGCAGATGCCCTCTGTGTGCCATTATCCAAAGAGCTGTTTTTTATGTAACGGTGACTCATTTTGACAGCACTACTCACCCTCTGTAATATAGTTTGGACATGTGTCCCTGCTCAAACCTCATGTTGAATTGTAATCTCCAGAATTAGAGGGCGGGGGGGGGGCATGGTAGAAGGTAACTGGATTATGGGGGTGAATTTCTCATGAATAGGTTAGCATCATCCTCTTGGTGCTGTCCTAAAAGTGAACAAATTTTCATGAGATCTGCTTGCTCACAAGTGTAGGAACCCTGCTCTAGCTCTGTCTTGCTCCTGCTCTGGCTTTGTGACGTACCTTCTCCCCCTCACCTTCTGCCATGATTGTAAGTTTCCTGAGCACCCCTCGCCCAGACGCCAAGCAAATGCTAGCATCATACTTCCTGTGTAGCCTACAAAACCGTGAGCCAATTAAACCTCTATTCTTTATAAATTACCAAGTCTCAGGTACTTCTTTACAGCAATGTAAGAATAGACTAACACATGCTTTCTTTTCTAATAGATCCACATTTCCATTGCTATTTTCCAGACCCAAGCACACCTTAAAAGACTTGGGATGTATAGGATATCAATTATCATCGAGTTATGTTTATTCCCAAGTTCTGACACTAGAGACCAGTAGTGTTGCCACTGACCCCAATGTTGTTTCTTCTCAATTCTGAATTCCCAGGTACTTTCTTGGAGGCCTAACTTACCCCCTGCAAGTATACTACTCAATCTAACAAGATATGCCCTATTACTCAAAGGGCTCTTGTGGGGAAAAAGAAGAGTATGAATTGGGCATGTTGAGATAATTCTGTGCCTTGCACATTTTAAACGGATGGTCATTTTGTGATGTTTCAGTGATGGTGTCTTGTTATGCATTTTATGTTCCATTTGTACCATAACTGTCACTGCTTCAAAACTGCCAGTTAGCTGAAAATGACTTTCTGATTGCATTTTTCAATCCCTTTCCTTGCTTAGTCTAAAAATTGTTCAAGTGAAAGAGTTTTCAGGCAGTAGCATGTCCCTGTTGATTACTTTTCTAAGATCGGATTTTCAGGCACAGTTGAGGAGTCTCAGAAGAGCCTGAATATGGGCTTTGCCTAAACTTGCAAAGGAAGAAGAGGTCATTACATGGTTAATTCATCACCTTCTACAACGCTTGAGTGTGCCACATAACTGAAGTCAAACAATTTTAACAAAACAAAACAACAAAACATGAGGGCAAAGAGGGTTGCTTTGAATCAAACTTCTCTCAAAAATTTCACCAGTTATGTAAATCTAGTTTGCAAAATTACTGCTATGACGAGAGGTCCATAAACTATTATCACCACAACCATGATCAGATTTTAATTATGTCTGAAAGGATTTCCTTTGCTTTTCCATGTATAAGCACAATAGCTCTGAATCATAAAAGAATTTTAGTTACAACATTTTAACGGACTATATATAAACTATGAATATTTACATAAATATGACTTGTTCGAAATGTGAAACAAGGCTTACAAATCACAATATGGTAATAACTCTATTAGCAAATTCTTTCTTAAATTTGCAAAACCACATATCTTAAGATGTCAAAAGTAGAAGACATCAACACATTCTATTTAAAATTGTTGAAAAGTAAATAAGAATATACAAGATAAAATAAACAGTGCATTGGAATAGACAGCAGGAAGATCAGCCTTAATTGTACTGTATACAGTTTAGAGTAAATCTTTATGCAATGAAACATCTCTTTTGGCCTTACCTCTCTTGAGACAAGGAAATTTAAACAATTTAACCAGTCCAAAATCATCTCCAGACACCAGCACTGAGCTGTTGTAATTCGCATCCACTGAGTTGATGTCAGTAACCTCAGTGTATTTGGGCCAAATTCCACTCACTTCAGGGCCTTTCACGCATGTCCAGGAGGCCCAAGGAATCCCTTTAATTTCTTCTTTACTTGTTAAAGGCTTCCCAGCTGAAAATAATCAATATTAACATTACATTTAAATAAAAAGTTTATTCTAATTTATTTTTTATAAAGATCTGAAACTTTAAGAAAACTTTTGTAAATACAGAAAACTACATATTTTAATCTCTTTATCCCATTTGCGATTTTTTCTTTTTTTGCGTGGCTTAAAGAAAGCCCACACTCAAAACTCAGACATTAAAAAGAAAATGATGAAATATTCAGGTGATGCATCCCTAAATATCCTGACTTGATCACTACACATTCTATGAATGTCACAGAATTTCACATGTACCCAATAAACACATGAATGTATCAAAAAACTTAAGAAAATTATCATACTAAATGTAATGTCTCAAGCTACTAACAATTACTTAATTACCTTGATACAGATGGTATTATGCTTTGTATTATTAATGAAATGACTTTTATCATGTATCATCATGTTTAGTCACCAACGCTTTGCCAGGTTTTAAAAACTTTGGCTAAGTTCATCCTGAACTTCTATTTTTCATAATTTAAGGATGCTCAGAAGTGATGTCTTTAAAATTCAGGCTCAGTAGATTAATGAAAAAAAATTAGTGAATATTATTTAAATTTATAAGTACTAGGCACTGAAAATCTACAAGATTATGATGAAATAAAATGTAATTCACGCGGGAAAATAATCCCGACCGTTGTGCTGTGTATATTCCCAAATGGGGATGGCCCACTACCCAGTTCCCACCACAGCAGGTCAGGGATGTTCCCCAGAGAGCACACAAAGAAGCAAACATACATACATTTGGGAAAGTGTTTAACCACACACAATTTTAAAATTCAAAATCAAGACATTTAAGCATATTACCTAACTTCTCTCTCAGAATAAGTATTTTCAAAATAAAGAACTGGTGAGAATAAATGCCCTTATATAATACTGGTGCATTATCAAATTGGCACCTTAAAATTCTAGACTGTAACAGCATTACGTAAAACTTCATTAAAGAGACAACAAAATAAAAACGTCTGTAGTTGGAACACAGTCTTTCACCTAGTGTTCTTGCCTTGGAGAATACAGTCCTAGGAAGTAACTCAGGAGAGAAAATTCCACCAGTACAGGGGCATTTGGAATTCCAACAGCTGGACCAACAAAGATACTAGAAATAAGCTCAAATACCCAATAATAAGACAGTGATGAAGTAAATTATGATGCCACCCCTGAACAGGATGGTATTTTATTATTGCAAATGATAAACATGTGTTTAATATTTTTTCACATAGAAAAAATATATGAAGTAACGTCAAGCAAAGAAAACAAAGAAATACATATTTCTGCAATGGTACACTGAAGAATTTGATAAGGCAGAGTCTTATTTGTGACATTTATTTTAGCATCACACAAACTAAATGTTAATAAATGAGTATTATGTAAGTCAGATGAATCTCTTATAAAAGTTATGGTGGGGTCACAAAAATAGCATTTAAAAAATCCCAATGGGCACATTTCACCAAATAACCAGTAAGAGATTCCAATTATGAAGAACAAAGATCTGGGACTAAAACAATCCAAGTAAATAAGGACTATGATCCTCAAATCTTTGAAGACTTAAATCTTGAAATGTTGTGTTGGAGTTCTAAGCTGATCTCAGAGTTTCTAATACTCCCAGGGCCATTTTTTCTAAAATTTCAATAGACTATTCTTTTCTATTCTGGCAGGAACCAGTTTTCCTAATGATAATGTAGCCGACTATCCCTGGATATCTGTGTTACGATGGGAGTATTATTGCCCAACAAGCTGAAACCCACGGATGATACCTCCAGTTCATTTTCATTCATTTCTAACCCTGCTGCAGAATTGTGTGTGCAAGGCACTGACAGAAGCATTATGACTATTTTGCATTATCACCATTTAGTCAACTTTTTAGGTACACATTAATGAACAATGAAATGGGCAAAGATCAGGAATAAAGAAGAAATAACAGATAAAGCAAAAGACTTGGATAATGAACTAAACAGGTCATGAACATCCAAATACCTGAAAGTTGGTTCTACAATTGTTTCAGATTTTCTCTACTTTAAAAAACTATGAAATACTTCGAGCATACAGAAAATTATACAGACTACTATAGTGTACAAGTGTTGCACCACAGTTTCAACAAATCCTAACATTATGTCTTTATCACAGAATTTTAAAGAAAATGTTTCAGAGTTAAAATCCATTGGGCTTTTTTTCTAAATTTATTTATTATTTATTTATTTTGAGATGGAGTCTCACTCTGTCACCCAGGCTGGAGTGCAGTGGTGCGATCTCAGCTCGCTGCAACCTCCACCTCCTGGGTTCAAGCAATTCTGCCGCCTTAGCCTCCCAAGTAGCTGGAAATACAGGTGCCCGCCACCGCGCCTGGCTGATTTTTTTTTGTATCTTTAGCAGAGATGGGACTTCACCATGTTGGCCAGGTTGATTTCGAACTCCTGACCTCAAGTGATCCACCCGCCTCAGTCTCCAAAAGTGCTAGGATTACAGGCATGAGCCACCATGCCTGGCCTCATTGGGTTATTCTTTCCAAGATCATCTCTGCTTCTCAGCGGTAACCAACATCCTGAATGAGGTATCATTCCCATGCATTGTTAAAACATTTACTACATGTGTATATGGTCATAAATAATACAGAATTTTTTCATGTGCTAAAAGTTTATATAAATGACCATACACTGTATATATCATTCCACAACTTTCTTTTGTTTGCTCAGCATATTTTTGAGATGTATCCCTACTGATGCAAGTAGCTCTAGTTTAATTTATTCAAGTTCTTTAAAGTATTCCATTATATGACTACACCACATTTAACTCAACTCTCCTCATGCTGATAAACATTTAGGCATTGTGTCACAAACATCCTTGTGCGCACATGCCTTAGTGCATGTTCTCACCAGCAGTATATGTGGTTTCCATTTCCCCTCTTCTCGCCATCAGACTTTTGCCAGTCTAAATAGTGTAAAATGGTACTTTACTGTTGTTTTAATGATCATTTCCCTGATTCCTAGTCTTTTATTGGTCATGTGAGATTTGCCCATTTTTCTAATGTTTTTTTTTCCTTGCTCTTATCCTTAGGCATTCTTTATATATTCTAGATATATATCTTTTGTCCATTATAACAATGGCAAGAATTTATGCCTAGTCTATGCCTTGTCTTTACATTTCATTCACGATCTCCCTTGTTGTGCAGCAACTTTTAGTTTAACATGTTCCAACTCATACCTTTCCTTTGAATGTCTGTTATTTAGGATCTTGCGACAGAAAACATTCCTTGCCCTGAGGTGGGGGTGCTTTCCGGCAAAAACCAGAAAACCTGCTGTACAAATTCTAAAAGAGCCATGACACTTGTCCTGTATTTCCTTCACCTGGTTCAAAATTTTGCTTTCCAGAAACATCCAAGGCCTCCACATGACTTACATGGCATTCTGTAGAACAATCGTTCTCCTGCACCGTCATTAGTTTGTAAGTATTTACTATCCAAGGACCAGTCAATATGCGTGATGAAACTAAGGGACTTGCTGCATTCTCCAATTTTCTTATACCTCTGGGCAACAGCATAGACATCTACTGGGCCATCATTGGATCCCACTGCAAGGTAAGAACCATCTGGAGAAAATTTCATTTCATGAATGACTTCTTTTCGATCTTTGATGTGAACTACTTCTGTCATATCTCTGTAAGAATAAAAAGCAAAACGATAAGCAGCAATTCTACAAATAGAAAATCCAAGTTTTAAAATATATGTGTCAGAAAAAGAAGTGTGTTGAAAGAGAACCAAACCTGCAGGAATTAAAGGATTAACTTTTGAGTAAATATATAAAATGTTATTATTTAAAATTTATGGCATTGGCCGGGCGCGGTGGCTTACGCCTGTAATCCCAGCACTTTGGGAGGCCGAGGCAGACGGATCACGAGGTCAGGAGATTGAGACCATCCTGGATAACAAGGTGAAACCCTATCTCTATGAAAAATACAAAAAATTAGCCGGCCGTGGTGGCAGGCGCCTGTAGTCCCAGCTAATCGGGAGGCTGAGGCAGGAGAATGGCGTGAACCTGGGAGGTAGAGTTTGCAGTGAGTCAAGATGGCACCACTGCACTCCAGCTTGGGCGACAGAGCAAGACTCCGTCTTAAAATTTATGGCATTTTAGGAGAATAACAAACTGTTTAAATGATATTTTGGGCTTCCAAAGTAAAAACAAAAAATTTAATTAAGTGCATATTTGTGATGAAGAGAAGTAGATTAATGGGCACAAACTGCAGTGTGATAGAAGAAATAAGATCCAGCGTTTGATAGATCAGTGGAGTAACTATAGGTTATAATAATCTATCAGATATTTCCAAATGGGAGAAAATAATTCAAATGTCTCTAGCATAAAGAAAAAATATTTAAGGTGATGGATAGCCCAATTACACTGATTTGATCTTCACGAATTATATGAATGTATTCAATTACATGTACCCTGAAAATATGTGTATCTATTATGTATCGATTTTTAAAATTTTAAAAAGAAATGCACATTTGCTTTCATGTTTAACTATATATTATTTTTCCCTAAAATTTTTGTTTCAAAAGTTGGGGTTTGTCAAATTGTTTTAAAAATACGCCATGGAGAAAGGGAGACTGTATCAAGATTAACATAAATAAATCATCTTTTTTATACTTTAAGAAACGAGTGACTGTTAAGCTTGATACCTATTGTCGCAAAAAGAGCAAGTCAAAAAAGCAGCTGAAGAAAATTACCTTTTTAAATGTTAAATTGTGATGTAATCATTCAACATTTCACTGTCATGAATACAGTGAGTCACTGGAATATTTTGTTTTGTTTCTGACCAGATTCTTTTAAGAATTTCTGCTCACACTGGAAAGCTCACTGGGGTTGTTTTTTCCCTACAATTGTGAGACAGGATTATGACAACTAGCAGGTCCCCTGAGCCAGTAAAGATGGCTTCATCAACTCCAAATAAACTGAATACATAAAGAATAGCAAATAATCGTTCTACATAACAGTCGCTCATACCTGCTATCATTTATTAATAGCATTATGGTGTACTAGAATGTCATAAAATAGGTGTCTGGAAATTTATGTGTGTGTGTGTGTGTGTGTGTGTGTAGTGTGGAAGCTTGAGAAGTCCATCGAAAAAGAAATCTGGTACTCAGCCATCTTTTCACACGTCACTAAGCAGAGAAAGAAAATGTTGCCCACTAGTTCAGTAATGAGTTATGTGTGGTTGGTAGTGAGAATGTAGTGTAATAAACTGTGCTAAGACCATTCTCCAATCAAAGCTATGGAGAATTCTCTGTGCAAAGCGGGAAATATTTACTTTATAGCTGCATTTATTTTCTATAATTACAAAACATGTGAGTCGAGAGAACGACAAATGCATTCAGAGGAATTACAAGAGTGGGTCATAATTTTTTTCAGTAAAAAGTATATAGGATGTCAGTAAATAGGAAATATTCCATTTTAGTATCAATTATGGGTAGAAGAAATCTTTTACTAAAGCTCACCTCTAAACATCTGGTGCTGTTGGGTGCTGCTTTATTCTTTCTTCCTCTTTTCTTGGCTTACTACAAAGCCCACAATCTTTTATCCAAAACCCTTGGAATTAGATGTGCTTGGGAATTCATTATTCATTAGATTTTAGAAAGGTTCATACACAATGTATCATGTAACATCCCCAGTGGGGGCTGGGGCAGCAATCTGTATTAAACACAATAATTTTGCAGCAAGTCACATGACACATGATTATTTCTACTAAGAGATTACTAGATTATAAACAGCCTCACATCAGTCTGTTGGGTTAGACTGTGCTGCCAAATTATCAAATAATTTTGTATTTTCAGAGTGTTAGGACTTCAGAATTACAGATAGGGGATCGTAGATCTATAGTATTCCTATTTGAATGGCTAAATGGATTTTTCCTAAGGTCCTAGCATGTATTATGACCAGGAAAATTGTAACATTTAACACGAGAGCATTTCTAAATACCATTTTCAACATCAGTACGTGCCTGACTCGGAGAACAATGAAAGAGCCGTCCTTCATGCCCAGGGCCAGCTGAGATCCGTCGGGGCTGAAAGCTACACTGCGAACCGCCTCTTCCATGTTACAGCGGGCGATCAAGGCATGATCAGCCAGGCTCCACAGCCTAGGCACAAGAACGAAGTCAAAACAAAACAAAACCAACTTCCCATGGTCATCGGCCAGCCCAAGGCAAGAAGGGCTGCTCACCACACCAACAGTAACAAGAAAAGACATAGGAACTTCACACCAGAGCCCTTTATCATGGCCTGTCAGCGAGTGTGGAAAGGTGTTTTAGTGCATCTTTGGGTCATTTTCATGATTTGAAGGAAACCAGCAAGAATTATCAAATGAGGTAACATTTCCAAAGATTTTGAGATTCACAGAACAAAAAAAAAATTTAAGGCTGGGCATGATGGCTCAACGCCTGTCATCCCAGCACTTTGGGAGGCCATGGCAGGAGGAACACTTGAGCCCAGGAGTTCGAGAATAGCCTGGGCAATATAATGAGACACAGACTCTACAAAAAATACAAAAATTAGCTGGATGTGGTAGTGTGTGCCTGTAGCCCCAGCTACTTGGGGGGCACAGGCAGGAGGATCACTTAAGCCCAGGAGTTCAAGGCTGATCCTGCCACCGCACTCCAGCCTGGGTGTCAGTGCAAGGCCCTGTCTCCAAAAAAAAAAAAATACTACTTCATACAAAATATTACTTTCACTTTGGAAATTAAGTGGTCCTTTATGTATACCAAGGGTTGTTCATCACACATACATGTTAAAAAGTACTTACAGGATAAGATGCCATTATTATTAGCTTTTTAAAAAGTATGCGCCAGACACAGTGGCTCATGCCTATAATCCCAGCACTTTGGGAGGCCAAGGCAGGAAGATTGCTTGAGCCCAGGAGTTCAAGACCAGCCTGAGCAACATGGTGAGACTCCATCTCTAAAAAAGATTTTAAAAATAGCTGGGTGTGGTGGGGCATGCCTGTAATCCCAGCTACTTGGGAGGCTGAGGTAGGAGGATAGCTTGAGCCTAGGAGTTCAAGGTTGCAGTTAGCTATGTTCATACTACTACACTCCAGCCTGGGAAACAGAGCAAGGCCCTGTCTCAAAAAAAAAAAAAAAAATTATGTATCAATATATCTCTTTCTCAATATAAATATATATCAACACAAATATATATCTCTCAATATATAGATCAATATAAATATATATCTATATATCTACATATCAGTATACATAATCAATATAATTATATATGTATGTAAATATATAAAAGTGCTTCCAGTAATAGTTATTTCAGCACACACAGATTGAAATATATGTTACATTTGTTGGCCTTCCTAGGAAGAAAATGTGTCCAAGATGAAGAAGAGCAAATGATATCCCCCTCTGTTGCTCCTCACAAGCTTCCCTGGGCGCCCAAGTGATGGGTCCACTTTTGTGGGGGTGGACACCTCACAGGACTCCTGGCCAGTAAGCACAGTCACTGCTGGAGAAGTGGCAAACGAGGGGCAATTGCAGCTCAAACAAAGCTTTCAGCAAACATTCCCATCCCCACAACACCTAAATCCAGGCACCCCAAACTGAGTGAGCCTGAATGAAACATCTGAAGATAGAAATAAGGCTTTACATGTTGGGTGCAATTGTGGTATCTGACTTCCATCAATTAGTACTTTTTAAAATATAGTCTTCTGATAACACAAACTAGTGTCTGGGAGACTGAGAACCTAGAGCTCTGCAACAGACAGACAAGAATAAGTCACATGCAGCACGGTTTCTCTCAAAGCATTCTGCCATCAGAAGGGATGGGGCACATCCCTTCCATGCTGAGCTGCACAGTAAATAGCTTACCGGTCCCTTAGGCAGCCTGTACTGTGCAGCCTCAAGCTGAGTATGTTCTCAATACCTCATCCATCATGCATGATCTCATGCTGTTTCAACCTTGTACTATTTTAAGCAATGTAACCCTTGCTTTACTAGTAAAGAAACCATCACTCCTCAGTAAATGGTACTATCCCTCTGAAGTCACTATGCTCATCTTTCTCAAGAAATTATGACTTTTAGCCTTCCTAAATTTTAATACTTAGTGTAAAAATGTATTAAAGATTCTAGTCAAATTAATGGTTAAAGGGAATAAGATTCTGGCAGTCAGGGCTCCTCAAGGATGTTTGCAATTCTGAGACTTAACAATTGTTGAAACATAAAAGCGAAGGACTTCCTTGAAATCACTTCTTTCTGGATGGGTATGAGTTTCACACGTGTCTGAATAAGCGGGAAAATTCAAGAGTAACAGAAAGACAAAAACAAAAAAGGAGAAGTGAGTAAAGTGAAGTATAAACCAAATAACCATTTATGTCACACAAGGAGAGAACAACAGTTGTTTTAGTTTTTCTCACTGATTTTTAGATCAATGAGGTTTTCGTGCTTGGTAGAGATGGAAAAAACAGAATTAATGACTACACTAATTGTATTTTGATGCGACTCATAAACACACAAAATAAGGGAGGTGGGAACTAGTGAGCTTTAGTCCAGTTTGCATTGTTCTATATTAGCTATCAAAACCCAGAGGCAGTAGCCATTCAATCGATTGATCAGTCTGTTCCTCTCACACTCTCCCTCTTTCTGGCCTGTTTGTCATTGAGCATATCTAAAGCTCAGCACTAAGTAATAAAATACTGAAATTGGGGTAACATTCTTCATCCCAAACCTTTAAGTCATATGTTCATTCCTTTAATAGGTACAAAAATACTGGAATCATAAGTCATTGTGCTCATTTTACCCAGTTGGGCTCTCAAAAGAATAAAAATGATCCACAGCAAGAAAGCTGGAGGCTCCGAGTAAACTACTTTCTCAGGCCCCATGATTCTTTCATCTGATGATGCTGTTCAAAATTTCATCTGAGACTTTAAAAAGAAATAATAGCTTATTCATGTGCTAAAGACAATTTTGAGAATCAGAATTTAAGTTCTAATGATGATGAATGAGAGAGCCTTTAACAAAATTGTAAAATCTCCATGCAGCCCCCTGCAGAAGACCAAGGGCACGAGGGGACAATATGGTTTCATCATAGATGAGTGTGCTTAGCTCATAAATCTCCAATTAGAAAGATCTGGAAGCCAGCATCACCAGTATTGAAGCATTTTTCACTTCTAAAAAACATTTCCATGATTTAAGATGCAGCCAAGAAAGACAACAGCAGGAGCAAAATGCCAAAAACCCACTTGATGAGCTAAATGTCTTAACGTTTCATTTGGAAACTGTGTGGTTCTGTTCTGCACTTTATCCTTCTATTAATAAGCAAATTTGGGCAAATAAATCCATCTCAAAGAAGTCAGAGAGGTGACGGCGGTAGGGCCTCACCTGACAGAGCGGTCATCGCTGCCTGTCACAGCCAGAGGCTTCTTGGGGTGCAGGGCCAGAGCCCAGAGCTCACCCTCGCAGTGGCCCTGTAGGATCAACATCGGCTTGTCTCGCTCTCGCACAATCACTTCAAATATCTCACTGTCCTGGGTCCCTGCTAGAAGGCGGTCTGCTTTCCAGCACACGCTCCGGATAGAGAGGCCTGACAAAAATAAGTAAAACAAAAGCAAATCTTCACACTATTCACACACACACACACACACACACACACACACACACACACAAAACCCTAAAGTAAATGCCCTTTAACCAGGATACCATCAAATGTGACACATCTTAAAGACTCTTGGAGGCAGAGAATCAACTCTGCCACCATTCTTTGTGCTTTTTTTTTTTTTTTTTTTGAGATGGAGTCTTGCTCTGTCACCCAGACTATAGAGTGCAGTGGCCCGATCTCAGCTCACTGCAGCCTCCGCCTCCCGGGTTCACGCCATTCTCCTGCCTCAGCCTCCCAAGTAGCTGGGACTACAGATGCCCACCACCACACCCGGCTAATTTTTGTATTTTTAGTGGAGACGGGGTTTCACCGTGTTAGCCAGGATGGTCTCGATCTCCTGACCTCGTGATCCGCCCGCCTCGGACTCCCAAAGTGCTGGGTTTACAGGCATGAGCCACCACGCCCAGCCCATTCTGTGTTATTTTCTTACAAGCGCTGGATGTTTCCTCCACCCCTTGTAATCTAGTTTGCAAAAGAGTGGCTGCTTTTCCTTGACTTAGGATAACTATGTGTTTCTACAGCAGGATTGTTTGTTTTTATTTTTTAGAGACAAGGTCTCACTCTGTTGCCCAGGCTGGAGTGTGGTAGCACTGTAGCTCACTGAAGCCTCGACTTCCGGGGCTCAAAGTAATCCTCCTGCTTCACCCTCCCAAGTAACTGGGACTACAGGTGTGCAACACCATGCCTAGACTAGTTTTTTTTCTTTCTAGAGACAAGGTCTTGCTATGTGGTGCCCAGGCTGGTCTTAAACAGTAGAATGTATTTTAAATACTATATCATCAAGTAAATATAAGATGATAAATTGGTCTTCATGAAAACCTAACCTTCAGAATAATTTCCTTCAGATTTGCTATCAGAGAAGAATCAGTTCAACCTTTAGGAATAACATTGTGTTAAAATTATACGTGGGTGACACTACAGAACAGCTGATGATCATATTAAACAAGTTTAATACATATTTGATCAGAATCTAGATATATCCTACGGAATAAACAGATGCACCATGTCTCAGAAATATGCAAATGAAACTCCAATTTCAATCTCAAAATACCATCAAACATTTATCAGTGAAAATACTATTCTTCACCGACTTAATTTATGGAATCTTCTCCACAAGCCTCTTCTCCAAAAGCATAGTACTCCTTTAAAGTCCACACGTCCCTCTCAGTAGTACTATTTCATCCTCCCTAGGCAGGTCCTCACTTGCCTGAGTCTCAGTATCTTGGATTTTTTGCAGTCTGTTCTGTTCCTTACTGGGTTTGTTATTTGTTTAGGCAGTGAGTTTTTGAATCCGAATTAGAAATACAGAAGCAATATCAATTTCCTAAATACTTTAAAACAAGGCCAGGATGTGATGGGCTCCAATTTGCCTCCCCAGCAGGCACTGTGTCTCTGGGATAGAAAGTATCAGACGTTCGAGGACTTGGCCTCTACTCCTGCTCTAGGTCCAGCTGGCTAGACATAGGAGTATTCTTTCCTTGCTGGGGACCAATTTTTCTCCCCTTAAGATATAGACTGTAATTATGGTGACCAAGTAATCTGTCATTCCAATTAGAACGCCTTTAAGAGGCTCTAAAACTAAATTTACATAATACTTTGAAGTATTTGACTAAGGAAGCAGCTTTCTTATGTTGAAAGACCTACTAAATAGTTCTATCAAAGTATTTTCAATTATAACATTCTAAAAACTGTTTACTGCAAAATTAAAAATCTGGGGCAGAGAGATAAATAGGCAGAGTGATGAACAGGCAGAGTATGGAGGATTTTTAGGGCAGTGAAACTATCCTGTAGGATACTATAATGGTGGAGACATGTCATTACACATTTGTCAAAACCCACAGAATATACGCCACCAAGAGTGAACTCTAACATGAACTACGGCATCTGGGTGATAATGACACGTCAAGGTAGCTTCACCCACTGGAACAAATGTACCACTCTGGTGGGGCACATTGATAGTGAGGGAAGCTATGTATGTGTGTTGTGGGTGGGAAGGGGTATATGGTAAGTCTCTCTACATTCTCAATTTTGTTCTGAACCTAAACTGTCCTAAAAAATAAAGTCTATTAAAAAAAAAATGGCAAGGCACGGTGGCTCATGCCTGTAATCCCAACACTTTGGGAGGCTGAGGCAGGCAGATCGCTTGAGGCCAGGAGCTTGAGACCAGCTTGGCCAACATGGTGAAATCCCGTCTCTACTAAAAATAGAAAAATTAGCTGGACATGGTAGCACGCACCTGTATTCCCAGCTACCCGGGTGGCTGAGGCACGAGAATGGCATGAGCCTGGGAGGCGGAGGGACTTGCAGTGAGCTGAGATTGTGCCATTGTACTCCAGCCTGGGCGACAGAGCAAGATTGTCTCAAAAGAAAAAAAAAAAAAAAAAAGCCAAGACAAATACTAAACCAGCTGGGATGCTGGGACAACAGAAGGGGTAATTTGGGGTACGCGGACATCCTAACTATAATCTTGATCTTAATCACTTCACTGTGGTCCCGAGAGGATCCAATGAGATAAATGCATTTATTAAGAGAAAGTAGTTTTTCAAGGCATAAGGCTTTAAACAAATACATGAGATAACTGTCTTTACTCCTTCCTCTGAATTCATTGCTACAGGTCTTGAAATGGTGGGAAAAAGCACACAGGCCGATGTATTATTCCCGCCAGGAGGAGTAGAGACACCCTGGCAACAGTAGTTCAGGGTCAATTAATCAAAATCCTCCACTGCAAACATCAGGATGGGCTTTCAAGGATGGGAAGGACAGATGTATGGTGAAAGCAGTCAGGATGTCATTGCAAGCTGACAGGGCATGCAGCTCAGCTGCAGAGAACCACACGGCCTTGCGCCCATGATCCTGTTGCCACAGCCCCCCCTCCTTGTCCTGATCTCTTTGCCTACCCTTTTCGGGGTTTCATTACCACTCAGGAGTCAACATATTCCCGTTTTCTCCCTGGTGTTTTTCTCAGCTCCTGCAGGGGCTTGGGAGGAGGGGCTGAATTAGTTGTCTCCCTAGCAGGCTTTGCATCATCTACTTTTATTACACAAAGGGTTTAATGCTTTGCTCTTCAGCATCATCAGGAAGGAAGAAGAGTCAGTGATATTTCAACATCAGCAAAAAACAAATAATCTACTTTTACTGTATTTATTGTCTGCTTCCTCTCAGTAGAATAGAAAGGTCTGTGAAGAGAGTTTTATCAGTTTTATTTACTGCTATATCCTCAATACCTGGCACAGTGACTGTCACGTGGTAGATGCTCAATAAAGATTACTGAGCAAATGAAATAAAACATCAAAATCAAATATTTGAGTCCTTGGAGATGCCAAGAAATAAAAGATACCACCCTTGTTACTCAGTAAGAACATTCAAAGATGGGATATATTCATTCCTTTATTTCAGAAATTTTTATTCAGCACTACTCTGTGCCTGACAGTGGAGCTTAACAGTGAACAAGATAGGCCCCTACCGTAATGAAGATTACATTTGAAAAAGGGGCCAGACATATGTAAGCAGATATCCATGCATCAAAAACTAAAGTGATGCAAATGTATATGTGTACCTATATACACATACATTGTATACAGATATAGACATATACATTACATCTTAGTGATACGTTATATATTTTAACTGTTATTGAATATTCAGATCATAGTCCTTTTATAATGCCATTGATTGTTTTAAAGACACGGCCCTTTTCCAGGCAGGTCTGGAATCCATGGCTTCACTGTAAGCATGAACACACCAGTTCTCCCAAGGCCTCCAACAGCATGTCTGGCCTCTCAAGGCCAAATGACTTGAATTTGTCCCAAGGGCCTGGAGCTGTATTTGGTCAAGTATCTATTTATGCTTTATTACAGAAAGGATTTAATGCTGTACTCTTCAGCATTATCAGGAAGCAAAGAGTTAATGATTTTCCAACATCAGCAAAAACTAAATAATCTACTTTTTTACTGTATTTATTGTCCTGCTATTTTTAACCTTATTTGGGGGAATAAATTCAGCAAGGAAAAAAGATTATAATAACCCACAACCTGGAATTAAATATCGACATTAAATATATATCTATATATCCTCTCTTTTAAAAAATTTTAAGAGGCTCAGGAACAAAGACCAAAACCTTCCAACTCAGCCCAGACTAATGAACCAGTCAAGTCACATGGCACTCAGTGTTTTTCAGACCATATCCAGGGAGCTCTTGCATTCCTCAGAAGAGTGCCAGGTTCCTGGCAAGGAGAGGGCCAGGAAATAGGACAGCAAGAGGCGGGAGTTTGAGGATCCCACTGCTGCATTTCCCTTGACACCTCACCATCTCCGATTTCATTTGAAAAAGGGTTCCACTGAACTAACCAACGTAAAGGCGGAGCTTAGCAAGGATTATTTCTGGCTACACATGGGTGGAAGGGAAGAGAACAAGAGAAGGAGTTGCTACATTTTCATTGCTTGCAATATCAACTTAATGAGCTGTGAACATTTTCTCTCAGAGAGCAACTGCGTCTCTCCCTAAGTACTCAGTTCTTTCAACACATCAATTGTCTTTTGTCACATCAGACAAGTCAATCTCATGGCGTCTGTCCACCAGGCAATAGATACAATACCAGGTCACTCTCATTCCTTAGATAACCATTTTAAAAAGGAAGACATCAGTGTGTCAAAAGCTGTATTCATGTTTCCTAATAACATCCCATTGCCATCCTTTTTTAACCTAATTGTTCTTCTGCATGCAAGAGTGGTAAAGAGAACCACACAGTCTCTTCTGGGAACCTTCTGGTGAGACCTTGGTGAATGGCAGATCCCTGACAAAGTTCTGACATTAATTCCCTTCTCCTGTCTATCCAGGCTTAGTTTCTACTTCTGACACAAACCCAGAGAACAGAAATGTAATCATGATGTCCCAGCTGGGCTGACCAAGGCAGCTGCAGCATTAGAAGGCAACGAAGCTGTCTTATACTGCTTTCTATTCTGCTCTGGGAGTCAGAGAAATATAAGCTAGTATTTGGAATATGGTTACAAATCCATCAGTAGTTAAGAGAAACAGGAGAAACCATCCTCATTATTTAAAACCACAGAAGTTCTCTTTCCTGGAGAAATACACATCATTGTTACTTTTGACACTGTGAACTGAAGGCGTTTCACCACACAGATGAGGTGTCCACATTTGGACACCATACCCTGTGCCACTTGTGATGAGAAACGTGGAGCTTGGGCCTATGCTTGGTACAGAGAGCCAGCAGATGGCGGTAGAGAGCAAATCACCCATCTAAACCAAAAAAATCCTCTTATGCCAAGACCAAATCCTCACCAGTCCGTGGCCCTGATTTTATACTCAGACCAGAGAAGAGAAACAGCAACCTTCCAATTCCCTCTGCTACAGTCCTGAAGCCTGGCCATGGGGAGATCTAGTCTGTGAATATCAAATCAGACCTCATTACTAAGGGACATTGCTTATTTTCTACCACTAGTTTATTTTGAACAGTTAAATATATGAACTGGATTTATATACCAGCCGTTGCCAGCTGTGTGACATGGTAAGGTATTTAGTCATTCATATCGTTAGTTCCTCCATCTGTAAAGTGGAGATTATTAGCACTCACACTTCATAGCATTGTGAGAATTCAACACAACAACACATGACCCAGTGTCTGGCACTGAGGAATGAATCAATACATTATGCTATTATTTTAACCCGCGGGTTTTGTGCTAGGTCAGGATCTTTCTATTAAGTTCACATCTCAGCACAGAACAACTTGCTGTATGTGTGGTCACATCCGAGCCCTGTAAGGTGGCAGTGCCAGGAACTATGAAGTGCCCTATGGGCCTTTCCTAGAGTCTTAGTTACTCTGCCTTATCTTACAACTTAGCTTTTGTCATTTGCTATTATAATTTTGATCTGCTGGCACTGCAAACTCACAGAGGAAAAGGCTATGTTCCAGCACACAAAGAGAACAAACCATTTGGGGAAGAAAATGGCCTTTTCTCCCAATTATTTGGTCCAAGAGGGGAAAACTGAAAGCAGGCAGAGGCTCGTATTTAATAGTGTTCTTAAAACCCATGTTCCAAGGCCTGATATGGTAAAGGGCCAGGCATGGTTGTTCCCAACCCTCAATGTACACCAGAATCTACAGAGAGAGCATTTAAAAGACACAGATGCTTGCGCCCCTCCCAGATATTCCTCCCAGTTGGTCTGGACCAGAGCAAGACTTCATTACTTTTAGCTCCCCAGGGCTGAGAACCACTGCCTGCTCAAGCCATTCTCCACCTAGTGTGTTCTTGCATGTCAGATTGTTGAAAATTCAGAGTGCCCAGCAGGTCACCAGCTGATTCTAATGCAGTGGTTCTTCAGTCACATGCTGGCAAACTCTACCCCACTGGATCGGAAAGCCCAAAGATGATGAGCAAATGACAAAAAAGACAGTAGCACCTGTGAGAAGTCGACTTTGAGATAAACAAGCAAGCCCTGCAGGTGGGCAGTAAGGATTCTCACCAACTTAACCAAGCCGTGTGCCCGTGAGTGCCCGTGAGTGCTTAGGAGGTGGCATTATCATTAACCCCATGGACAGCGCCAGGCCCTCAACGGGGCTAGTAAATACGTGCTGAACCGATGAGGAAATAACAGCATAGAAAGTTTGTATTACTTGCCTCAAGTCACAGAGCAAGCTAGCAATAGGGGGAAAAAAAATGAGGATTCAGGCAGTTCAAGTGTGGAGTTAATACCCTTCCCCACAAAGTTATTTCCTGTATCTGTGAATGTATGCCCAGGACATGGTACTGAAGGTGAAACAAGACAAGGTTGTGGCTGTCTCCTGTAAACCTAACCTTATTAAGGATGCAAAACCAGGGAATGCCTTGAGTGCAAGAGGTTAAAAGGTAATAAGAACAAGAGAGAGAGGAAGAGTAATTTCACCCAAACTTAAGAGGGAGTATTGGTAGAGGGTGTGGAAAAGACAGCAGAGATCTTCAAAACCCCCCGCCCTTGCAGCCCCTCAGGAAGGGGTGGCTGAGGCCACCTAGGGAGCCTGGATCCTGGGCACAGGAGCTCTGGGCCTTGCAGGGACTTCTGATGTTCTAAGGGTAATGCTGAAGACAGAGTTTGGAAATGTGAAAGAAATGAAGGAGGAAAGACATGCATCTCCCCAGGGATTCATAAACACCAATGATTTTGGAGCCCAGTGCAAAACAGAAGTGTGGGGCCCCTTGCTAAAAAACGATTAGGAATTCCAAGCAAGTGACAGCAAAGCATGCAACCAACCGCAGGGCCCTCCTGAGTACCAGGCCCTGTGTGACTGCCCAGACCTCAGCCTGAGAAGCCTCCCTGCCAGGGGACCCCCAGGGGAGTTTGAGGATTAAATGGGATCCTGTGTGTAGAGTGTGTACCACAAAGGCCACCACAGAGTGGGCATTCAGCACTGACCCTGAGCTGGGAGAGTCGCAGGGCTGGGGCTGCAGGTCATCCTAAGCGTGGACTGCCTATGACCTGCTGCTCCTGTTCACAAAGGCTCCCTGCCTGAGAATCTCCAGCAGAATTCATAGGAAAGATTTCTTTTTACAAAATCTCTGCTCATTTCAAAACCCACTCCGCAGGATCCAAAATTCTACAGCCACGGGAACTGTGAAAGATACACAAAGCCTAGTGAGATATCAGAAGATGAGAACACATAGCCAAGCCCATGGCCTCCCACCCAGGGAGGAAACCCACCCAGGCTAGCTTTTACATAAGGCTGGCTAAGGAGAGTTATTTACAGAGGAATTACTACAAGCCAGGCCAGCAGCCCTCTGACACCATGTCACACACGGAACTTGCGCACACAGTGACACCACATCTCCTGGCTGCAAATCTGTCTCCAGCTCCTGAGGCTCGGGCCTCTGCAGTGTTCTTCTACCTTCTCAGCAGAACAGTGAGGCTGAAGGGCAAGCCCAGAGAAAAATGGTGGGCACACAGGGAGAGCGGTGACAGAGGCAAGGAGTCAAGAGGTAAGTAATGGAGCCGCCCGCGGGACTGGAGAATAGGATGTGCTTATTTTGCTTCTATCGTAAACAAGGGTGTTCTCAGGTTTGAGAGTTGGTCTTTTGGACGTTCTCTGCAAGGGATCTTAACAACAACACTATCAACATTTGGGGCTGGGTAATTCTTTGTTGTGGTGGCTCTCCTGTCCACTGTAATACTTTTAGCAGCTTCCCTGGCCTCTATCCATAGATGCCAGTCGCAACTCTGCAGTTGCGACAATCAAAAATGTCTCCAGACACTGCCAAATGTCCAAAAAATCACTCCTGGTTGAGAGCTGCTAGACTATCTGACCATCGCAGTACTCAGAGGAGTAAAAACAGTAATAAGCATGAACACTCTGGAACAACCACCTGGGCTCCTACCTCTGATCCTATCCTACCCCAGTCTGCTCTCTGCTCTGGGGCAGGAGAACTAAGTGGAGATCCGATTATGCCACATGCCTGCCTAAACCTCTAAGACCTCCTGTAGTTGGCCCTTGGAGTGCAAGCTTGCATGTCACAGGTTGACACAAAGAAACCAAGTTATCTGTTCCTCCTTCTGCATCCTCATCACTTGCGCTCCTCCACAAGGCTCCACCCTCCAGTCCTATGACACTTTTCATTCACCTGACAGCTACTTCCAGGACTCCAGCACACACTAGGCACGTCCTAAGTGGGTGGGAGGCATCAGTGAACAAAGATCCCTACCTTTGTGGAAACAGACAATAGCCAAGAACATAACACAGAAATTATACTGTATGTTACAAGGTGAAAGGTAAACCCGGGAGAAGGGGATTTGGAATACTTGGAGTGGTAGAGGCAGAATGAGTTGCAATTCTAGAAGAGATCATCAGCATAGGCTTTATTTGAGCAAAGGTTTGAAGGAGAGGAGGGAAGTAGTCATGCAGATTCTAGGCAAGAGTGTCACAGGCAGAGGGAGAAGCAGCGAGGGGAAGGAGCAGCCAGGGCGAAGCAGCGCAATGCGGAGGGTGGTGGCTGCCATAAGGACTTTGACTGTGGGTAAGATGAATCATTGCAGGGTTTTGAGGAAAGCAATTATGTGATCTGGCTCACATAAAGTTCAAATAATCCCTCTAGCTGCTGTGCAGAGGATGGTGGTCGAAGCAGGAATGCAACTTACAAAGCAACTGCAATATTCTATGTAAAAGATGGTGGTGGCCTGACCAGAGAAGGTTCAGTGGAGATAGTGACAAGTCTAAGCAGGGCATCTCATGTCCTGGAACTTTGGCCTCTAATTCTTGCTCAGTGATTCACCTAATGCAGGTTCTTTCTGGATGCGGAGTTTATAGTCCATTAGACACAGCAACAACTCAATAAATATGTGTTGGTAGTTAAAACCCACAGAACTCCCCCGACCTCCACTCACACCTAAAATATAATCTTGACTGAAGTATACTTTTCAGGACTTCCTATTCAGTTCCTAGGCACGTATCTGGCACTTGGATGTTTAATAAATGTTTACTGAGTGGACAAATAAGTAAATAATACATCTTATACTGTGTGAATAATTACTGTATTCCTTTAGACAGAATCATTTATAACCATTAACCCAAAGTGTTTTATTATCCTAGAAGTAATTCATTTTGGTTGATGGACTTTAAGAATTTTGGCTTTTCTTGCCACCACTATAAGTTACTCAAGCTTCATTATTTTACCCAGATCATAAATGTGTTTTAAAAGTGATCAGACTCAGCATGCACTGTTGTGAAGTTTGGTGTGAGGTATGAGTGAGTGACTTCAGTTTACAATTAGCTTGATGCTAATGACCCTGGGCCTCATTGTACCATCCATGAAGTGAGGGAGTTCTCCCCATGCCCCGCCACCGCCGCCTTACATCCAGGGTGTCTCCCAGCCTGAAAATTCCAGAATTTTATATTCACTAAGATGTATATTGGAGGACAACCACCCCATACAGCTGAAATCCTTTGGTGCCAGATGCATTTTGGAATTCAGAAAAATGTGGATTTTGGACTTGTAATATATCCAGCAGAAACTGAGGCAGCATCTTGAAATTAAATATTTCTATAACAAAATATATAAAGACACCCAGTAGCCTCATATCAGGTCAAGTTTTGCTGCCGAATTAGTTATTTAGAAAATCTTCTGGTATTCTGAACCTTTTGGCTTTGAGAATTGCAGATGAAGGATCCTGGGTGAATTAGGTTGTTGGTTTATATCATCTTGTGTTGTTGTTGCTACAGAAACTTGTTTGAACACCCAGTCAGCAAAAATGCAATAACTCACAAAAGATGCACAAGTCACCGGTGCAAATAAAACTCTACAATTCCCTTTCACTGAGGGATGGCCCTCCTCATCATGTGAGTGACATTTTCTTTGACTAACCCTTGGGGAGAAGGGAGGGAGCCCTGAGAATCAGATCTGACACTAACCAATTCTTGATGTGAATGTGACCCATCTCCAATCATTCACGCTTAACCTAAAGTGGGGTTAATTGTTTTTACTGTAAGTCAAGTGTCCTAATTAGCTCAAGCTACTACAAAGATGTAAAAGAATTAATAATGTCACTTTATTACAAAGCCATATCATTTTTTTCTGAGCTTAGTATCCATCTTAGTTCATTTTAAAACTTCTTTCTTGATGGCTAACAGTTAATAGTTATTAGAAGATGCAAATGTATGCCAATCTTGCAAAGATTTCCATTAAACAACTTGGAAATTGTCAGATTCATTTTGTAAATCTTATAGATGTCTACAGGAGGAGCAACAGAAGTCTTTACAGGTGGCACACTAAGTGTGATCTTTATAAATACCCTCAGATTCCTAAACACTAGTAAGCAGCAATTTCTTAATTTTTGCTAATACTTTTAAATTTATAGAACATAGAAAAGTACCCATACCATGTCATGGGAACTGGGCCGTGGCCATGATTAATTCTCTTGCTAAATTTGTTTAGAAAACTATTTGGCTGTTTGAGTAAGATGAGAAATCGCTACATTTCCATTGAAATGAATTCGAGTGTCGCTGTTTCACAAATAGCAAAAATACAGAAGAAAGCTCATTTATATCAAGATAGTTCTTATAAAAATAAAACTGTCATGTCCAAACTGAGAACAAGGAAGCTTCATGTCCAAACTGAGGGCAAGGAAGTCTAACACTGCTCTGCCTGAATCTGTTCCTTTCGAATATACTTGGTTTGTTTGAGGCAAAGAGAGGTGGAGCAGAAGGCCAAGCCTTCTTTGAGGGAAGGGATGAGGGGTTGGCGGGGGGGTGGGGAGGACAGGACACCTGACCATCTTCTGTCCACTCTGCTTTCTTTTGCTCTTTTCCCACCCTCTTTCCTTCCCTTTTATTTGCTCAGCTCTTTGCTAATGTTGAAACAACCAAGGGTATGGTATTGCCTGGCTGAAGGGGGAGCTACGCCAGAAAGCTATTTACATCTTGATTACTTTTATCTCCTCAAATCCTATGTATTTTAATTCCTACACTTGTGTTGGGTCTTCTACCTCACTTTGGATTTGGGGCACACCTCCACTTGCCTTGGAGAGGCTGCCCCATCACAGGATGGCCCAGGCAGCCAGCCTCCAAGACCACAGGAGGGCCGGTTCTGAGAGTCTCTCCCTGTTCGGAGCTATGGAAGGTGGCTCTGGAACTCAACATCCTCCTTCCTTGCTTCAGTGCAATAATGGCACCAAGGCCTGGCTGAGCGCAACAGAGCACCTTAGAGAGGGATTCAGAGCAAGTTTCCCCACATGACCCTGTCCATGCAGGCTCAAGAACTCCCTAAGTTGGAAGCAATGGGTGGGCCAGACTTTAGTTGTTACCAGTAATTCAAACCAGGAGCCTTTCTTCTTTTGATGCTACATGTACATTGTTTTTTCACTGAGGACTGGAATGAAGGCATCTCTTTTGATGCTTGATGATACACAGTGGCCTTTTGTGACAATGTTGCCCAAGCCAGGGGGAGAGGATAATTTTAGGTGGGTGCTCCAAGGGCAAAAATTAAACCCCAGCATATTAAACTCATGTCACAAATATTAGTTTAAAGCAAAGTTTTAAAAAGATATATTAATCAGTTTAAAGTAAAATACTAAGCAATTAAGAGTACTGGTCGTCAGCAGCAATTCTAAAATTAACATCATCCACAGCATCCACACTGTGGGGCTGCATGCTAAGCAGTGCCATCTCCACTCTCCCAGGAGCTCCATCCCAGCCCCTGTGCCCTCTCCGACTCCCTGGGACTCAAACTGGAACATGATCTATACCATCCTTTAAAAGCACAATCTGTTTCTCCCTACAAAATGCAGGCTACCGCCTTATCAGTAAGCCATCTAAGATGCACACCAATCCCTGGTCAACGCCAAGCCCAGGCACCACAGGGCAGGCACATCCTATGAGGTGCAGGCTTGTTTCGGGTTCCCAGTGTCCACCGTGTACCAGCCAGATGTGCTTTGATCTTGGTAAGGATGGGGCGGGAATCTGAGACTGATGTATAACGGAGGGCGTCGCTGACTGTCCTAACTCTGTAGATGGGAGTTGGCTGTGGGGCTGATGTGATCAGTACCACACCTGGTTACACAGATCCTCATTCAGAACTGGTCCCTGAACTCTCCCAGGAGAGCCAGGCTCAAGGACTCAGTATTGGGCAGAAAAGTATAGCAGCGTAAACCAATGGCTTCTTAGCTGATCCCCATGCTTTAAAATTTATGCCTTAATTATGTGATACAATTTTTGGATTAGTTAAATGGAGTAACTGCCAAAAAGAGTCATGAATCCTGGTTGGTACTCCCCAACGTTTAGGCAGTTTATGGTCACTAATCCCATCTGGCAAGTTGACTCTGCTCTCTAAGTACATGTTTTGGTTTCTGGTTTACCTTGAAAGATATACCAAGAAGTTTCATGGTTCAGGACCAAACATTTTTGGCTACTGTACTTAAAAAAAATTGCTCTTACGGGTACTTGCAAGCTTATATCTGTTTGGCATGTTTTTTCCGGATCAAGTTTCCCTGGCCCACACTCTATGGCAGAGAACTTAAGGCCTTCGATCTCCTTGTCCCTACATTGAGGTAGACACCAAATTCCACAACTTCCTATGCCAAACTCTGTGCCTAGTATTCAGAAACGTATGCACACCAGCATCCTGAGCCTCCGTGAGAAGACAAGAGTCCAATCCTGGATTAGTTGACTTAGATGCACATTTTTGTATTTCACAGATACATAAAGCAGCTGGCATCCAGGTATAAACAGGAAGTACAATATCCAGCTCATTTCCCTGTTGCTCAACTGTTGGCAAAGTTTTGCTGCAAACAACACTATTTAAGGATGGCCTGAAGGATATGCCGTCTAGGCTGTTTTCTCCCAGTCCTTTGAAATCTACCTAAGGCCGGCAGAGAGCACCGCGCACTGCCACATGATCTGGCCTATGGAACAACCTCTGTGGCAGCATCGCCATCAGGTCACACAGCGGGGGCTTCATGAGGAACAGCCCAGGAGAAACAACTCGTTTCAGGCCTGTTGAGGACTTTGAGCCCTATGTCACAGGGTCTTCTCTAAAAGATGCTCAGGAAATTTCTCCCTCATCTCGGCACTGAAAAAGATTCCCCTTCACAACAACGATGGGTAAGTTTTCATCCTGTGGACCCCCATGGCTCACAGTACCATGTACCCCTCCCTTGGCGCAGGGTCTGTGGCCCACCTGTGGGGAGTGAACAGAACCTCCCAACCTGTGCTTAGCGTATTAACAGTGCTATGACTTCCTCTTGTCTTACCTATTTACATTTTCCACTTTAATCTTTCTCGGCTGTAAATTCTTTGTCTGCCAAAAGGTAACAGGCCTACCATGAGAATTTTAAAAGATGTATTGTATTCTGATATATACACTCTATATATGGTGAGAATAGCTAACAGTTTGAGTGCTAAGTGCGCTTTGCAAGTATATTTAGTCCTCATCCTGAGCATTTTCTAAGTATATTTAATCCTCATACAACTATGGGAGGCTGGTGCTAGTATTATCTCCATTTTATAGATGAGGAAACAGATGCCCCGAAATTTGAGACTGCCGTTCAATTTCTTAACTCTCTCATAGGTAAAAAGAGTTTGAACCCACCCCACATGACTGAGCCCATGCTCTTAATCCCTACTACTATAATTATCTACTACTTTAAAGCTATTTAAAACAAAATTTGTCTCATTTCTCCTCTCATTTGTTTGTTTTCAGAGGCTGGGTACATTCACTTTAATGGTAACCAACTTGTCTAGAACGTCTCAGTTTTGTCACTGACAATCCCATCTCCTAAGAAACCTCAGCAACTTCATCAGAATGCTTATTTTGGCTGCAGCATTGCTGGTTCATGCAGATGCATTTGTGCGAATTAGGAAAAAGGACATCCATTTACTTTTAACATACTTTTGCTTGTATTCAATATATTTATATAAACTGCCTTTTTAAAATGGGGTACAGAGAAACAAATATGAATACAGAACTTCACATTATATTTCACATCCAGAGTTACAGGTAAGCTTAACACATATATTACCTTTGTATCCTTGTTCTGTCTCCCTGAGATCAATTTTGGTTATTGGTTTGAAATCAGTGTCCCACAGTCGTATACACCCATCTCGCCCACCAGTGGCAAAGCCTTCTTCACAAGCATACATGCTAAAGATTCCAGCCTGTTGATTAAAACAGGTAATACTCAATGGTGCAACCATCCTAAGTATAATGAATAGATACAGTTGAATGTTGATTTAAAAACATAGCAAGTCAAAAACAAAAATAAAACCCCTTTGTTCTCTATTGAAATGCTGACAATAGACCAAGTAGCCATTTATAACACTGTTCATCTCAGCTACATTTAAAAAATCATAATAATAAAAGCAAACTAGTTCAAGTGCTCTTTTACCACTACTAAAAAGATTACAGTTTAAAAAAATTCAAAAATATAATTAATGCAGATATGGGAATCAAATTATTTTATGTGATAAGTGGCCCTTAGAGAGAAAAGACAACTATGGAGGTGTTTCATGGAAGTTGCTGCCTAAAATAATTAAGTAGAGATAAGAGGCTAGGAACATGAACAGTTTCATAGGCACAAAAGTGCCCAAAATGTACCTCAGTGAGCTCACAAAGGTATCACTTGAACCTAAATGAAAATGTAAATAGCACTTGTGTTCGCTTGTTAAGCATCGTTTGAAGATTTTCACATGGGAAATAGTTTTAGGAATTTCAAGATGCTCCTCCACAGGAAAATACTTTATTTGGTTTGTTCAAAAGTGCTGCAAGAATATAATGTTGACATAAGATCCAGTATAAAAAGAAATTAGGTTACTAAGACAGCTGCTTTTGTGAATGAGGACAAATACTGACCTATTATTTTAAGAGCTGTTTCATAATTAGTGAAGCCAAGAAAATTCACCTGCAACATATAGTGAAAGATCTGAAATGTCATAGCTCTAAGAGTTGCTTAAACTTTTCTTCATATTAAGGGTATAGGGAATCAATTTGGAGGCAATAAGCTAAAGGCTTACCATTTCCAATAACATCTTTACCCAATTTCCATTCACTATGATAGGCTTTGCCTTTTACATCATCTTCCCATTTATAGGGACAATTTTATCATTTGTAGATACAACAATGTAGTCATTTTCATGTGTGTCAAAAAAGAGAGCAGAGTGGTAAGAAGTTTCTCCTTGTTCTTACTGAGCAGACCATCAGAAGATATGTAGTTATCAATGGTTTCTGATTGTACCTTAAGAGCTCATGACACTGGTGTGGAGGTGACACCCTGGCACCTCAACATAAAGAATGAGGAAAATCTATCTTACCAACCAATACAAGAGCAATCGTTATCTACACCTTTCCTGTTCAAACTATGGGTCACTGATGAGCTGTGGCGACTTCATCGCAGACCTATGGAGCCAGAATCTGCATTTTAACATGATTCCCCAGAAACTCATGGGCACATTAAAGTTTGAGAAGTGCCTATAAGATGAATCTGATGAGCTAGTTCTAGTGTTCTGTCAAACTACTGTGGATGACATAAATCAAGCAATTAATAGTTAAGGTGAGGGCTAATTACATTGTATGCTTTTGAAATATATTTTCCTTTAGGTGAGCAAATGTAATATGGGAAATTATCATGAGTAGGGAGTGTTCAGCAGGGTTCTCTGATTCTAAAGCAAGAAGGGAAACATACAGGGAGGGATTCGTGGTCTTACCTTATTTGGTAGGTCACCCACAGATTTCCACAAGGTAATACTTACACTATGTGCTCCTTGAATGGTGCGGACTAAATTGAGCCCTTTCCAGACATAGATGTCACCATTTAAAGCACCAGAGTAGGTGATGTCTTCTTTGGCACATGCAAGGCAAAGGATGGTCTGAAGATCCCCTGTTTTGCCAAATATCCCTCTTTTTGCAGTCAGGGCATTTCCACACAGTGTCCAAAACTACAATGTAAGTGATAAAATAGATCTCCAAGATAGAGTATTCGGATGTATTGCATTGGTGTTTATTTATACTTCAGTGCATTTCACATAATGTGCTCTATCCAAGCTAGGCACAAATAAGTTAATTTGCTTTGCTGTAACATAACAACATGTAACACAAAAGCATTTTAGCTAACTACCAGGAACATAAGAAAAGCCTATAACAACACTTTTAAAACTTTCAAAGTTCCAAAATTTCAAAGCTTTGCTCATTGTTTAATGGTGATTTAATAGAAGATAATGTTCTCAGAGTTGGAATCAAGTGGACAAATCATGTTTTGCTTAGTTTTTTATCAAGTTATAAAAGTAGTATAGGTTTATTGTAGAAAGGTTTAGAAACACAGATAAGTATAAAAAGGAAAATTGTGATAGTCTGTAACTTCTGGAATGCAATGGCGCCATCTCAGCTCACTGCAACCTCTACCTCCCAGGGTCAAGTGATTCTTGTGTATCAGCCTCCTGAGTAGCTGAGATTATAGGAGTGCACCACCAAGCTCAGCTAATTTTTGTATTTGTAGTAGAGACAGGGTTTCTCCATGTTGGCCAGGCTGGTCTCGAACTCCTGGCCTCAAGTAATCTGCCCTCCTCGGCCTCCCAAAGTGCTAGAATTACAGGTGTGAGCCACTGCACTCGGCTATATCTAGGTATTTTTAGTGTACATATATTTGGAAATAATTTCTAACTTTAAGTGTTATAAATCTTCATTGTAGAAATGTTACTTAGAAACGTTTCATAAATATGAGTTATATTTCCATATACCCAAATAATTGACTCGGCTTTTCAGTTTTAGTTGCATAAAATGTGTCCATTGTGTAGAAGACCATACACAAAGCTTCAGCAATTTTATACAAGGCAGTAAGGACACTCCTATGGTTAAACAGACACAAAATATTTTGTATTGACATAGTTTTTTTGGGGGGGCAGGTGGGGACAGAGTCTCACTCTGCTGCCCAGGGTGGAGTGCAGTGGCCCGATCTTGGCTCACTGCAACCTCTGCCTCCTGGGTTCAAGCGATTCTCCTGCCTCAGCCTCCTGAGTAGCTGGGACTACAGGCATGTGCCTCCGCACCCAGCTAGTTTTGTGTATTTTTAGTAGAGATGGGGTTTCACCATGTTGGCCAGGCTGGTCTTAAACTCCTGACCTCAGGTGATCTGCCCCACTTGGCCTCTCAAAACCTTAACATAGTTTTCATGTATCAACTAGAATAACCTCACTGCCCTTGATATAGCCCCCCCTCAGGTTATAAGGGCTATTTGCATATGCTAAGTTATTTGATCCTATCAAAACCTTTAATAGGCTAAGGTAGACAGGATGGTCATCTCCATCTGGAGGGGAGGGAAAGCAAACAGAAGTAGCTCACTGAAGATAAGGGTTCAATGGGGTTAGAAAAAATACTGAAATCTTTGTCTTTGCTTTGACAACTCTGAATCAATGCAGAGGCAAATGAAACAATGAGATAATTTTAAGGTAGCATATTCAGACTGTGCCCGGGTGGCAGGAAATTCAAAGGTAGAGAACTAAGTTGAATTAAACAGAATGAACAAGAGTAGGACTTGGATCAGCAGTGAGGAAGAAACTGCATCTGGATTCAGAGAAGCAGGATGAGATGAAGCCACATGGCAGGCATGTGGGAGTAAATCAGTAACATTGTACTATTTTACACCTGTAGGAGAGGAAAAACCATGGTCCTCTCAGAGTAGTTGGGTACTAGAGGAAACAGTTCTGGGATGGCTATACCCCCAAGGTGGCCAGGATTCAGGCAGCTGGGGGTGGGGGGCTGTCCTATGTGTGTGCGTGGCAGGGGGTTAAGGAATAGAGGGATGCCTTGGCAAGAATGAAGGGCAGATACACAATGAAGGACCAAATCGGATTCTCTTCTCAGAAAAAGGTATCAGCTCTGGTAACTCATTTCTTTGGGTATTATTAATGAAAAGGTGTTGAAGTATATGTTGAAATAATAAAGCAGCCAGGTGCAGTGGCTCATGCCTGTAATACCAGCACTTTGGGAAGCCAAGGCAGAGAGATCACTTGAGCCCAGGAGTTAGAGACCATCCTGGGCAACATGGCAAAACCCCATCTCTACAAAAATAATTAGCCTGGAGTGGTAGCACACACCTGTAATAAAGTTTTTTTTAATAAAGAATAAAGAGATCTAGGAAAAAGCTAGTTAGGTATAAGCTTTGGAAAACATTTAAGCTGTTACTATGAACCTGAACAAACTATTAGACATAAATGATTACTGGTTGCACCAACATGCCAAAGAACTTGCTGTTCATAGCAATGCTTAAGGCAGACAGTTCCCTTTCTCTTTACACCTCCTCATGCATGAAGATTAAAATAATTATTTTGTCCTTTAACTTTGGATATACACCCCCCGTCTGAGTTATCTGAATATTTCCAGACAGACAGTCACAAAAAATAGAACCCATTATCTTCAGACTTGATCTACATAAAAGTTTATTGACAAGTCACCAGGTCAGATGGTATAAGGCCCACATGAAAACATTCCAAAGAGTCAAATGATTCCCTAAAATGTATGTTATTTTCTGCAGAAAATGGCAAATACCTGAAATATTATCTCTTTTTGAGAAGCATTTCCTACTTGGAAAACAGTGGCAGTTTAGGGTAGCAACACATCATTAAATTCACATCAAATGAGGAGACCTTGTTTATCTTCTGCAGTCTCTACCCACAGACTGTAATGCAAATTTTGTTAGAGCTGGCAGGTACCTTGAGTTCATCTAGCCCTAGGTAGTCCCTGAAGTCCCTTCTGTCTCTGACTAGAGACGGCTCAACAGTATCCACAAACCCGGTAGGCTCATTTGCTATAAAACCAGTGAAGCAGCCGATGCTCAACTGTTACTGTTTTTCAAGCATTCGTTTCAGATAATTGCAATTTTCCTATTTGCCAAAACATAGGGGATTTACAAAGCCAAAAAGGATTTCACCCTAGCTATACAAATTTCAGATGAAAGTATTTTCTTTGAGTACAAAGATTTTGCACTCAATTTATGACTGGAATCATTCAATGTTAAGGTAGGTTTTCTGGGGAAAAAAAAGTGGAGAAATCCTGGTAATTGGATATAGAGAATACAGACAGCAAAAATAATTTTTTGAAGTCCGCTTAAATGTATTATATTTCTAAGCAAAATTAATAAAGTATTGCTGGGTAGACATTCCAGATTCTTTGAGGTAAAAATGCTTGTATTTGCTTAGAAAAAATGTCCAAGTCTGCTAAGACAATTAAATTTAAACAGGATAAGTAGCTCTTGTTTCAAATAAAGTTTCAGAATTTTGTCTCTGCTTTTCTGCTTTTAGAATTTACCGATTTAAAAGTTAGAGTTAACCAAGGACAGAAAGAGATAGGAAGGAATCAGGAGAATTCTATCAATTAAGCAGCAAATCTAGTTAGAACCCAATAAAAAGTTAAGGCAAGGTAGTTCACTAAAGAAATTTCTCAGTGTAAAGAGCTCTATAGGAGTCAGAGGCTGAGCTTAAATCTCACCTGTGCCATCATTTTTGTGACCCTAGGAAATGGGGAACGAAATTAACATTATTGTGCCCCTACTGGGTTCCATACTCTTTAATGTAATTATCTTTAATTTAGGAGGTAGTGATCTCTCTCTGAGAGAGAGAGAGAGAGACAGAAAGAGAGAGAGAGAGAGAGAGAGAGAGAATGAATGAATGAATATTAATTCAGCCTCAGGGAGATTAAATGGTTGCCCAGAGTCAAGCAGAGGGAAACAATCACAAATCAAAGTCAGATTCCCACCTAACCCCCTAGGGTCCTGGGTTTCTTCACCACTGAGTACAGGATGGATGATGGCTCCCAGGATAGGGTCCCAGATTTCCAGAAACCCACCACAGCCTAACAGAAATCAGGATCATTATGAACTCACATGTTTTTTTTACTCATGGCTGAAACAATTTTCATATTTTAGTCTGATCAGAAACTCACGTTGGCAGATAACATCTTTGACTAATAAAACATTGCTAAGGAACCCGTGATTTATTGGCTAGTTTATTTTGTGGCCGCCATCTTTCAAAATATTTGTTCCCTAAAAAAAACTATGGAATAGGTTCTTTGGTGATGAAAACATTGGTAATCTTGGAACATATCATGAGCCAAGGACCCACCCAGCTCCCCAGTCTCACACTTCCATGGGTGACCAATGCCTCTCTTAACTCCTGACAGAAGTGCAACCCCTCGCCTAGTTCTGCCTCCCGACCCTTCCTACCAAACTCACCCACCCACTGAGGCTCAGCCTAAGCAGCATCTCCATCCTGACAACATGCTTCTAGCCAGCTGGGATGTCATCTTTATCGATAGAGGGCTTTGATTTTTACCTTTCTTCCAAAACATTCTGTCTTAATGTTTTAATGGCTAAACTTCAAGCAAATTGAAAGTGGCGTCTGTTTTTCTTCTTTCACCTAGTACAAACTCAAATATTAAACTGAATGAGTTTTTGGTCTTTCAGGTATGCTGTACCAAGCACAGAAGGAGCCTCCAGCTGCTGCTAATAAAGCAAACTACCTAGATTTCAGCTGATGTTTTCCTAGATTAAAAATATACACATCAGGGCTTGGTACAGGATTATTAAATGTTTATGAAGCCCTAAAGTGTTGATGGAATATGTTACACTTTTGAGTAGTGGAACCTCTAAAATTTTTGTTCTCCATTTTTAAATTTTTTCTTATTTTGGAATATATATTGTTGTAAAATAATTTTACAATGAAGTATACAAGGGATAAAATTATCCATCAACCCATTACCCAGAGATAACTGCTTAACATTTGGAGAAGTCCTTCTAATGTATTTCCCACATAAAAATGTTTTTAAAGAAAAAAAAGCCACAAATCTAATCCCACCATAACCCAACCCCCAAAGTAAACTGTAAACTTCCCCATATAATAGATTTTGAATATTTCCCAATATCATCATTTAAAACATAACTTATGATTGTACAGTGTTTCATCATATGGATGTAACATTTTATTCAACTTCCTAGAGACACTTAAGTGGTTTCAGATCTTCTGTTTGGTTTATTTCAGATCTTCTATTTGGTTATTTGCTATTGATAAGTTACTCAGCAATGAGTCAGCTCTTGGTTCATACTTCTAACAATTTGCTTGGGATAGATTCTAAGATATGAAATTACTGGATCAAAGAGAATTGACATTTCTAAGGATAAATATTTCCAAATTTCTTGGCTGAAAGACCATTATCAGCTTACCCCTCTCTACCAGCAAGGTTTGAGAGTGGTCATTCACTGAATCCTTGCCAAGATACGGTACTTTCAATCATAAATTTGATAGATTTAAAATGCTGTTATTTTAAAATTTGTGTTCCTTAATTAGATTTTAACATTTTCATAAGTCTATTGGCCAACAGTGTTTCTATTTGTCAGTTTTCTATGTTCTTTGTCCATTCTACGGATTTGCAAGAGATCTTTGCATTTTGAGAACAACCCAGTATCTATTTTGTGTGTTGCTTATACTTTTGCTAGTTTGCGGTTTCCCTCTTTTTGTGGAAAAAAGGAATTATACAGAATATTTTAATATTTCTACAGTTGCATCAGTATTATTCCTTACGATTTCTTTGCTTTTACATTTTAAAAAAATCTTTCTCCAATTTGAGCAGTTAAATATTTGCCTATATATTCCTCTAGTTATTTTATAGTTTTTGAAACTTACCTCTTTAATTCATATAGACTTTGTTTTAGTGTATAGTATGAAGTATTGACTTTTTCTAAAAAATTGATAAATTTGTGCCTGCCAGTTAGAGATGCTATTATACTCTAAGTTGTCATACATATTAAGGTCTATTTTTCAGCTTTTTTTATTTCTTTGTATCCAAGTCTTGTATCATTTAAATTAAATTCTATTATGCTTTAGTAAATAGTGGTACATATATCCTCTTCATGATTCTTTATCCCAAAGTTCATAGTTATTGTCATTATTTAATGCTTCCGGATTAATTTAGGATAATTTAAAGGGAAATTCTGTCAGGTAAAAACAAAAGTAATAGGGATTTTAACTGCATTTCTACCAAATATAAATTTGGAGATAAATGATACATTTGTAAATTTTAGACGTGTCCAGAATCAACATTGTCACTCCATTTGTTCAAGTATTGTTTTACATTCTTCTGCAGAGTTTTGTAACATTCTTTAGGTAAGTCTTCCATATTTCTTATACTTATTTGAGTATTTTATCCTCTGTCCCCTTCTAACCAAGTAAGACTAATGGGAAGGATCGTGAAAAACTAGACTAAAAGAACTGCAAAATAGGAGGGGTTGGTTAGAGGAAAATCTTCATTCATACAGAAATGTACCATTTTTGTACAGAATCCATGCATGCTCTATTCAAGAAAGTAATCCTTATACTCTTGTTTATGGACTTTAACTTACATTATTTACGATCCTATAGAGAAAGAAGATCCTGGGCTATATCCCAGGGGTCAGGAGAAATTTTTGCTATGTCAGAGCAAAGCATGTTGATGCAGTTAATTTTGTTACTTGTGAACAAAATAGTAAGAAGCAAATGTAGGTCTACCCAGATGAGAGTGTAGTCTAGAGGAAGATTGGGGCGTTTAAAAACCAATGGTCCAGATAGGTTTGTACTGTGAATTCCTCTATTTCCATGTAGAGCACAACTTGACACCTTTCTTTTAAGGGAACATAACATGTCAAAGTGTTGACATGCAAATATGTAAATATTCATTATAATGGAAAAACTTACTTCACAACATTAAAATAAGCACTGTTTTAAAACATGCAATCCCACAAGTATTATGAGTCTTCAGTTCGATATTTAATTAACATAAAATTTCCTTTTCAGCTGCCTGCGGAGCACTTCACTTGATTGTCATTACTTTGCATTTCTAAGAGAGAGCCCCATCAGCTGATGTTAGTTTGCTTCAGGAGCAGAGAAACAGGTAAGAGGGCTCTATATTGAAGAAAAAAAATGTAAAGTCTAGCAGTCTCTCAACATCAAATTATCTATACAAACACCTAAAATTATTTGCACTCAAGGTACCAAAATTAAAAAACAAAAAGCTTTACCTTTATGTGTTTTACTCCACAGCTAACCACTCTGTTTGGCTGATATGGATCCCAGGAAATATCAAAAATCTGTTCAAAACATTAAAAGTTGCCATGTTGATCATTTGGTATATTTTTGCCTTTTCCCAATACTAGTCCAATTGCCAAGACTCTACTATAACATTTAGAACACAATGTTACCTGCACAGAATAAAAATGGAAGATTTGGCTTGGAATGAGTCAGGAACTAACACACACGTTATCACCTCATATCTACTTACCTTAAGGCCTGAGTAGAGAGAGAACTTACCATAATTATTTAGAACAAACTGGTGTCATATTTTTAATTTTGTCCATTTGAGATAAACAAATGGACAATTTAGGATAAATTTTTGATCAAATTTTTCAATAGCACTCCACAGTGCTAACACTTTGGAGATAGCTTTTCAATAGAAATTTAAAGAATTATAAAATGCTTCTTAGCTAGGAAAACATTCAATAGTTAACTACAATTTAATGCGGCCAACAGTCTCTAGTAATCACAGAAGTTAATATTCCTAAACGTAAGGCAGAGGGATTTATCTGTCACTAACTTAAATAGTCCCTCAGGCTATCATTTTAATCTGACCCAACATACTATTGTATTTTCAATTATCCAATGAACTGAAAATATATCTGCAACTACTATTTGTCTTTTTTTTTTTTTTTTTCTGAGACAGTCTCGCTCCGTCACCAGGCTGGAGTGCAGTGGCGTGATCTCGGCTCACTGCAACTCCGCTTCCCAGGTTCAAGCAATTCTCCTGCCTCAGCCTCCCGAGTAGCTGGGACTACAGGCGCGTGCCACCACGCCCAGTTAATTTTTCTATTTTTAGTAGAGACGGGGTTTCACCATGTTGGTCAGGCTGGTCTCAATCTTGTGACCTCGTGATCCACCTGCCTTGGCCTCTCAAAGTGCTGGGATTACAGGCATGAGCCACCGTGCCCGGCCTATTTGTCATTCTTTAACAAGAGCTACCAGACAGTTTGCACGTAGTTCTATTTCCAATCCAGAGACAAGAAGGAAAAGGTCAATCCTGAGAATCAAATTGCCCATAGCAATTGCTTAAAACAGGTATTTCCAGGGCCCATCTGAGATGCTCTCATTTAGTGGGTCTGGAATTGGGCCCAGATACCCAACACTTTAAAGAGACTCCAGGAGATTCTGATGGAGGTAGATCCATGGAACGCATTCCATGACACACTGATAGAAAGGGAAGGACTACTTGTCAGGGACAAAGTCTAGACCAGAGAAATAACCTAGACCACTAACTTTTCATCACATATAAAGGAGCAATTATGGTCCCCAGAAAGATCACTGAAGAAAAAGTACTTGGTCCAAGTATCCATTTCAGCCATTCAAGCTCAGGCAAGTCTGAGCATCTCTAACCTTAACCTCATCTTCTCTACGTGGATAATACCACCTCAAGTTTTGTTAAGGTCAATGAAGATAAGGTATATAAAGTCATTTTGCAGGGTATAAAACATTCATTATATAAATGTAATGGATTAAGTATTTTAGTGCCACTAAAATAATCTTGAGGATAATCTTGAAGTTAATCATAAGCAGTCAATAATTCATACTGGTATCAGTAATAAAGAGCAAAATTATGTGTGACACAGATTATGGGGTCTGGGAGAACAGTGTTCCAAATAAAGCATTTCATTAAAACATCCTAAGATTACAGACTCATCACTATAGTCCTATTATACTTTTTACATTTCACCCTTACTGGCAAGCGGTAGCACAGCAATAGCACATGCACAGTCACTGAAACATACAGGCAAGTCACATGATATCCAGAGGTGTTCAATTTATCTAAAGTTTTAACAGAGTTGAATTGAGCAAACAACTGTTTGCAAATTGGGCAGCCCTCAGAACCAGAAGAGGTTCAGAGAGCTCTGCTCTGCAACTGGGCAGGCATATGTATCCTGGGGAAAATGAACTGAGGTACAGGAACAGCTTTCCTAGTTTCAGCACCGAATTTGCTTTATTTGGGCATGGTCTGAATAGATGGCAGCCTGCCATTGGCTGAAGCTGGCTGCCACTCAGCTATTTGTTACGGAAGTATACCCCTAAATTTTCAGTTTGGTCACTTAGCAAGCTAGGTTGCAGTTGATTTTGTAGAGACTTACCATATGGAGGGCAGCTGAGGCCAAATTTAGTTTAACAGTAATAATTTAACAATAAAAGCTCTTTCTATACAAGCCAAAGTGATTACATTAGGCTATTTTTCTAAGTAAGGAGATTTTACTGGTTTAAACTGTTTGTAACTTTAGTTTTCTACTTTTTCCAAGGTGATAAGGCCCAAAATTCTGACAGACAGTATACTAGTTCAGGTCAGACTATATAAAATGACTCAGAAATAGAAGCAGTAAATGCAGAGTAACTCAGATAAAATATTATGTATGAGTGTATATATATGCCGTGAAGTCTCCCCAGAGGATTCTATCTGTAGCCAGGATTGGGAACTACTGGACGAGAGGGGTACCAGGCCTCTTCCAGTACTGAGGTTCTATTGTTGGTCACTCCTGAGCTTTCTGAAGACTTGATCCTGGAGTAGAATTTGCAACATCTGTGGGGTCTCCTTACAACTACAAACCTCCATAGATCAATGTGCCATTCATACTTTTTTTTTTTTAAGAGTTCCTTCTAAGCAAGAGACAGTGAATTTCATGTTTAATTAGAGCCTCATTCTACATGAAGCTTGTCCAACCCACAGCCCAGGATGGCTGTGAATGCGGCCCAACACAAATTTGTAAACGTTCTTAAGATATTATGAGATTATTTTATTTTTAGCTCATCAGCTATCATTAGTGTTGGTGTTTATGTGTGGCCCAAGACAATTCTTCCAATGTGGCCCAGGGAAGCCAAAAGACTGGAAATGCCTATTCTACATTAACACTTATATTGTGCAGAAATACAAAACAACTAGGAATTCAAGTAAGACAGTCATGCAAATTCATTGTTTAGAGAAACCAAGATAATAAAGGAGTCAAATTATTTTAATTATGCAAGACACTGGCAAATTAGATTTCTGACCAGTTATATGTATATACCCCCTTCATCCCCTAAGACTACATGGAATTATCATTTTTGATCACACTGACTTCAACAGGAGTAAGCAGGTCACATTCTATGTTCTCAAATACAACAAAGAATCACGAAGTTGTCATTACACTCATTCAAAATTAAAATGCATACCCTTGTAATCATATTTTGTGACTATTTTCTAACAACTATTTCCATTTCTAAATGAATACATCTAAACTACACATAATTTCAAATTCAATTCCATTTTGATTTCATAAAGTAAAATGCCAGCATCAAAAATTTGCTTTGCCTATGAAAAGCACTAACAATTCATATAAAGTACTTGATCACCAGAAGCACATTAACACAGTTAGCTATTAATCATGAAAAAAGAGGATGATTATAAGTTTAATAGGAAAAAATGTATACTGAAATATTTACTGTTAAAAACATTAGAAGTCTGAGACGCGATATCACAAGTCCCCCCAAGTTCTGAAATCTGCATAGCTTGATCCAACAAGTTCTTACCCTGTCAGAATGGCCGGTGGCTGACGCCAGAAGTTTTCCCTTCCTCCAGTCCCAAATGCAGACTGTGTTTTTGGCATCCAACCCCACAGAGGCTAAACGCTAAGAATAAGAACAATAATTTAGTACCTAAAAGTGATGGGAAGACTTACTGACACGTTAAGAAATAGTTACTATTTACTATGGGTTAGGCATTGAATTTCTTATAACAAACCGATTTCTCAAAACCCATCTTAAACCCCAAACTAAAAATAACACAATAGATGATGACTTCCATTAGTATATGCTGAAATTTCAAGAACCTAAGAGCTACAGCTCCTTTATCCTTTTTAAGTGTAAGAAACATACATATAAACTCTCAGGAGATCTCTGAAACGTCAATAGAAACTACAGAAACAGAACTTGATAGCAGCATTTGGAATTTTTAACTTAAAATTTTTAGGTAAAATCTTAATGTGAGATTTAATAGAACCCAGAATTCTATAGTCTAAAAGCTTCCAACTGCTAAAATTTAAGGGTTTGACGAATAGAATAAATGAACATTAATTTTTAGTTTTCTATAATTTCACAAACATTTAAGGTGACTACAAGATAATATAATCTAAGTAGAAGTAATCTGGTACTTCACCTCCCAGCCTAAATTCCCTGGGTTCAGGTCAGAACCTGTCCTTAAAGTAAGAATAAAATGCAACCCACATGATTATATACAAAACCAAAAGTGTGAAAAACAGGCAACAGTCATACCAAAATCAGAGTTTCTTGCAGGATATCACTTATAAGGAGAAAGTATTATGTAAGAAATCTGAACTATAAGTAGATTTGGCTTTTCTTTTTGCTTTTAAGTAGCCAGACATAACACCTTGCAAAATTAACCTCCTTAAATCTCACTTTTCTCATTTGTACAATGGGTATAAAAAATAATCATTCCTTCTGCATTATTGGATTGTTGTATGGGTCAAGTGAAGTATGTAAATTAAAGGGGTTTTAAAAATATGGTATTCCCCAAGTGTAAGAGTGTGTGAGTACTGAGTACATTCGAGAGTGTGTCTGTGTATATGCACACTCACAGTGTGGATGAAACAGACAGCCACATATGGTTAAATGTATACATGTGCTGTTATGCAGGGATTCTTCAGCTTTCTTCACTAAAGATGGCTTCCATTAGGAATTTTTAATATAACACACATCGTTGAGGGTTTTTTAATGTGTCCTTAAGAAATTTCTTTGCTATAATTTTTTAACTGAGGGTTTCAGCAATGGAAACAAGATGTGGTTGTATTTTTATTCATAAGAAAATCTGAATGGGTGAATTCCATTCAGCTTATTCAAGAGAAAAAAAGCAGTGAACACAAATAGGGGCACTGAAGTAAAACCCACATTTCCTGATGGAGAAAAAGCTGAAAGAAACCTATTTTGTTCATCTGTAGTGACAGTTCCCATAGCTACCTGAAAAGCATTTTTATTGCCTTTTGTCTATTGTGAGGTGATGGACCATTTGTCATTTCTAAATATCATTCGATTCCAGTGAACTCTGTCCAGGGAGTAAGGAGGACCTGAAGAAATAGCCATCAACAAGCCAGGAAATCCACCATGGCTAACATACAAGAGGTTATTTCTCTCACCTGACAGTTAAGTACCATGCAATCCACCCCCACCCACCATCCTTCAAAATGAAACCTAAAGGAGAATAGCTAGGATTCTAACATAAATTAACATGGACAAAAATGAAGTTAAAGCTGGATTTTTAAAGCTGGATTTTCCTCTGCTGCATTACATTTTCTTGTGACACTTCAGAACAAATTGATAAAGAATGCTTGCTTGAATAACAAAATCCGATTAGAGAAGGTGCATACCAGTACAGACATAAGCATACATTTATACTTGTACATGTGTATGGATTCTGATTCACTTCAGTTTATTCAGGAAGTCAATATAACTGCAAGCCTGAACAAATACTAGCATCCAGCTATTATCTCTTTATGTAGCCATAAAAGGGAATGCATGCATTAAACTGACTAACTGGATGAGATTACAAAGGAGTAAAATAAAGAACATATATTCCAGGGGTCTACATATGTAATAAATCTAGTTCTAGAAAGAAAAATGACTAGTGATCGATGCTCTCTTAAAATAGCAGAAAACAGCAAGTAAATGCTAATTGTTTTTCAAAAGTGACTCAACCCAGGTCAACTCCTATAATCCACTGAATTTCCCACAGACTTTCAGTTAAGCCTCTATGAATAATTTCACAGATCTTTGCATGGCACCAACTTACAGAATTAACTCTGAAACTTGTCAAAAATTAGATTGAAGGAATTAACAGGCAGAAACACGCAGGGTGAGAGAGACAGAGGAAGGGTGGCACAGGAAACGGAGGCGGTTGGGGAGATGAGGAGAAGAGGCCCCGCCTTAGGGAGGAGATGAATGCAGCCGGAGCCAGGAATGACCCCTCCGTTTTTACTTTCTTTTCTAGAACGTATCAACCTATCTTTTCTGCCCAGTGTTGCTGTAAGTCAAAGGAAGAAGAGAAAATGTTGTTGGGAGGGATTGGCAAGGCTTTGTGAAAACCTTTGGAGACTGAATCACTTCAATGGGCAAAAGGGTGAGCAGGACACTTCAGGTGGACAGGACAGACTGAGGCAGGGCCCAGAGGTACAAACATGCAAGGTCTGCTATAGGAGTCTTGCAGATTTGTCCAATTCGACTATGAGGGCACAACGGATAAAAGTCTAGAAAAGTTGGCTAAAATAGAATGCCCACCTACAAAGTGTGGACTTTATTCATTGAGTACTCCAAGCTCTTATTGGTTTTAAACAATGCTTTCACACCGTTTTCAGTTGATGAAATGCATTAGCAAGAAATTGCCTGTGAGGAGACTAAGAGATTCAACTAAGTCAGACATGACACTGACTTATTAGCACTTAAAGGACAGTGGCAGGAAGAATGGAAAGGAGAGGATGTCAGTTACTGTAAAGAAACATGAATACCCAGGAATTGATGATAGACTGAATTGGGAGAGGACAGGTAGAAGCAGCTAAAAGTGACATCAAGGGGTAAAGAGTCAAGGATAATCTTCTCAGTGGATTATTAGGAGGTGATGTCATCTTTTGAAAGCAAGAGGTACTACAGACATGCTCAGGGCTTGACGTCTATGAATAAGGCTTGGTCTAGCCCTTACTCCAAATAGGAAGCTAACAACAGACAACAAAGTAGAATTACTGGGCTATGGTGAACCTGATCACCATGAATTCATGACTTCTTTTATGGATGCTTTTTAACCAGATGGTGGGACTAGGGGAACAAAAACCAAGGCCTGTCCAGAGTTTGGTGTTAGTGCCATAGCTTTAAAGGGGAAAAAACAGGTGAAAAATTCTAGGAGGCTGTGCCAGAAGAACCAGCAAGGGTTGATGGACTTTGAATCTACTGGCTATTCCTATTATAGTTTTAAGTGAGTTGTGAGAAGTCATTAAATAAAACAACTAAAAAAAGATACACACCTGTCCATCTGAGTCAAAAGCCAGGCAGGCAACTCCATGTGTATGGACATCTTTAAGAAGAGACACAGTCTGGACATTATAGGAATCCCATATGCATATATATGGCTCCTTCCCGACTTGGCCAGTTGCAACGAGAGTTTTGTCTGGGTGTAAGGCAAGGCTGAAAGAGAAAAGGTTTCTTTTCACATCTTCCAACTGAAGAAAACACTGATCACCTTTTATCCAAATCTGTTTCTCATTTAAATTATCTAACAAGGTGATCTCAAGAGAAAGAGTCTGAACTGTCCCCAAAGTAATTAATTACTTGATTTGACTAATTGAAATGTTCACTTTAGCAGAGAGGCTTAGCACAGTCTGACAATCTCATTTGGTCTTACCCATTGGTTACCTTGAAAATTAGGTGCTGTTGTGATTGTAATTATTCAATTTAAAATCGTCTGTATAGTTTTATAATTGCTTTATGTTGTGAAATTTAATTATTGATATTCAAAATATTACTTGTTTTCAAGTTAGCTTTTGACTTTAATTTTTTTTTAAATGTTGTTACTAGGGGAAGGTTCTCTTCTTGGAATTAAACATACTTGCAGAAGCACTAGATACTATCCTCATTAGGATTTCAAAGCATGAATGGGTCCCAGAGTCATGTGCTGTTTCTGTGTCTGTTGCTATAGATTACAAATTTTAAGTTAAAGTTTCCATTTTACATAGATCACTGTGACACCAAAGAACTACAAATTACAATTGTGGTTTGTATAGCAATTTTTCTCTGTAGTTCGATAAAAATGAAACTTCGTCAAATACCAACTGGTATTTTAAGGAGTCAGTAGCCGTTGAGAAGTATTTTTCCTAGATTAAAAAAAAAAAATCACCCTAATGTTTTAAATTCATTGTGTATAGGCGTTGTGTCTTTCTAAAAAACAGACGTTGGGAATCAAGAGCACATTACCTATATAGCAAACTAGCTCATTGTGTAAACTTCTGCTTATACAATCAACAAATACAAATTTTCCCATTCCAATTTTCAGTATCTGCTTAACACAGTAAATGGAAGTAGACTTTTTTTTTTTTTCAGTGTTTGGCATGGTGTTAATGAGAGTATATGTTCTGATATCAGACACTGGATTTGCATGTTGGCTGCCCTTAGTATCTCTGGTTCTTTGGACAAATTACTTCATCTTTTGCCTCAGTTTCCTCATCTAAAAATACAGATAATACAGAAAATAGATGATATAGTCAATCTAGAGTACTTAGCAGAGTGCCCGGTACAGAGCGAACACTGAATACAAATTTTGTCTTTTGTGTAATCAGCATTATATATCTATAACCAACATAAACATGCCTGTGTGAATATAATATGGCTTCCAAAAACAACATATGTACTTTAAATCCATGTTGGACATCTGAAAAGTGCTTGCTGGAAAATATATCTTCAGGAATCTTCATAAGCAAGTAATACAAAAAGATAGCCCATATAGAAGGGTTGCTTTTCACAACAGGTGAATGCTATAAGCTTTTAACTTTTTAAGGTTGTAGAACACTTCAGCATTCAGTTGGTGAGAGATTATCAATAAGAAAGGACCCTCCCAATCTCAATTTTGTTGAGACACACCTGGTATTTCAAAGTACCTAGATGTCCCAGAAAACTGCAAGATTATGGCATGCCATGTTTGCTCATTAAGCTGAGTGGATGGAAGCAGTTTGAAAACCCTGTTGATAAACCAGTATATTTTAGCTCATTCACTTATTCAACAGGCCCTTGTGGACCTATGATATGTCAGGGACAGTACCATAGACATATAAACAGAAATCACACTGCTATCTTTGAAGGAGCCCACTTTCAGAGGAAAGAGACATGTAAAGAAATAATCACGATATGTCAATATACATACACAGTAACACAGAAAGATGGAGGATGGAGAAAGATGGAGGATGGAGTGACCAGCTGCCCAGGACATTAGGGAAGACACGAGTTCATATGAAAGACAAGGTGCAAAGGGGATTCACGTGAAAAGACAATGTCCTCCACAGTTTCAGTCTTACAGAGAATGGCAGAAAATGAGATGGGTCAGGCAGGCAGGGGCAGCTCTTGAAAGCTGCCTTAGCCAGGCCAGGAAATTAGGGTACCACTGACTATTTTCAGCAGGACACAGCATAAACAGTTCCATAATTTAGGAAGGTAATCCTAGCAGTGATGAAATGCAGGGGTAAGGACAGATCTGTGAGGGGTGTTAGGAGAGGCAAGGTGGTCAGTTAGGGACCAGGGAGAGACAGGGAGGGAAGACATGGGTAGAGGGGATAAAGAAGAGTCAAGAGCTACTGGGGGTGAGAACAGAGGGGGAAATGCTTAGTATGTTTGAGACTCAAGGACAAGCTTGGGCACATTAAAGTTGACAGAAGATTTTGTGCGGGCAACAAGGTTTGTAACTCACAGAGCCTGGCTACAGTAAAGTTTGAAGCCTATGAGCCTGATCCTGGGAAAAGATGGCCTAACTATCCAATTTTTAGTGGGGAAACCAAGGAGACTGCTCAGGTTAGCATCACATCTGGAGTCCTAAAGGCTAGGAAGAAGAGGATTGACTAGATTGTATGCTCCGTGAGGGCAGGGGCTGTCTTCCATCACTCTAAACAGTTCCTGGAACATCATACAGCAGAGTAGGCATTAACAAAATACTTGAAGAGGGAGTGAATGCTGCCAACCATCTTGGCTGCCATATTGCCTCTCCCCCTGCAATAGGCAAGAGGTTCTACCCAGGGACTAGAAAATGAAGAATGAGCATATTTCCCCTGGAAGGCCAGAAACACTTTCAAGAGATATAAATTATACTATTTTGCTGTGATCACAGCTTCTATTTTAAAATCCTTGAGATACTTGTTAGATTCTTGAGATTCTGAAGCATCCAGAAGCAAATAATAAATCACTGCTCCGAGCAGTTGTTCTAATTCCATAATTCCTGATTTATTGCAGTTCTTTGAATGACGGGGTTGGGGGGAATGGAATAAACAGATTTCAACAAGTCTTCAAATAACTTACGAGCCTTAGTTACTCAATAAGCAGTGCTACCCCAAAACACCTCACATTTTGGATTTAAAGTATTTTTATGCTGGTTATTGTTCTTCTCATTCATATTGAAGCCCATAAATTTACCACATTTACTAAAAAGTTCACATTGCAATTTTTTTTTCTTGCCAGAAGTTCCTTCACACTGTTTGTTAAATCATCTCTTTACAGCCCTTTCTCCAGTCCTCCTTTGCCATTTGGGTACATTAAGAAAATGAGCTTTTTCTCCTTTCATGAGCCAGAGTCTGTGACATCACCTCTCTGGCTTGATGTAACATGATTGCTTAGAGTGACTCATAATGTTACCATTTATCTATGTCCATGTCAAGAATAGCAAGAACAGAGAACCACCTTTATTCACTTTACTATTTGTTACCTTTCCCATCAGGCTTCCCAGAAACTCCACCCCTTTCAGCAGTGACATGTATCATCCAGGGCACAGCCAAATGGCATCCATGTCTCATCCAGGGCACAGCCAAATGGCATTTACTTCTATTTTAAATTTGTCATGTCATTTCAAAAGCACGTTAAGCCTCAAAAAAGGAGAAAAGCTCACGAACTTTACTCACTAGATTTGCAAGAGAATAGAAGGTATCAATAATGGTGGAGTTACAGATTTATTTAATAAGTATTTATTTAATAAATAAAATTCCACACATCTTTGGAATTTTAGTTCAGAAGCATTTTAAATGACAGGGAAGTATTATGTTTGAATTTTCCCCAAATGAAACCAAGTCCATCCTTTTCTACCTACCTCACAATTGCTCTCTGCTCCTTTCTGAGTGCTCTGAGCCTCAGAAGTCACCCTCCAGCCATGCTGTTAGTCAACCAGCAGATTAAAAGGTCAGGTCTTTGCATATAATTGAGGGACTGTGATGCAAAGAACCCTGTCCCCTGAATCCCTGGGCTTTTGATAAGATCTCATGAGAAATGGCCAACTATTGTGTCCTCCCATAGCGCAAGTCACAGAAGCGGAGAGTGCCACCATCACACAAAATGCTTATTCTACCTTGGGCTTCTTGTCATCTTCTTTACCATGTTATGACTGGAAGTATGGACACTACTTATCTCTATTTTAAGTCTATCTGCCTATTGAGAGTCCATATATTTAATTCTTTGCTTTTCTAAGAAGACTTGCAACTTTTGCAAGTTATTTTAGCTACGACAGCACTGTCACAATATTAAAACTTTTACAGTTGACTCCCTTTCATTGCGAGTCTCAAGACAATGAAAGTCTCATTCCACACCTACATAAAAAGTTTTGGTGTGACTGTTTTTCCTTTGGTACTCAGTTTATTCCATTTATTGTATTTTATATATGGCAACAAAAAAAGGATCAAGTTTTGAAAGAACTGTTTTTTAATATATAAACCTAGTTCTGTTGGGAAATCCCATCTTCTGTTACCATAGCAATAGAAAGCACTGCAGAGAAGGACTTTCATCAACCTATCTGGGAGAAGAAATTGATTTGTTTCTCTAGCATGCCAGGAGGGAAAAGCATGTCTTCCTGATGTCAGATAAGATCACGAAGATTTCCAAACATCTTGTGAAAAAGAAAAGATGAGAATCAAAAGGGTCATGGAAGGAAACAGCCTTGCTTATGAAGTTTAACAACAACAACAAAACACTCATCAATATTAATCATTCTTGATTCCTTGAGGCAAAAAATTTTATGAGCACTTGTTCCAAGTGCAGCATTTAAAAAATGTTCACAATTCTTAAGCCTCATTTCATTTTTGCCCAGGCTGCTTCAGTGATTCTCTCAGTAATAATTTATATGTTTAGTTTTTTTTGTTTTTGTTTTGTTTTTGGAAAAAAAAAAAGTCTCACCAGGAAAGCATGAAAGCCTTCTCCCTCCCTGCCCTGAAGATAACCTTGAGAGCAGCTTTTCCATGTCAGAGGCAGAGGCACATCAAAATTAGGTTGCATTGTCTGACGACAGAAGGGGAGGTTGCTGCTTTGGGGATTGAAGGGGGAGTGACCCAACCTCAGTGGATGTTCATCTGCAAGGCAGAAAAGGCAAAGGCAGGCCTGATTTGAACAGTGGCCTGGAGGTAGTGGAACCTCAGATGGGGATGGCTGTGTTCCAGTCCTGGTCCCAAGAGATGCGCTTAGCACTTCAGTACCCCACCACAACTGTGATCTTGACACCACAGAGAGGGCCCTGCCTTCCTGGTGGGCTTGGGCAGCACAAACAGGAATGACAGCAACATGGACAAAACAGCAAAATTCATTGCCATTTTCCTGAATTGTGTGAACCCCACAGAACCCGTATAATCCATAGTTAAGCAGGGGGGGTCCCTAAAACTGGACTTTAACAAGCTTGATGAGTGGTGCATCTAATGAGAATGTGATTTAGTAAAATAAACTTAATACCTTGCCATAACTGTATGCTATACTTACTGGTATGAAACTATATTCCAGCAATACCTTCGTATAAAAGAATGGTTAAAAATACAGCCATACAGTGGCATGATTGGAGCCAGCTTAGACTGGCCACCAAAAACTGATTAAGTTTTAGCAACTTTGTAAACCAGTTAATCACAGCCACTGTTAGGTATTATATTGATTTACAATTACATAAATTATATTAAAAGCAAAGGTAATACATACTGAAAGCTCGTCACTTGGTAATTATTTTACTACATTTCACTGTTGTCTATAGTTGTGAGGTTATTTATTGCTATCCTATCCATATGGTAGAAATACCATAGATGGTGTGTTACTCCACACCTCTTCCCAACTCCATTTTCAATGATGTCACATTGGTGGCTTGAAGTCAGCCATAGTGGGTATATTTACATCATGGAAATCACTAAGTGCTACAAATCAGGGCTTAATTTATTGTTTTGTTGATTGTCTAGACTTAAGAGATAGGATAAAATGTTGATAATGCAGAATAAACATAAAAGCGTGTCACTCTGTAGCTGTTACATTGTGAATATATAAAATTGAGAAAACGTCCTCAATATTCTCTCACATCACTGACCAACAAGTGTAGTTCCAACACAAATGTTGGCTGATAGCTTTATTTACATTAATAAGGAAAATGTAAAACATATACATATTGGAACTTTAATCATTTGCCAATGATGTGAACAACTTCTTTGCTGAACCAGATGGTAATCAAGAATTTATTCCTCATTTGATTTTGTCAAGTCATGCTTAAACTGCAACCATAGACTGACCACAGATATAGGAGTTTAGAAAAAGAGGAAAAAAAAAATCAATAAAAGCATTCTATCAGAATTGATTGGCCATGTGGAATAAAAAGTATGACACTTTATTATTTGTAAGTTGTGCATTATATATTATTTATGTCAGTAAAGTGTATAAGTTTATTAATGCGTATGCATAGTTTTTTTTCTCCTGGAGAGCTGTTTGTTCCGTGACAAGTGCATCACTGAAACCTGTCTCCTCTACTTACTGGCAAAGAACAGTTTCTCATATATCACCTTCAGCAAATTACTCAACCTCTCTGTGCCCCAGTTTCTCATCCATAAGAATGGGAATAACAACAGTACCTACCTCAAAGAAAGTAGGTACTATGAGTACTTAATAAATCCTAAAGCAGTGATTAAAACAGTAGCACTTAAAACCTAGCACTATATAGGTGGTATTGTTATTAATTAACCACCATGTGATAGACCCACATGAAACCTACCCCTCACCCCCAGAAACGGACATTCTTTTTTTTTTTTTTTTTTTTTTTTTTTTTTTTGGAGACGGAGTCACTCTTGTTGCCCAGGCTGGAGTGCAAGGGCGTGATCTCAGCTCACTGCAACCTCCGCCTCCCAGGTTCAAGCGATTCTCCTGCCTCAGCATCCCGAGTAGTTGGGATTACAGGCACGTGCTACCACGCCCAGCTATTTTCTATATTTTTAGTAGAGACAGGGTTTCGCCCTGTTGGCCAGGCTGGTCTCGAATATCTGACCTCAGGTGATCCACCGACCTCAGCCTCCCAAAATGCTGGGATTACAAGTGTGAGCCACCGCGCCCGGCCAGGAACAGACATTCTAAGTCCGAGCAACTCATGTACATAGAGAGCTATGGTGAACTCTCCTTGAATTTAAAAATAAGACTATTCTCTGTGATTTAAACTGGTAAAAACCATTTGGAATGGACAAGATCAGTTATCTGAAGATGCCTCCCTAAGGAGAAAAGATCTAAAATATAGACATATATACATACATGTATATATACATACACACATATATATGTATATACATACATGTATATGTCAGAAAAAATGTTAACAAAAGTAGAAGTTCTGCTTAAAGTCTTTATTAAAAGGAATTAAGACAGAATATTGCTATAAGGATAGACATACAAATCAATGGTATAGAATTGAATCCATAGAGAGACCCACATTTATATGATCAACTCATTTCCAGCAAAAGTGTTAAGATAACTCATCAGGGGAAAGGATTGTTTTTCAACAGACAGTGCTGGAACAACTAGGTATCCATATGGAAAAAAGTGAACCTTACTCTTCCCTTTTACCATATGCAAAAAAACTCAAAAAGTATAAGAGCTAAACCAAGTAATTGATAGAAAAAAATATAAGAAAATCTTTGTGACCTCTGAAAGATAATGGTCTCTTAGAGAACAAACAAGCATGAACCATTACACAAAGGAGAAATTGGACTTTAAAAATAAAAACTTCTGGTCTTTGATAGACACTATTAGGAAAATGAAAATGCAAAACACAGACTAGGAGAATGAAAAGAAAAAAACAACAAAATCACCAAAGTTCTACCCAGAATATATAAAAATGCTTATAATTTAATAAGAACACAACTTAATTTAAAATATGCTGGAAGACTTGAACAATGTTAAGGACAACTAAAATTAAAAAGACTGATAATACCAAGTGTTGCTAAAGACACAGGGCAACTGGAATGCATATATATTGCTAATAGGAAATGTAAAATGATAAATCACTTTGAAAAGTCTTTTGGCAGTTGCTTATAAACATATGCGTACCATTATGATCTAGCAATTCCACTCTTCAGAATTTATCCAAGGGAAACCAAAAGGAAATGTCTAAACAAAGACTTGCATACAAGTCTTCACAGATTTAAAAGAGCCAGAAATCGGAAATAGGTCACACGTACAACAAGTGAATGGATAGATTATCATCTATTCATGCAATGGAATTGTTCTCAGCCATAAACAGAAATGGAACTAGTGACATCCACAGCATGGATGAATCTCAAAAATATTACATTGAGTGAAAGAACTCTGGAGCATTCAGTGGAATACTCAAGTCACTAATACCTTCAACATATGTTAGGAGCCAAGACATACTGTTTCTAGTTGACAATCCCAAAAATAAAAAGGTATGAAAATATAACCTAAAGCTACAAAGGTAAACGTTAAGGGAATAAAAAATAAAATAACCCTCAGGGAGGAGAAGAAAAGTGATGTAAGAATGGTATACCTAAGCTACATCCTCATGTATGTTAAAAGGAAGTCAACATGTCTAAAGAAAATAAGAAATAGCCATTAACCATACTGTTTTGAGATGTGGAAGTAACCACCAGAGAGAACAGTCCTGAAAATTAGAAGTGTTCCTTTGAAAAGTAGATTGCAGATAGGAAAGACTAGAGCAGGGGCAAATTTACATTATAATGCTTTCTGTTATTTTGTGTCTCCATTGTTCTGATACAAATACAAAGATTAAAACAAAAGTGATCCTGGAGAAATATAAATTGATTAACTGACACAAGAAGGCATCTGTTGGTTTAGAAGTCTTCCACAGGCAGGAAGTGGGCAGGGTTGTCTGATGGCTATGTCACATTTATCAACTCGCAGAGGTTCTCACCAGTATAATTGCTACTGATAAAAGAATTTGATCAGCATGGCTAGTCTTACAGTGCATTCTTTGAAAAAGAAGAAATACTGCCTAAGACTGTAACACAACAATTTGCTAATGAGAAGTTTCACTAATGAGAGAGGTCTATGTGAAATCCAGCTTTCTGGAGCTAGTCATCCTTTTTTCCTCCTCTCTTTAAGCAAGGAGTATGACTCAAGCATTGAGGGTTGTATCTGGCAGAAGTCCTGTTAATTTAGGATAATTAAATATGCCAGTCATGTGTTTCAGTAATGTCTGATTAAATACTTTAGAGAAGTCATTAATGAATCCATCTGGTCTAGTGGCTTTGCCAGATGGCAAAATGTTACTACCTCTATCTGTACTGCTCCTGGAGCATTCTACCTTTCTTGTAGTGTAGCACACAGTCATTTTCAGGGTAAGTCTTAATTTGCTAGTTTATACTATCAAGGGATTTGGAAGGTAGAATGCAAGCCTAATATTACACCACACCAACTGAGCCACAAGATTAAGGCTGCATTAAATGGCCTATCATTCTACTGTTGAATTCAATGTGATTTCATCATTTCCATTTCCTCAGAATGTTCTGTCAAACATCTCAGATGGTGCCCGGTCCGTGAGTGGAGAGTCAGCACCACAGGGAGAGGTGACCAGCTGTATTTCACACACACAGGAGCTAACACTCTAAGAGGAGGAGAATTTCAATTGTTTCAAAACTGAAATCCTGGAAGTATTTTCTCCATGTGGCTCGTCACTTAAAAACAAAACTGGCCACTTATTTAAGTATAGAGTTGCACAGCCTTGTGAAAGGTGCATTAAAATGGCAGTCTTCAAGCCGTTTTGATACCTTAATCATGCAGAGTTCATCTTTAACTTAACAATTCCCTCACCAGCTTGGTCAAAATGCAAGGCGTTCTCCAAAGCATTGACAATGGCAACTTTAAGATAATCACTTCACTAATTGGTACCTAAGGCAAAGGCTTAAATAGAAGTGACAACAAACAAAAGGGGCTTGGAGCTGCTAGAGGAGGGTCTAGGGTGGCTTGACGAAGGTATGAGGCAAAGATACAGCCGAGAAAAAAGCCCAATGATTTATTACCACTGTCAACCCCTTACCCCTCAATTGCATTGACTCCTCTAGCTGACAAATAGGGCTAAATTGAGGTCCTATTCTTTTCTAAGGAAGCCAAGTTTGACTAATTGACCAGTTTAGTTGGCTTTGATCATTTATGTTCATGAAACTTGCTTCCAAGGGCACTTCCTGGCCATACAGAAACTACAGACACCACACTATGGCAGCTCACACGGAGCTCTGGCTTTTGTTTTGCTCTTGTGGTTAAGAACAACTCCCTTCCCCTTCAGTTTCATCTTTTTCCTCTCCCTTCTGTTCTCTTTCCAAGTTTTTTCTCTTTCAATGAGGATCATATGTAATATTTCATCCAGCAAGTTGGTGTTTGGAGGAGTAAGTGGGCAGGAAAGAGGGGACCTGTTTCACCCCAGTCTCCCAAGTTCCCAGAACTGGAAACCCATCGTTGACTCTTGCCCACTACTCTCAATTCTGCGCAGTTTGGATTCAGTCACTGTGGAACTATCACAGAACTTGGTGTAAGTGACTAATTAAAACCTTTTTAAGATTCCATGTGTAAGAGTGTGTCTCTCTACTGAGTTGAGAACATGCTGTAGTTTTCATCTGCCAAATGGGGTAAATGGGAACGCTCAGCACAGGGTGTGAGACACAGTGGGCACTCAAATAGTAGCCATAAGTAAAGTAACATGGCCTTTTATCAGAGCAACTAAATTATTATTATTATTGGTAGTAGTAGTAGTAGCAGTAGTAGTAGTAGTAGTAGTAGTAGTAGTAGTAGTAGTAGTAGTAGTATGAGACAGGGTCTCACTCTGTTGCCCAGGCTGAAGTGCAGTGGCATGATGACAGCCTCGACCTTCCCAGGGCTCAGTGATCCTCCCATCTCAGCCTCTCGAGTAGCTGGGACCATAGGCACATGCCACTATGTCTGGCTAATTTTTTTATTTTTTTGTAGAGATGGGGTTTGACCATGTTGACCAGGCTTGTCTCAAACTCCTGGGCTCAAGCGATCTGCCCGCCTCAGCCTCCCAAAGTGCTGGGCTTAGAGGCGTGAGTCACTGCACCCTGCCTACTAAAATTATTACCAAGTTAAAAAAATTCAAACTCTTAGAAGTACGAGGTAAGTTACTTATTGTGATTTTTAGATGCAGAAAATAAAAACTGTATTTCATTCTTGCTTGTATCGGGGGCATTCTTTCCAATTCTGCCATCAGTGTTTTAAAATTCTGCCATCAGTATTTTAAAAGAATGTTAGCTACAGGAGGGCAGGGATTTTATAGTCTGTTTTTTCCATTGATGACCCCCAGAACAGCACCGTGCCTAGCCTATAATGGACACTTTTATAAATACATGTTGAATGAGTAAGTTGACATGTATAGCTTCAGACATCTGAGTAAGAGCAAGATGGATGCAAGAACACATTCAACAACACAGGCATCCTTCATGCACAAAATTCCTGTCACGAACTCTCCAGACAAGAAAGATCATGAAAAATACCACTTATTCTTGATAACAGTAGTTCAAGAAATCGTTATCCAGAAGACTAAAATCCAGTTTTTAAAAGTGCCATTCTGAGAAGTGATGGCATGACGTTTTAATACATAGGGCCTCATAGTTTTCTAACCAAATTAGCTACAAAATAATAACCACGTTTGTGATGTTGGTTTTGAAAAATTGCATTAGGTTCTTACAATAGTTTGTTCAGAAGAAAATCATTAAATGGAAATGAAAGGGCCTTTGAAAGCTAATAACACTGCAAACAAGCCTAATTCAAGGTCACCGATTTTCCTTTGTATTTTAGTTCAACAGAAATGGTTTCATGGGGAAACGGATTCATCCATATTCTATTATTTCACAAAGAAAGACAAGCACGCCCTCCTCAGAGCTGGCGCAAGCAATCCCAGACATCACACTGGAGAGTCAAGCATGAATAAACTCCTACTTTGACACGAGTATCCCTCCAGAGATGGTTAATTCATGTAAGCATCACTTCAGGCCAAGGCTGACCCAGCCCACTTTTCATTACTTCATATTCTCAGACACGTCATAGGAAGAAATTTTCAATTCCAATGAGAAACCTTTTTTTTTTTTTTTCTTTTGAGACAGAGTCTCGCTCTGTAGCCCAGGCTGGAATGCAGTGGTGAGATCTCGGCTCACTGCAAGCTCCACCTCCCGGATTCACTCTCCTGCCCCAGCCTCCCGAGGATCTGGGACTACAGGCGCCCACCACCATGCCCGGCTGATTTTTTGTATTTTTAGTAGAGACGGGGTTTCACTGTATTAGCCAGGATGGTCTCAATCTCCTGACCTCATGATCAGCCCGCCTCAGCCTCCCAAAATGCTGGGATTACAGAGGTGAGCCACTGCACCCGGCCTCAATGAGCGACTTTTAAAGAACAGAATTTAATGTCCAGGGCTAAGAAAATTCAAGGAAACAGATAACATGAAGGGTAACTTTATTCTAGCTCCTTGACCCCTAATGAAATTGGAGTCTGCCATTTACCAGCTCCTGTTCCAGAGACGTCACATGTTAGATCAAATTTAATCCCCAATAAGAGTCTACCTGGGCTGGAGTTGAGGATCCTACATGTCTATTATACAGAGGTAAGTAACACCTCTGCCTCCCTTCTCTTCCCCCGTATTGGTTTTCATCCACTGAGAGTAAAAAAGCTGCTTGGGAACCACGAAAATTACTATCCAGAATGGTGGTTCATCCATCTACCCATCCAAGTATCTGATGTCCTAGGGGTTGGAGCCAGGTGCAAGGAATGGAAGCTGTGGTAAGGGACAATGCCCTCTTGAGTGCATTCACCATGCTGGAGGGTGCCGTTATATCTTTGAGCCAGCCTCTAAGTCAATTCATGCTTGTTTTGGGAAAAATAAAAGCATCTGTGTGGGAGGGGTCTCTGAAGACCGATTATTTTAGGATATGTTTGATGCTTAAGAGTCCTTATATTGAAAATAGGTACCCCAAAATATATATACATATATTTATATGTGTGTATGTACGTGTGTGTGGCTAAAGTTTATTCCTGAATTCAAGCGTCATTTGAGGATCACCTTCCAATCTGATGGAACAGTGGGGGATACCTTTAACATCTACATCTGAGCTATTTGACCCTTTAAGGGACCTCATTCAATCCAACTCCTCCAGAGCAAACAAAATAAGAAATCAAATGGTTGCATGGCATGTCAGGCTGGAGTGCAGTAGTGTGATCTCGGCTCACTGCAACCTCTACCTCCTGGGTTCAAGCGATTCTTCTGCCTCAGCCTCCCGAGTAGCTGGGATTACAGGCGTGTGCCACCACACCCAGCTAATTTTTGTAATTTTAGTAGAGACGGGGTTTCACCATGTTGGCCAGGATGGTCTCAATCTCCTGACCTCATGATCCACCTGCCTCAAGCCTCTCAAATTGCTCAGATTACAGGCGTGAGCCACCACACCTGGCCGAAACCCCAAATCTCTTTATAAAGTGTACCAACCAGTTTGCTGGACATTTTCACATTCACTTTCCTTTTAAATAATTTCTAGCAAAGGTCAGAGAGCTCTATCTAGTAACAAACTGAGCAAAGACTCAAAATGAGTTTTGTCTGCTTCTGAAAACTTGGAGCTAATTTTACCTCTCCAATCTCAATTTCTTTTCCATTATATAAGGGGTCAGCAAACCTTCTATAAAGGGTCAGATAGTAAGCGTTTTACTCTTTGATGGTCATATGGTCTCTGTTGCAACTACAAAATTCTGCCATGCTAGTATGAAAGCAACCATGCACAGCTGGGCACGATGGTTCACGCCCTTAATCCCAGCACTTTGGGAGGCCAAGGCGGGTGAATCACGAGGTCAGGAGATCGAGACCATCCTGGCCAACATGGTGAAACCTGTCTCTACTAAAAATACAAAAATTAGCTGGGCGTGGTGGTGGGCACCTGTAATCCCAGCTACTCAGGAGGCTGAGGCAGGAGAATCGCTTGAATCAGGGAGTCAGAGGTTGCAGTGAACGGAGATCGCGCCACCACACACCAGAGGCTCCATCTTAAAAAAAAATAGTAATAAAGGCTGGGCGTGGTGGCTCATGCCTGTAATCCCAGCACTTTGAGAGACTGGGGCAGGCAGATCACCTGAGGTCAGGAGTTTGAGACCAGCCTGGCCAACATTGTAAAACTCCTTCTCTACTAAAAATACAAAAATTAGCTGGGCATGGTGGTGCACACCTGTAGTCCCAGCTACTAGGTAGGCTGAGGCAAGAGAATCACTTGAATTCAGGAGGCAGAGGTTGCAGTGAACCGAGATGGTGCCACTGCACTCCAGCCTGGGAGACAGAACAAGACTCCGTCTCAAAAAAATCTAGCAGAATATATAGCAGAATAAAGCAGAAAAAAAATACAATCATCTCAATAGATGTAGATTTGCTGGTTAACAAAATCCAACATCCATTCATGATAAATGCTGTCAGCAAATTAAGAATAGAATGGAAATTCCCAATCTAATAAAAGGCAACTATGAAACACCTGTAAGCTAAAATATTTAATGCTGAAATACTGAATGCATTCTCTTTATGATGAAGACCAAGGCAAGGATTTTTATTTTTATTCATTATTAGCCTGCAGGTCCTAGCAGTACAATAAAGCAAGAATAAATAAAAGGTATAAAGATTGGAAAATAAGTAGTAAAACTGTCTACTCACAGATGATATTGTGTATCCTAATTAATCTACAGTTACAAAATCCTATTATCCTAATCAATAAAAACCCTACTAGAATTCAGTATAACAATATTTGCAAGACACAAGATCATATACGAAAATCAATTTGTAGGTACCGGTAGCAATATTTTGGAAAACAATTTTAATGCCACTTATAATAGCATCAAAAAACATAAGGTACTTAAGATCTTAAGTTTAACAAAAAGATGTATAGCTCCTTTACATTAAAAACTATAAAATGGCCGGGTGTGGTCGCTCACGCCTGTAATCCCAGCACTTTAGGGGGCTGAGGCCGGCAGATCACAAGGTCAGGAGTTCCAGACCAGCCTGGCAAACATGGTGAAACCCCATCTCTACTAAAGATACAAATAAATTAGCCAGGCATGGTGGTGCGCACCTATAATCCCAGCTACTCAGGAGGCTGAGGCAGGAGAAGCACTTGAACCCGGGAGGCAGAGGTTGCAGTGAGCCGAGATGGTGCCACTGCACTCCAGCCTGGGCAACAGGGCGAGACTCCATCTGACAAAATAAATAAATAAATAAACTATAAAATACTACATAGAAAAATTAAAGACAAGAAGAGATATTATGTTTATGGATTGAAAAACTCAATTATTGTTAAGGTACCAAACCTCCTCAAATTGCTTCATTGCAATCCTAATCGAAATTCCAACAAGCTTTTTTATAGAAATTGACAAACTGATCCAGACACTTATATTGAAGTACAAGGGTCCTAGAATAGGTTTTTTAAAAAACTAAAACCTTGAAAAACAATGAACTTAGAGGACTCACACTATATTAAATCTTGATTTAATATAAAGCTAAATTAAGACAATGTGCTATTGGCATAAGGATTAAAAAAAATCTATCAATGACACTGAAGCCCAGAGAAGTCAAGTAACTTGCCCAAGATTACATGGCTGATAAGTGGTAGAGACAGGATTTATACCCTAGCAGTCAGATTCTAAAGCTGGTGCTTATAACCTCTACACAGGCTGCCTTTCCACAGTACAGTCTCACTAGAAACCAACCACTTCCCAAAGACCTTAGCTGAAGCCTCAACTATTGCTAGCATTTTTTTTTTTTTACAATAAAGAAGTTTTCTACATGTTGTTAGGCATAATGCTATTGCACACTTAGTAGACTACAATATAAACATGACTTTACATGCACTAGGAAACCAAAATATTTGTGTGACTCGCTTTATTGCAGTGGTCTGAAACCAAACCCTCCATCCGATATATACCTGTGTATGAAATCATGACTTAATTTGTTTAAGGTGTATCCTAAGCAGATTAAGACAGGATTCGTATTACTAGAAGACATGGTTAGGTTTGAGAGAGGTCTCAAGGCCAGACCATATTCATTTCTCTCCTTTGAACTCCGATGGCTGTTATTGTCTATACTGGCCCCTTGCTACTCAAAGTATGGTCTTCAGACCAGCAGCATCCATCCTCAACAGGTGGGGCTTATTATAATAAATACAGCTCCTCAGACTCAACCTTAGACCTACAAGATCACAGTTTTTTTTTTTTTTTTTTTTTTTTTGAGATGGAGTCTTGCTCTGTCACCCAGGCTGGAGTGCAGTGGCACGATCTCGGCTCACTGCAAGCTCTGCCTCCTGGGTTCACGCCATTCTCCTGCCTCAGCCTCCTGAGCAGCTGGGACTACAGGTACCTACCACTAGGCCCCGCTAATTTTTTTGTATTTTTAAGTAGAGACCAGGTTTCACCACGTTAGCCAGTATGGTCTGGATCTCCTGACCTCGAGATTGCCCACCTCGGCCTCTCAAAGTGCTGCAGAGCTTACCTTTTTAAAGGATCCCCGCCTTGTGACTACCTGGCCACAGGGTGAGGAGTCCTTGTCTGAATCATTTACTCCTGCACTTAACCCTCTATAATAGCCTGGCGGTGCTCTAAAACGGTTTGTTCTATGCATTCACTTATGTTACCACAAGAAACACAACATTTTCTCCCAAGTAGGCGCTTTGTAGATCCCCATAACCTTTTCTGGATGCCTAGTATGCTTAAATCCCTGTTTCTGTAAGTCTTTTGGCACTGAACTAACAGTCACTTAAGTGTGTGTGTGCGCTCGTGTATGCAAGCACACACATTTAATATACTCAATTTTCATTATGAAAGGATTTAAGTGTTCCTTTAAGATAGTAAGCTCTCAGCATACTTAAAATGATTCCATTTACAAAAAAAAAGAAAAAAAAAACTTACCAAAACAAAAAAGCGCTCACTTTACTCAATACACTTCAAAAAAAATGCACAGGTTATATAAATGTGATTCCACCTGAAGTGGGAATATTTCATTTTCCCTTTAAGAAATGGATTCTCTGAAGAAATAGGTCATTTAGCTTCTTTAGGCTCCTATTGTGTTATTTTGAGAGTAATGAGTAAAGACTGAATAAGGAAATTCAGGAGGAAATATTTCCTCAGTCATTTTTAGAAGCCATTAATCAGACTTATTCCCAAGGAGATTTCTTTTGGTTAAAATTAGATGTAGATATGGAGAGAGAGATGTCATAGATAGATATGATATCTTGGGATTTTACTTATATACTATTAGACGGATTTTGTATCATACTTGCCTTTATTTCCCTTCAGAATCTTTTGAAATCCTTGTTATAATTTTTCTCTGAGAAAGTTTTAAAGACTTATTTGTGTAATTTTATCTCGTATTCAGTGTTTTGAGATTTAGATGATGAAAGCATCTCATCTAGATTTTGGTGCTGGATTTTTAATGCCAACAGTTGTAGCCCACCAGTGAGTATGTCCATGAAAGAGAAATCATGCAAATTCCACAGAAGCAGCTTTTTAAGCTGAATGAGTACCACTGTTCTTAAATTCTTAAGATGTAGCTGCCTAATACCCTAATCTATGCCTCTGCATTCATCAGCGTTTTCACCTGGGAATCAGGCTCACTCAAGTATTAAGTATTGAATTCGGGGGAAATCACATATTATGCTAGGGGCTAGATACTAAAGTTTGCTTATAGTCAGTTCCTTAGAGCACCATCGGGGCAGCGCAGTGCATGTGGCATATGTACATGACTGTACAGTACTGAGGCCCACTGAGGACGCCAGACCCAGACATTCCCTGGGGGCATATGCTCCTTGCTGGCAGTGGCAGGATGCTACACCATGCTTTTTAAATTGGTCCCTATCCTCCTCCTTCCCCTCTTCCCTTTTCCTCCCCCACACGTGTATTTGATGAGACTCACTGATATTGGCTCTGTGTTCCCAAGTCTCATCTCCAATTGTAATCCCCATACGCCAGAGGAGGGGCCTGGTGGGGGGTAACTGGATAATGGGGGCAGATTTCCCTTGTGTTCTCGTGATAGTGATTTCTCACAAGATCTGATGGTTTTCAAGTGTGGCACCTCCCCACCTCATTCACACATGCTCTCTCTCCTGCCACATGTGAGACATGCCCTGCTTCCCCTTTACCTTCTGCCATGATTCTAAGTTTTCTGAGGCCTCCCCACCCATGCTGAAGTGTGAGTCAATTAAACCTATTTTCTTTAAAAATTACCCAGTCTCAGGTAGTTCTTTATAGTAGTGTGAAAACAAACTCACTATACTCATTTTATATCCTCCAGAAGCTTAAGACCAAGTTAAAGCAAAACCAATCTAGAAAAACAAACAAACAAAAAAACACGAATAAATAGTACTATGTAAGAATGGCGTGGTAAAATTCTGAGGTAAAGGAGTTTCAAGAAGGCTGGGTCGGTGGGACCTAGTGTGGTCAGTGAATTAACAAATGATTCCTTCTTAAGGTAATCAATATCCTGAAAGTCTTCAGTTGCCATCATACAGATGAGGGCTGGTCTTGGTACCAGAACCTACTGAAGCTACAAATTCATCTCCAATGACCCTCCTTTAGGCATTTACTAAACCAAACAACTGTATTACACTTGTCACGTAAGCGTAATGTCGTACAATTTTTGTAAGCTGAACACTTGTTTAAGAATGCTTAGGACCTTTTTACTATTAAAGTTAATCCCTGAGTGCACTAACCATTTACAGGTGGCCCAGCCTTTACTCCACTGAAAGGAAAAAGGGGCATTATGCAAGGGCCATTGGTAAGATAAGTTTTCCTAGAAAAAACATTAGGCAGACAGGATCCTTTAGGGGGCATCAGGACGAGCCAGTTTACAGAAGCCAGAGGGGTGCTGAAAGTATCTGAATTAAGGGAACTGAGTTGACCCTTCCCCGTCCTGTCCCTACTCCCTCAGATGTTTCTGCCAGGGAAGAGGACTGAGAACTAACGTTTTAGTAATCAAATCACATGGTCAGCAAGGGGTCAAATTAAGAATTTTGCTAAGAAAAATTTGTATAATATCAATAATAAGAACAGAGAAAAGGGCGATAGAAATCCATGAATTGGTGTTTTAATGCCTCTGAGTGACCTACATTAACAGGGACTTGAGTAAAGATGAATAGGCAGCTGAGTGTAATGGCACAGTCCAGAAGCCAACAGGCCTCTGCTGAAATCCCAGCTCCCCTGCTGCATGACCAAGCAGCAGGGCCAGCTGCCTAATCTATCTTAGCCTTTATATTTGTCCGAAATGGGGATAATAACACAACTTACTTCACTGGGATAAGATTTATTTGAGATAATATATGGAATATACTTAGTACACTGCCAGCAAAGTGGAAAATGCTTATTAAGGGTCAGTTTTCATGTTTATTAGATGAGGTGAGGCAAGGGAATTGACCGAAGAGCTATTTCAGGGAAACCAGTAACAACTGTTCCATCAACTGTCAAGTAGACACTTTCTCTTTGAGAAGGAGAACTGTCTCCTAGTAGGCTATTGAGGGGCTAGGGGAAGGAAGAGAAAAGACCTAGGCTGGAGTTCCAGGGAGTTCCAGCCATCACAGCTGCATTCCAGGCACCAGGAGGTGGGAGTTGGGGAAGTTCTGCCACTGCTGCCCCTACTCACCAAACCAGCCCCGCTTCCTGGAAGTCCACAACACTTATGTAGTCACCAGCCACATCTGGCTCAAAGGAAAACTGGCCAATGTTTCCTACAGGGACATTGCTTTCCTGAAAAGAACTGGGGTACTGTTGCTAAGGAAGGGAAGAATAGATATTTGGTAGGCAACTGGCAGTCTCTTCCACAGCCTTTGAAACAATTGCCTATGTTGCGGGCGTGTGAGGAAGTTCGACAGGATTTAGTGTTCATAGTAACCATTTGCCTTCCTTGAATTGCACAGAAAAAATTAAATATACAAAGATATGCTTGCATACATTTTATTAGAAACAGGGATTGTCAAAAGTAGTTACGATATGCTGGGACCCAAAAAAAAAAAAAAAAAAGCCTACTCATACATATTTACCTTATACTTCTTCAGGAAAATAAAGTTGATCCGTGTTTTATGACTTGGTTCTCCTCCCCTCTACTGCCCTGCAAACGCTGAAAGATCAAAAATTTTATTTTGTGACAGTCTTGCTCTGTTGCCCAGGCTGGAATGCAGTGGTGCAAATTTGGCTCACTGCAGCCTCTACCTACTGAGTTCAAGCAATTCTCCTGCCTCAGCCTCCCTAGTAGCTGAGATTACAGGCATGCACCACTACACCCAGCTAATTTTTGTAATTTTGTAGAGATGGAGTTACACGATGTTGACGAGACTGGTCTCAAACTCCTGGCCTCATGCAATCTGCCTGCCTCAGCCTCCTAAAGTGCTGAGATTATAGTTGAGAGCCACTCCACCAAGCCTAAAGATCAAAAACTTTAAACCAACTTTAAGAAAAAGCTCAGATGCTATAACTTTAAAAATCATTTCTTTTTTTTGCTTTTTATAACTCCTCTGTTGTCTGACAGAAGTAACTACTACTTCCAATAATCCGTATGTCCTCATAACATCTTTTTAGAAATCCTAAATTTCAATCTCCTTAAAAGGCCCTTGTGAACAATGTCGTATTTCTATAGCGTATTTCTATTTTATCCCAAAGTGCCCATAGTATTAGGTATAAAAAATACTTCAAATAAACTTTTTTAGCAGTATTTTTTCACATTTTTAAATTGAGGTATAAATTACATACAGGAAAATTCACCCTTTAGTGTACAGTTCTGTGAGTTTTGAAACATCTGTGATCATGTAACCACCACAGTAATGCAGATACGCAACAGTTCTATCACCTCCAAATTTCCCCTGTGCCCCTTGTGTCTGGCAATCACAAATATAGCCGCTATCAACATTTACAGACAGGCTTTTGTGTGAAAATAAGTTTTCCACTTGGTCAGATATCTAGGAGTGAGATTGCAGGGGCATCGGATGCCTATTCAAAGCCCCAAATCAAAAGTTAGCTTAGCTATCAAGTTTTTATTAAGCATTTTGACAGTCATCCCCAAAGATCTGCATAATGACTTACTAAAAAGAGAAACTGCCACCAATAATATAGGGGAAGCCCAGGGGGCATTAATAAATTAGGCTACAATTAAAGGGACAAAATATATCGAGACCCATTTTTCATTCTGCCCAACACAATAGAAATAAGAAAATATTACATGTCAAAAGGGTACAGAGAAATATATGGCTTTAAGATGAATGTTTTCCCATTTCCCACTGTAATTTATACTCCCTTCTATTACTCCTTCTACAAATCACATTTCTGAACTTTTAAAAAACTGAAGAAAACCAGATGACTTTGGGAGGTCCAGGCGCATTCTGATGTCTGCTTATGCGGAAGCTTCTAAAGAGCTTGCTGTAATAAACACTACAATAAGCCTGAAAGAGATCGCCAGGATTTTCTGAGTCAAACAAGACATGTTACTCCTTCATAGAATCAGAACTAAAAGGAAACTCAAGTAAAATCTCATCCCACCCTCTCAGTTTACAGATATGAAGAAAACCAAAGCCAGAGAGGAGAAATGACTTGTCCAAGAGCACAGCTACTTTGTAGTATAATCCAGGGCTGGACTTCACAAGCGGAGGGCAAACGGTAGGGTGGACACTACTGAACCTCCAGTATCATTTTTTTTTGTCAATCTTCAGTTCTCTTGGCTCTAGCCTGCAGGCTAACATCACAGTTATAGTGTTTACCCAGAGCCATGGAGAGAAGAACAAAAGGGATACCGGTGTGGCTTTGTTTAAGGTAAATATTTTATTATAGTACCTCAGCCATTCTTTCTTCTAATTATAGAATCCACTGACTGGAACTAGAAGTGGGGACAAACTGATCAACTTCAGGGTTTACATTGCTGGTGAACTCCAACAATGATGGATAAACTTGTATCACAGGTACAAGAGGAAGGGGTAGTACTGCTGGATTTCTTAATTTTGAAGATACATAGATTTCAGTGAGAAATTCGGACTCATTCTCATTTTGGCAAACCACTGTTGAAATCAAACTGGACAGAATGTAGGCACCTTCCCAATAAATTATCTTCAAAAGAGATGAGAAAAAGACCCACTTGCGTGAGCATACCGGCAGGACTGTAACTGTGCCGTCACTTCCCGATCAGGCATGTACTGGCATCATCTGTGTTCCCACGTGCAACTCAGGAGAAGCAGGAAATAAAGCTGAAAACCCTACACGTCCTCCCTCACCTCTCTGAATTTCTCTTCACACCTATTATATTTTTTGTAATATTTATTCAGAAGAAATGCTGAATGGTGATAATGCAATAACTTAGGCCTGTGACTGTTTGCTTCAAAGTTTGAAAATTAAGTTACCGGCCGGGCGCGGTGGCTCACGCCTGTAATTCCAGCACTTTGGGAGGCCGAGGCGGGCGGATCACGAGGTCAGGAGATCGAGACCATCCTGGCTAACATGGTGAAACCCCGTCTCTACTAAAAATACAAAAAATTAGCTGGGCGCGGTGGCAGGCGCCTGTAGTCCCAGCTACTCGGGAGGCTGAGGCAGGAGAATGGTGTGAACCTGGGAGGCGGAGCTTGCAGTGAGCCAAGATCGCGCCACTGCACTCCAGCCTGGGCGACAGAGCGTAACTCCGTCTCAAAAAAAAAAAAAAAAAAAGGAAAATTAAGTTACCAATGTCCTCTATACACAATAGGGTCCTGATACTAATATGGATGTGAATGATCAACTGTGGGAAAGCCTGGTGATAAGTACGTCAAAAATATAACCAGTTTCTTGCTTCTAAGTCTATTAAAATGTAGGTCCTTGGCTTCCAAATGCTGGTATCTGAATGATACAAGAATGGACCCTCCAGCCGTGAAATGGGTGGTGACAATAGAGTATGGTGTTGTACACACAGATTAAGAGTGCAAATATTGTCAATGTTTATATTTCCCACTAGTTGTAAACTTACTCTGCAATTCAGAGTACAGCTCACAGAGTTAGGGTGCTTCCCCGCTCCACAATGAATCTGAAATTACCTAAGTATTTTCTGGGCACAATAAAAATTAACCTAGTTAACTCACTAATATGTCAATGAAAACAATATATACATATGTGGGAAGACAGTGGGAGAGAAAATAGAAAGTGGATGAATTGTCACCATACACACAGCAAGTTATCTAATTTGCTTTTCAATTGGCTCATTAGAAATAAGTGCCCACTATTCAATCTCTCTTATAAAAATCACTAGTCATTACTAAGTTTTCAGATATATGAACTGAAATTATGCAATGTCATCGGAAGACATTCTTTGAACAAATATTTACTTAATGCTGACTATTCTTAGATCTCCCTCTTGTACAGGTTACCTGTGCATTTTTCATCATTTAAAAATACAACACATATACGCATTGCAAAAATAAGATGAATCCCCACCACACACACATACCATGAAGCTCATTCTCATTTGGGTCCAAGAGCCAGAGAAGTCAATCAGTATTTGTAGATATTCTGTGTCATAAAGCTCTCCCTGTACTTACTATTTAGGTAGAAGCAAGCCCTGGTAAGGAAAGCAGCATGTGTGCTGGAGTTAACTCTGGATTCAAATTCCTTCTATTCTACCTATTAGGACCATGTCTGAGCCTTAGTTTGCTCATCTGCAAGATGAGAATATTAACTCCCTTCTGGATATCATGAGGATATAATTAAATAAGGTAGAGTTTGTAAAGCATCCAATACAGTATCTGGCACATGACAGAAGAAGAGAAGAAAACCAATACAAGTACGGAAGACAACATCAGGTGGGCCAGTTACGTCCCACCCATGTCTACTTTGGAAAGCACATTCTTTTTCTTTTTTTTTTTTTTTTTTTTTTTTTTTTTTTTTTTGAGACGAAGTCTCGCTCTGTGGCCCAGGCGGGAGTGCAGTGGCGTAATCTCGGCTCACTGCAAGCTCCGCCTCCCGGGTTCACGCCATTCTCCTGCCTCAGCCTCCCGAGTAGCTGGGACTACAGGCGCCCGCCATCACGCCCGGCTAATTTTTTTGTATTTTTAGTAGAGACGGGGTTTCACCGTGTTAGCCAGGATGGTCTCGATCTCCTGACCTCGTGATCCGCCCGCCTTGGCCTCCCAAAGTGCTGGGATTACAAGCGTGAGCCACCGCGCCCGGCCGGAAAGCACATTCTTTCTAAAGGTCACCATAACACTTGCTAAAAATTAAATGTTTCATTGTTTTTGCTGTTTTTGTTTGTTTACGCAAGTATCTTCCAGAAGCTATTTATTGGAATAAAACCAAAGTGCTGAAGGAATTAAGCAGAGACAGAACACATGAAAGAGAAAGGATAACAGATGATGGATATAAGAAAGAATAAAAAGCAAAAAGATAGCAAACCTGCCTCATTTTATTAAGAAATGTAAGCAAGTGGCAAAGGGGGTGGGGCGGATGGAGAAGGGAATAGAAAGCCAATGTTACTAACCATTGGATTCAGCGTTAAGTCTATGGAACTCCAACCAGTCAGAAATGACTTTCCATTTTTCATCTAGCCAATGGAAATGAAACATGTATTTTAAACAATAAAGTCAATAAAAACTTCAGGAGAAATAATGTTTTGATTCCTAAAATATATGTTCTGAAGAGTTTGGCCCTATTTTTCAAAAAGCCAATTAGTGTTCACCACCGTTTCACACCAAAACAACAGGAATTTCCAATAAAATGACTGATAAGCCATTCTATTAGACAAGTTAATATAACCAGCCAAATAACCAGTTATTTTGGCGAAATCTTGTTTGATCATTTTGCTAAGCTTCAATTTTCCTCTAACTTGGTCTTGAGGTCTCTCTCTGGAGAGTAGCTATCGATTCTAGACCTGCTGGGGCGGGGGGCGGCCCCAGATGTTTATAGTGTTTCTCACAGAATACCTCTTTTCCCAGCTGGACGCCTAATCCTAAGCGTGGACACATGACCAGATGCCCCTCTCACAGAAAACTCGGTTATAGTGGCAGCCACCCTTGTAGATCTTCTCTCACCTGGGTCCAGCCCTGACCAGGAAGGGAGTTAGGTTCAAGTGAGACACAGGAGCCGGCACAACAAAACACATGAAATAACAGAAGCCGGTGTTACTTACAGATGCCAGAGAGAAGAGGGCAGCCCGCCTTGCAGGCCAACAGGAAGCGGGAGCCATCTGGAACCTATGTGCTCAACCAGTAAGTGGGCAGCTAGCGAGCGAGTGAGCGAGAACCTGGCGACCTAAGCCTTTATTAAGGTCCACGGGTGTTCTGCCGTAGGCTTTCCACAGGGCAGTGGTTGGCTAGTTTAAAGAAAACACGTGCGAAGGGAGGGGGTCTAATTTACCTGACTCTGATGTTGACCATCAGGTTTCATCATGGTCAACAGCTGTGGGGTGTGCTGGGTTTTTGGGTCTGCGAGATGAGGAACAGGCAGGCTACAGCAGAAACCACCGCACAGGTGAGGGAAGTTTCAACTAGGCCTCGGGGGACGGGGTGTGTACAACCGGGTTTCAAATAACTTAGGTCTGGCCTAAAAATTGATGCAGAAGGAGCAATGATATTAAACAAATTTATGACAATGGACACTTGAACAAATTCCACCTAAACACACAGGCTACCTTAAACATGTGAAACAAACCTCCTATAAAATCTGATTTGAGATCTTAAGGAAGTACCCCAGACTGAGACATCTCCAGACACGACTCCCAAGTTCCCCATGAGCAAAATGCTCCACTTTATTGCTAAAGATTGCTTCAGTTCCATAAGCATTTATTAATCATTCAGTGACATTAGCTACTATTTATCGATCAATTACTATGCGGTACTTTACACATTATCTCATTTAATGCTCAAGAACAATCCAATAGGATAAACAAACTTATCTCTCTTTACAGACAAACATACTGCGGCTCACGGAGGTTAAGGAACTTGCCCAGGCCACACAGCTGGTAAGTGGCAGAGCCAAGATTCAGACCTAGGTCTGTATGACTACAATTCAATCTTTTCATAACTCAATCTTCCTCTGGTTTACTTTTAAAATATAAATACTTGAAATTCTCATTAAAAACTGACATCTGGGTTCACACAAAGACCCCCCCCCAACCCTCACCCATCTCATTGACAAGGCTCAGACCATGGGAGCCTTGTCAGGTATTTCTATGAAACGATATTGATGGGAAAATGAGAGCATTTGGTCACTTCGAGAACTACCAACCCCTGAACCAGCCCCCTACCCGCTTTCTCTCCCACCAACGCACACTGCACAACTCCCCGAAGCCCTGCTGAACCTACTTAGGCAGTGCCTGCCTGGCCTGGAGACCTCAGTGGGCACACCTGAGGCACTCATCTTTCAAAAAGAACCTAAGTCTTCTCATGTTCTAACCTCTCCCTGCCCCACTCTTCCCAGATCCATAATCAGAGGCAGATTTCAACTGCACTGGGAGTCAAACAAAGAGTCAAGCCCGAGAGAAAAAGGCTTACACACCAAAAGAATGGCACTATTTTGCAAACTTACAAACTTGTATATGTTTAACAAGTTTCACTTGTCCAGTATATATTTGGGGAACCTGTGTGGGAATGAATTCCGAGGAAAGGGGAGAACATTACTTTAACCTGGGCTTTAGAGACCAGCTGTCTTAACAGAGCCTCTGGATTCAACATGGAAACTCGAGCATCTGGGAATTATTCTAATTGTTTGCTCCATTTCTTTGTTGAAATCTGGACTCAATGGAGTCCTATAATATTTGCCAGAAACTCAGTATAATGGAGAGGAATGTGTGTTGTGGGTTCTACCTTGTGTAAACTGTCCACCTCCCTATACCGCTATGTCCCCTGAAAGGGTACAGGAGATTCTTCCTTCACCACAACCCACTGGTGGGGTAGGTAGCGGGTGCGGTAGCAGCACTTGAGCAGGGGAGGGGACCCCACTGTGGCTGAGCACTGTTCTCCGTTGTGTGGTCTTTGGCTCTCCTAGAGATCCTGTGAATGTCCCAATACCCTTCAATAAGTGACTTTCTGCTTATGTAAATACCTAGATTGTTTGCTGTCAAGAATTGTAACACCTCAGTCCAGGGTACTTTCTGCTACCCTAAGGTGTTTAAGATAAGAGTAGCAAAAAAGGGCTGGGACTAGAGACCTAGGGAATGACCCTCCTTGAAGACAGGGCAGAGAGAAAACTTCCAGGGAAAAGAGACACTCAGGGAATAAGCATAGGAGCCACAGGGCCCAGCCATCTCCTCCTCTACTGCCCCGGTGGGACTTCTCAAATTGATTACACCAGAAAAAACAGAAGGCTCCCTACAATGGGTGCTCTCAGCTAGCTCCTTTACCCCAACACCCTGGGTGGCCGCTCCACCTCTAGCTCCTTTACCCCAACACCCTGGGTAGCCACTCCACTTCCTCCTGGCCATAACCATGCCCTAAATTGCACACACACACACATACAAATATATATATATATATTTATATATACAGTTGATCCTTAGACGACACAAGCTTGAAATGTGCTGGTTCACTTATACTCAAATTTTCCCAGTAAATACACTAAAACATTTTTTTGGAGATTTGTGACAATTTGAAAAAACTCAAAAATGAACCGTGTAGCCTAGAAATACTGAAAAAAATTAAGAAAGAGATATGTCATGAATGCAAAAAGTATATGTAAACACTGGTCTATTTTATCATTTGCTACCATAAAATTTATACAAATGTATAATAAAACATTAAAACTTATGAAAACTTACACACAGACAGTACATGGAATCATTCACAGTCGAGATAAATGTAAACACATATAAAGATGCAGTATTAAATCATAACTGCATAAAATTAACTATAGTGCACACTGTACCTCTGTAGTACTTTGCTATTGTGGTGAACTTAAGTGTTGTGAGTATCCCTTAAAAGGCCATGGGGGCCAGGCACAGTGGCTCACACCTTTGGGTGGCTGAGGCAGTAACTCTGGGAGGCCGAGGTGGGAGGATCACTTGAGGTCCGGAGTTCAAGACCAGCCTGGCAACATGGTGAAACCCCGTCTCTACTAAAAATACAAAAATAAGCCAGGCGTGGTGGCTCACACCTGTAATCCCAGCTGCTCGAGAGGCTGAGGCACGAGAATCACTTGAACCTGGGTGGCAGACGTTGTGGTGAGCCGAGATTGCGCCACTGCACTCCAGTCTGGGCAACATAGTGAGACTCCGTCTTAAAAAAAAAAAAAAAAAAAAAAAGTGTGTGTGTGGGGGGGTGGAAATCTCTTGAAGTTCTCTCGTATTTTTCATCATGTTTAGTGCAATACTATAAACCTGAAATAACACTGTGGGACCCCCTGTGAAGTGCCACTAGTGATCTAGGCTGGAGGTGTTCCCAAAGAAGCACAGAAAAGTCATCATATTACAAGAAAATGGTGAATTGCTTGAGATTTGCCATAGACTGAGGTCTGCAGCTGCAGTTGCCTGCTATGTCAGACAGACAATTCATCCTGTAAACAGATGATGTACTCTTATGGTATTGACAAATACAATACAGTACTGTAAGGGTATTTTTCTCTTCCTTATGATTTTCTTAACAATTTGTTTTCTCTAGCTTCCTTTAAGAATAGCATGTGGGGCTTAATACCTCGATGATGGGTTGATAGGTGCACACATTTACCTATGTAACAAACCTGCACATGTATCCTGGAACTTAAAATAAATTTAAAAAAAAAGAATACAGTATATAATACATATAACATAGAAAATATGTGTTAATGGACTGTTTCTGTTATTGGTAAGGCTTCTTGTCAACAGCATGCTATTAGTAGTTAAGTTTTGGGGAGTCAGAAAGTTCTACTTGGATTTTCACCGCAAGGGGGTGGGGGTAGCATCCCTAAGTCCCATTTTATTTGAGGGTCAGATGTGTAACACCCAATATTGGCAAAGCAGGCTATACAAATTCATTATTAGTGGTACGGTAAAGTCTTATAACACTTTTGAAAATACATATGGTAACAAGTTGCAAAAGGTTTATTAGTATTTATACTCTTACCTGGTAATTCTACTCATAAATATTTATTCTAATATAGCAAAAAAGTGATAGGCACAATATAGTTAGTTGCTTGCTAATTGATTTAAAAATTTACAACTTCATAAAGATCTAACATTAAAGAACAGTTCAGGCCAGGTGCAGTGGCTCATGCCTATAATCCCAACACTTTGGGAGGCTGAGGTAGGAGGACCATTTGAGCCCAAGAGTTTGAGACCAGCCTGGGCAACATAGCAAGATCCCCATCTCTACAAAAAAAATAAATAATTAGGCATGAGTAGCACATGCCTGTAGTCCTAGCTACTTAGGAAGCTAAGGCAGGATATTCACTTGAGCCCTGGATTTCGAGGCTACCATGAACTATGATCACGACTGTACTCCAGCCTGGGCAATACCACAAGACCTTATCTCAAAAAAAAATTGAAACAGTTCAATAAATTATGGAACATGAACATAATAATACACTAATGTGCAGATATTTAAAATCTTGCAATGTGGATTTACCTATATTAACATGAGAGAAAATAGAATACAAAATAGCATGTACAGTCTCATTACAAGTATATCAATGATACATATTTATAGTATTATACAAAAAGAAAATACTGTAGTCAATTTTTAGGGTGGTGAAAGTAAGAATTATTTTAATCTCATTTTTAAAAATCTTGTCTTCTCAAAATCTTTTTAAAAAATCAAGCCTCAAAAACATTTCAGTGAATATAATCATCACAGTCGTTTCAAACTAGCCGCAATTCAGCATAAACTACAGCTAATTACACGGACAATTCTTTCCTTGCCACACCAGATATCCACATTTGACTAAATTTTTTAAATTAGATTGAGAAAAGGTATATGTCTCTATTTCACTTCCTTAAATCTAAAATCAACTACAGCTTTGTTCCAGATATGAAAAGAACTTTTAAAGGCTGTGTACAAACTGACCTAATGGTATTACAGAAAACAATTTGTGATGTTCTGAATGTTATTTGAAACACTAGCTAAAGGGAAAATTTTAAAGCATAAATTAAAAATCTAGACTTAAGCTTGATTTTTACTTGCAATATAACAGAGTGTTTCATTACATAGTTATATCCAGAACAATAAAAAAGAAATATGCATATACATCAATTGCCATGGAATATGAATAATTTCTTATTTTATGAGATAAGACATGAGGTCAGTAAATGACATTTCCCAGGCATTGTAATAAAGCATTTTCTATGTAGGATGTAATACAGTATGATGTAACTTTTATTAGTTATTATTTACTGATCGACTATAATATATGCACGCATACATACCTATATTAACTTCCCTACCACGTAGAATATTCCACAAGGACAGAGCTAATTGGGCAATGACAGCAATAAAAACAGCTATGATTTACTGGGCTCTTGCTATATATTAGACAGGAAGCTAAACCCTTTACACAGATTATTTAATCATCCCAGCAGCCCTAAATTAGGTGCTAACCTTTTCTTCTCTTTACGAATGAGACGCCTGGTTTTCACCATAGGTTACACGGTAGGCAAGTGGTGGCACAGGTCTGAACCCAGCATTCTCACTAGTGGAGGTTATGGCCTTTAATCAATGAGTAAGAGGGTAAAACAAAATGGAGGTGGGTGGGGATGAACAATGAATGAGGGTAGGAATACTAAAGCATCTTAGAGAAGAAGACAAGAAGACAGAATTTAGCCAAAAAAAAAAAAAATACAAGTAGGTCTAATAGAGATACTTATAACCCTTTATGATTTGATTAGACACATTCATGATACTCGTTACAAAAAACTGAGAAGTCATACAAGAACAAAGTAACAGATAATCAGTGTTTATGTCTTAGTTGGTTTACAGAAGGAACAGAAGAAAGAACAAGATCTAAGAAGTAAAAGCAAGGCCTGAATTTGATTCAGGAAAATAAAATAGCCCCAATTTAGGAAAATCATGTCTTTTTCAATTTCCCTAGGAAATCTCTCTAATATTTCAAAATGTCAATTACTCTAAAATCTCATTTTTATCATGCTTCCCAATATAAAAATTTGACTTTAAAAACCCAAAATAATATTTCATGAAACATAAAATGACACTTTGTAAATATTTTTAAAGGTTTTGTTTACTATTAGGGAAATATCAGGGAAAAGAACTAATCAACAAAGAAGATTAACAATGAAGTAAAATTTAACATACGTACAGAAAAGATACTTTTGAAGTGATAGGGAAATTCAAAATAAAACTTAGTTAGAACATAGACTTATTTTAAATGTTTTATTACTTTGTGCCTAGTTTCAATACAATACAGAATGCAATTTGGTTGGCATAAAATAGAGAAAACTTTTTGTTACATGCACTGTAATTAAAAGTAGAAAAGGTAACTCAATATTAACAATTTGAAATTTAAAAGATATATTTGTAGTCCAGGAGTGGTGGCTCACACCTGTGATCCCAGCACTTTGGGAGGCCAAGGTGGGCAGATCACTTGAGTCCAGGAGTTCAAGACCAGCCCAGCTAACATGGCTAAACTCCATCTCTAAAAAAATAAAAAAATTAGTGGGACGTGGCAGCATGTGCCTGTGGTCCCAACTACTCGAGAGGCTGAAGTGGGAGGATCACTTGAGCCCAGAGAGGTCAAGCCTGCATGAGGTGTGATCGCACCACTGCACTCCAGCCTGGGTGACAGAATGAGACCCTGTCTCAAAATAGAATAAAATATACATATATATATTTATTTATACTTGTAAATTCATGCTAGTATTTCACTATAACACTTGTATGTTTTTTAGTATTAGATATGAGCTTTAAAACATATTTAGCAATCTCTAACTTCAATGATTTGTCAGTACTGTCTAGATACAATTAGATTTCAAAATTTTCACTCAGGTGAAGTAGAGGGTGACTGCCATAATTTGGGCAAGTGTCATAATTTAGTTTAAGCATGCTGGTAATATTTTAATTCCTATGTGGACCAATTATCTGAGAATGACACTATTTCCCATTCCACAGCCATCAGCTGCATCTTCTTACCTGAATCACTTTTTTCAAAATCCATGCGATTTATTGGCCACAGAAGGGTCTCGACAAGAATGTAAATGGATGACTGGCTCCTTGCAAATCTATCACCACTGCCAGAAAAGTCTCTCAACACTTATGCCAGCCTGCCACTCACTAGCTGTGTGTCCCTGGGCAAGATACTGACCATTTCTATGCCTCGCATGTAAAAAGGGGATAATAATAGATATGTATATATAGTTGGGTCATTGGGATCATTCCATGTTTAAGTGCTCAGAGCAATGCAGGCAGGTAGTAAGTACTTAATAAAGGTAAATTGTTATTTTTACTATTCAGTAGTATATCCTCTTATACAGAAAACCATATAGTATTACCTTTCACGTTTTTACATACAAATAAAGGATGCCAGAGCTAATAATTCCTTTCTTAACCGCCCAAAGAATTATAAATAAGCATGGGATTTGAACCTTCATAATAAGTAGCATGTCAAATGCTTAGAGGCAAGAATGAACCATCTATTATACTCATGCAACAATTCCACAGTCACATAATTCAAATCATTATTCGTGTGACTCACAAGCCATAATGTAGTTTATTCTTCAGCATTATCCTTTTACTATGTTTCTATGAAAATATCTCATTCCGTTATCATTCCATATTTATAGCCAGATTGCAAATATTCCATCAAAAACTGTGTAGTACATTTGAGGTAGTTCCCTAAGGAATCAAAATTATTATTATCTTAGACAATTAACATAATAACGGTGTATTTCTTTTTTAACCTTGAATTCTCCTCCAGATCTCCAATATTATAGACACAGTTCCCTTAATTGCTGGGGAGAATGAATAGAGAATATAGGAAGAACTAAGAGCCTTATTATCCACTCACTCCAGTACAGCCCTCTCTAGAAAGCAAGCATGTGCAAAGAAGATCTCTGTATCAGGTCAAATATTTCTGGGACAGTCAACTATCTATCTATGCAAGTCTAAAGCTACAAACGTCATTTTTGCCAATGCATTCTAAAAGCTAAGGTATATTAAATCACTCTGATTTTTGAACAATCTAGTCTAGTAAATTGTTTAGCCTTACAGACTGAAAGTCATTTTTATCATATCTAACTAATTATTCATTTCTAATTACATTTCAATAGATATTATACTAATGGGTAAAAAGGCATTTCATTGTGTTATTATTTGTAATAGTAAAAAACTGTAAACGATTATTAATAAATGCCTCTCAGTTGGCTAAATGCATGTGTTAGCTTCTACACAGATAAATGTTTGAAGAATATACAACCGTGAATAGTAGGGACCTTTGGAAAGCCGAATTAGGAGGTGGGAGTGGGAGTCCCACCTCCTAACTCTGTATTATTGTACATTTCCGTATCATTTGAAGGTTTTACAATCATCTTGTTCCACTTTTTAAATTTTTGTAAAGATATTTTTTCCCTCTCTCCCTCTCTCCCCTCCCTCCTGCCTTCCTTACTATATTCTTTTTTTTTTTTTTTTCTTTTTTTTTGAGACTGGGTCTGTCACCCAGGCTGCAGTGCACTGGCAGGATCTTGGCTCACTGCAACCTTCACCTCCTAGGCTCAAGCCATCCTCCCACTTCAGCCTTCCAAGTAGCTGTGACTATAGGCACACACCACCATACCCCGCTAATTTTTGTATTTTTGGTAAAGATGGTGTTTTGCCATGTTGTCCAGGCCTGTCTTGAACACCTGAGCTCAAGCGATCGACCTGCCTCAGCCTCCCAAAGTGCTGGGATTACAGGTGTAAGCTACCACACCAGGCCCTCCTTCCTATATTCTTTTTTTTTTTTTTTTTTGAGACAGAGTCTCACTTTTGTCGCCCAGGCTGGAGTGCAATGGTGCTATCTTGGCTCACTGCAACCTCCACCTCCCGAGTTCAAGCGATTCTCCTGCCTCAGCCTCCAGAGTAGCTGAGATTACAGGCACCCGCTACCACACCCAGCTAATTTTTTTGTATTTTTTTTTTAGTAGAGACAGGGTTTCACCATGATGGCCAGGCTGGTCTTGAACTCCTGACCTCAGGTGATCTGCCCACCTTGGCCTCCCAAAGTGCTGGGATTATAGGCGTGAGCCACTGCACCCAGCCCCTCCTTCCTATATTCTAAAAGAACAAGCTAGTGCCATGTCAGATAGGGTGGCAAGCAACTGAGATGTCAAAACTTTTGTATTATCTTCCCTAGTTCTACCACTGACAAGTTCATGAGACTGTCACCAAAATGGCTTTTTCTTCCTGTTGGTTCTTTCATTCAAAATACCATCTTGGATTTCATTAATACTCTACAGTTAAAGAAATCAAATTCTGAAGCTCTGTCATTTCTCAGGTGAAAGTGTAAAGTGTTAGTTCATTCTTACTATCATAATTGTAAAGAGTGTAAGGAAAGTTATTTTATATATTTGATATATTTATTAATTTAACAATTCACTTCTTTTCTTTCTTTCTTTTTTTTTTTTGAGATGGAGTCTTGCTCTGTCACCCAGGCTGGAATGCAGTGGCACAATCTCGGCTCACTGCAACCTCCACCGCCCAGGTTCATGCCATTCTCCTGCCTCAGCCTCCCGAGTAGCTGGGATTACAGGCACCCGCCACCACACGCAGCTAATTTTTTTTGTATTTTTTTAGTAGAGATGGGGTTTCACCGTGATAGCCAGGATGGTCTCGATCTCCTGACCTTGTGACCTGCCCGTCTCGGCCTCCCAAAGTGCTGGGATTACAGGTGTGAGCTACTGCGCCCGGCCTAACAATGCACTTCTAATTATATTTTAGTTTTTTCTCTTCCACAATAAAAAGAAATACATGGGACCCAAAACTTAGTGCATGGTGTCAGCATCTCGCACAGAGTGATAAAATGGCCATGATGGTAATCCTCATTTGGAAACGTAGCTGACTTTTGAGGGTCAGAATTATAGTTCAGCCCCAGTTTGGGAGGGGGGTACAACTTTCTCCTCATCCCAGACAGAAAACTCTTTTTTCTCTCTCCTCTCCCCCTTCTCTCTTCCTCCTTCTCTTTCTATATTTAGCACAAACTTCAGAGCCTTCTTTAGGAATAAATTTCGACATTTAATAAGCTTTAATGAAATCTTATACAAATCCTTCACTTGCCATCTTAAACTGATTTTATCTCACTTTCTTTTGAGAATTAATTCTGGATTTGCACATTCTGACATAATCCCAAATAAGCTAAACATTTAGAGATTCACAGATACATATAAATGGAAAAAAACTCTTACCCTGACATGTCTAAATGACCCCAAACAGTTGAAGAAAAAACAGAAAGTCAAGACATTATTTCCACTCTTTGAAAGTTTAGGTGATGAATGCCTAGATTATCTTTTATAGAGCTGAACATTTTTTCTTTATCTTTTGTTTCTCTACAAGCTTAGATTTTAAAATAGAACCAGTGGTATTTTTTCATATGTAAATATTCCCCAAAAATTTTATTAAATTCATTCAGAAGTCTATTTTGATGTCAGAAGAAATTTGCTATAAATAAATCATATTCTCAAATAACCCACATCTTGGATTTTAAGATAGTTTCTTTACCAAAGAAAACATGGGTACTTTCGAGCAAGCACCCATTAATGTAACACTCCATGTACCCAGCCATGGAAAGGGCTCCTCCTGCTCCTGAAATCACTAAGCTGAGGGCAGATTGGTCACTCTGGGGTGAGAAAAAGATTCCAGTGCCCAACAGAACTCATGACTCCCATCTCTCCCACATGGCCAATGACAAAATACAGGAGTTAAATGAGGACCATAAGGACACACCAAGATAGTAATTACATTTCCCCTTTCCAAAGCAAGATCATACCAGTGTCTTGTTTTGTTAAAAATTAAGTACTGAGAAATGGTGCTAATAGTGGACCAAAAGTTTTGAGGTCTATGTGGAAGACAGAAAGCGAAGGACTCAGATTTACATGGAACCCAAAGCAAAAAGCCTGCAATAAAAAGTGAGCATAAAAGTCCAAGCTCAGAGTCAAGAAGCCATCAGGACGCTCAACTAAATGATATCCTGCAGAGCAGCTGGACTACTTATAGGCTCCTCTCCATCACTCCACCATCACAACTCCTCCACCCCCACCCTAAATAATTTGCTGGCAGTGAGAAGGCATTTGGCTCCATGCTAAAACCTTAAGATTTGCACCAAAGGAAGTATTCATTTTCAGGGCTAGCAGACTTCCTTCTGTGAGTATTGAGGTCAAATATCAGTAGGTTAGAGTCTTTGGGGACTCCAGGCCTCACAGGGCGATGTGGACAGCAAAGCTGCAGCTGGCAATAAAGCTGTCCTTACTCTGGCAATTGTGGTAGAATAAAAAGAGACCCTAATGAAACGGAATAAAATAACAACAAAGTAGACTCAATGAACAAAATCAAAGGTGTTTTTTTTAAACCAAAGAATCTCTTAAATTTATTAGGATAAATACTTAGAGAAAACAAGACATAAGTCACATAGATGCATTAAGCCATAAACTATCCCAATGAAGTCAGTCCCTCACCAGGGTCCCAGTATACAAATGTTCATATAAAGCAAGGTATCAGTATTAGCTTTCAAACTGAATATATGTTGTAAAATATCCAAGGTTGAGTTAGAAACAGGACGTGGGGGTGGGGTGGCACAGGAGGGGAGGGAGGAGACATTCTTTTTTCTAGTAGATTCAGGGAATACATGTGCATGTTCATTTCCTGCATGTATTGCATAATGCTGGAGTTGGGGCTTCTAATGATCCCCTCATCAAAGGGATCATAAATGAAACAACAATACAGTAGAAAAAAATTTGCCAAGCTTGATTAAAACCAGTGAAAGAAAACACAAATAAGCAATATTAGAAAATATACGTGTAAGATTTTATGAGCCTACTACCTATATTCAAAAATATAGATAAAAGCTTTCCCAGAAAATAAAAGTATAAAAACTGACTCAAGAAAAGGGAACTAATTAAATGGGGCAATAATCGCAAAATGTATAAAGACAAATTTCTACCCAACACGAAGGTACCGAGCCCAGGCAGTTTTACAGGCAAGTTCTGTAAAACCTAGATTAACAGAGTTCTTGACAAGGGAGAGAATATAGTCATGGGTTCTTAGTCTCTGTTTCTGGTTGGGCCAATAAAGCCCCTTTCTCCTCCTCCTTTTCCACTTATCACTAGAGTCAGAAACTAAAAAACATGGCTTTGGGCTGCTAAAAGCCTAAGGCAAAACAAAACACAACAACAACAACAACAAAATAAGGCAGGTTGAACCCCTGTGAGGCTGGTATAACCAGGATAAGGCTTATGGTTATCAAAACTAGATAAAGACATCATAAAGCTACAGAAAACCATTCTTACTTGCCAATATTAAATAGAATACATAATGGCAAACCAAATCTTAAGAATAGTATATTATTATAAAATAATTGTGTATCATGACCAAGTAAGGTTGTCACAGGAATGCAAGGATGGCTCAATATTAGAAACCCTATGGGTATTTACAACAATAATATATTTAAAGAGAAAATTCTATAATTTTTATTGCATCTTCTGTTAGAATGGGTTTTAGTTGTAGACTATATATTCCCATTCCACAAGGGCAGGGTACTACTGTACTTCCAGAATCCAGCACACTCACTCCTCCACTTGCAAAAATTTGTGGAGTGCATGCTTGAAGCCAGGCACTCTCCTGGGGATATAGCAATAAGCAAAAACAAAGGCCCTGCTCTCTTAGATCCTGTAGTCTGGTCATACAATGAACAATAAACATTAAATACACAGTTTTAGGTTGTAATAAGTGCTATGAATAAAATAAAATAGGGTGAGAGAGATAAAGGGTGACAAGAGGTGCAATTTTATATAAAGAGGTCAGGAAAGGCCTCCAATGAGGTTAGGAGGAGCACAGAAATCTGCACAAAATGAGGGAGTAAGCCAAGGCCAAATCGAGGGGAGGAGCGTTTCAGGCACGGGAAAGAACAAGTCCAAAAGTCCTGAGTCAGACACTTGCTTGGTTTATCTGAGAAATAGCAAAGAAGCCAGTGTGGCTAGAGCAAAATGGCTGGGACAGAAATGGGGTCAGAGAAGTGGCTAGGGGCCAGTGCCTGCAGGGCCTAGCGAGGAATGGCAAGGACTCCGCATTTCACTGTCAATACACTGGGCAGCAAGGGTTGAGAGTAAAAGGAATTGGTAAGATTGATTTAAAAATTTTAAAGGCTTATTTTGGCTACCATAATGAATAGACTATACCTGGAGCAAAAAGTGGGAACTGGCACACCAGTTAGACTACTATAGAGGCACAGGTGAGAAATGCTGGCTCACACTGGGTAGGAAGGTCCCCCCACTGCATGTCTGCTCACTAAGTATTTGCTTTTTCATTTTTTGATCATATTTTCAGGAAATTTCTATGTGACACATTTGTTAACAAAAGTAATGAATGTCAACAATACAGAATTTTACATGTTGTAAGCACTTTCTGTATTTCCACTTGGGTGAAAAACAAAGGCAAAAGCAATGTCAACACTATCTTTTCTAATGCAAGTCATTAGGAGAAGCATTGACTAAAGACCAATCCACACAGAGTAGAAGATAAAGATTTTGCAATACACTATTTTCTAAATTTGATCATTAGACTAGGGATGCCAACTCTTTTAGTCCCACAAGATCCTCGGGGAGAAAAACATCTTGTAAAAATAACTTTGGGAAATGCTAATACCACATCTAAGATAGATTGGATGCTTACCATAAGCCAGGTCCTCTTGCAAAAGGACCTCTATGTTTTATTTTATTTGATCCTTACAACCACCCTATGATGTAGTGTAGCAGAGATGCTAGCTCTTCCATTCTCCCCGTGATGTAGGCTAAAAACCATCCAGAACCCCCTTCCATGAAGGATATGTTGCTGGTAGTGCTGTTGGCCAGAAGGCCTCTGTCTGTCAGGCTCTTCAGGGATCACCTCAACTTCCAACGGCTCCCTCACCCACAGTCACCCTTCTTCCCATAATGGCCTGTACCTAATGACTGATCAATGTAGGAACATAAAGGCCTGACCATCCTGTGGAGCCTGCATAGTATCCTGACTTCTCTCTCTGCCCTCCCTTCCATCACTACTGATCCAATAAACATTTTGCAAGCTGAACTTCGTCTCAGAGCTGCTTCCTAGGAAACTCAACCTATGATAATCACTCCTCTTCTTTTACAGAAATAAATGCCAAGAATAAAGACATTTCCTAGCTTCCCTTGGAGTCTGCTGGGTGTGGCCATTCAACCATGCTCTGGCCCCTGGGATGAAAATGGAAGTCATGTGTGCAACTTCCAGGAAGTGTTCTTAGCAGTGCCCCTCTTTCTCCTCCTGCTGGCTGGAATGCAGACATGAAGGCTGGAGTGGGAGCAGCCACTTCTTGAGGACAGCAAAGGAACAAGAAAAAAGGAGGCCCTGTGCCAGTCATCAAATCGAATTGATGGTATGTAGCAGAAACAGATTTGAATCTAGATCTGACTCCAAAGCTTATGCTCTCATGCCACACTAAGATGCCTCTGGGAGAAAATTCTGTGATACTTTTCCTTAGGAGAAGCGCTAATTTCATAATTCCTGAGCACAGAAGAAACAGATATGGATGTTCAAATAAAGTGTGCAAACTTAAAGTTAGCTGCAAGAAAGAAGTTCCCAGTTGTAAATACAGTAGATGAAAGAAGAGAGACAGAAATGTGGCTCCTTCCATGGACATCTGAGAGCTTAGACAATGTAAATTGGAAATAATTGCCTAGTGATGTTTTGCCTAGAGACATAGATGTCAGAAACCAATACTTCATACATCTCCTTTAGTCTTGAAATTCCCCTCCAAAGATGAATAATGTCTCTTCCTTTCTTGAATGATGAGGGGTGGAAGAAAGCTCAGCCTTCCAGGCATGATCTGCCACTGGCCCAGGAGGGGAAGACTGGGCTCAGTTACGGATCTGAGATAAGCAATTTGACAGTCTGGCTTGGAACACTGACAGAAAAGAGGTGGGCACATAGAAGTGCTCAGGGAACGCAGTTCTGAAACTTGTCCTAGTGTCTTGCTGCCCCGGCTTTGGGCTACATGCTCAGCCTCACTGCTCAGTGGAGCCTTCTAGTCTTCAAGGACTGAGGTCACTTAGTGTAGCTCTGGTTACTTCCAAGAGAAAATATCTCTCATATAGCCAGCAGCCTTAACCATTAGTACCTTAGGGGAGAGCCACAGCCTCTAGCTGGACAGTTAGCTCACCCAGCCGCCCACAGGCTGGCACTCCTGAGGCAGCTCATCTGGGGCCACTGAGAGGCTTACCACTCTCTTTAGCAACTGGGACTCATCCTCCAAGATCCAGTCACTTTCGGACATGAGGACAGAAGGAAAGGTCAGTGTTGCCCTACCCTGGGCCTAACCAACACCTAAGCTCTCAGACCATCAAGTCAACAAAATACTGAGAAGTATTTGGTTCCAAGACTTCCCCAAATGTAGCATCTGGTTAAATTAATCCAGAATTGTACACGTGGACTCTGACAATGTCATCACCCTCGTCGACCAGCAGTCACAGCTGTTAACAGTCCTGTGTGAGAAAGGCAGTGTTCTGTGGGAGAAACACATGGTCTCTGCAGAGGAACAGACCTGGGTGTGAAGCCCAGCTCTGCCACTTACCAGCTGTGTAACCATGCACAAGTCTCCTGACCTCTCCCATCTACTGTTGACAATGTTAACTACACCGCAGAGCTGCTGTTATGTGTAGAATAAGGGAATGTACATACACACACAGCACATGGTAGGCATTCAGTAAATTTTTGCCACTCTTACAAACAAAAAGGTAGCCTCAGTTTAGGGGAAATTGTATCTTGGAATGAAATTATCAAATCTCCTTAAAGGCAAACCATATAGTAAAAATCGAATTAATTCCATAGTATTTAACTTGACATGAAATGTTTTATAATTTTCACCGTTCCATATGACTATTTTCTTCCTGGTGAAATCCTTCAAAGTCCACACCTCTCATTACTCATTTCCTTCTTATCCAAACCAACTGGATAGAATTAGTCACCTCTGTTCATATTTCCATAGCACTTCTCTCACACCACTAACCAAGTCACTTCAAGCTTCGTTTTATATGTAACACTTTCTCCTATTAGATTGGAAGCTCTTTCATCACAAGAATCATGAACTACCTTCCTTATCCAAACTGCCTAGCACAATGTCTGGCACAAAGCAGGAATTTCATAAATAGTTGGTAAAATTGCAACAATTTAATAAATGCTGTGGCTTCCACGGGATTCATGAAAACTGCTCTCAGTTCCATAATCCTGAAGGCAGCTGTGTTCCTGCAGCATAAAGCATTTCAGAGACTATTTAGTGCCAGTACATTTCACTGGAGAAAATATCATTTTAATGAGAGACTGTCAGTTTAGTTTGTATAGCCTACAGGGTCCTAGTTAACACTGAGTAGGAGAGATCCCATTTTTTATTACAAATCTGAAATTAATTCAATTTTCAGCTTTGCTTGCCTAGTCAATTTAATTCTAATCTTCTTCTTGAAGAGGTAACACAAATGAAACTATCAGAGTAGAAAAATAGGCTGCAGTTTTGCTGCCCAGTGTATAATCATTTTATGCCTCAAAGAAACTGTATGGACACTACCTCAGTTAACAGATTATCGGACAACTGTGAGGAACAGCTGCAACCCCAACTGTGTATGTGTCTGCGTGTGTTCACACATATATACACATACATTCACACACATATGTGATAGCTACCATTTTATAGAAGGAATTTTGTAGCAGACGTTCTGAAAATGGCGTTAGCAGCATTCGTTTTCAAAGAAGACATCCCACATCCAGAGTTTCCTGCATCTGTCTTCATTTATGCAATTAGCAATAGAAATATGGTGATAAACAGCTGATGAAGACCAGTTGAGGCAGAAAAGCTGCATAATTTAAAGATTGGCTTTTGAATAACTGCTGACACGGTGTAAGATACCTATGATAATGTATCCGCTCTTGTATGAGTAAGGAATGGTTGCCTGTGGCGTTACGGGACATGTGGTGACTCACAGGATGACAGAGAATGAGCGTGATGAGAAAGAAAGAATTGGAACAGAATACCAAGGGACACTTCATCTAGCCAGTCCAGGTTAAAGGCTTTAGGGATGATCTGGTGAGAAGGTAGAGAGCCTAAACTGTAATTATAACTCCAAAAATGTGTAGCACGCCATTAACTGCTCAGTAAATTACATAGGCTGGATGACAGAACTCATCAGGCCTGATCCTGCCACTGAGCTCAAGACTCATGCATCTAACTGCCCACTTGACATTGTCATCCAGGCCTGTAACAGACATCTTAAACCCAAAACAGAGCCTTTGACCTTCCACTTCCCCACCCCACATTAAACCTGCTCCTCTCTGTGTTTCCATTTCAGTACATGGTACAACCATTCACCAACATGAAGATGATTACTACATCCACAAAAGTGTGACTGTGGGTAGGAAAGGGCCCTGGGGCAATTCAACACAGAGGACAAGCAGAGAAGCATTCAGCAGAGGATACTAAGAAGGCAGCACTGGAAAGTGGGGAGAAGCTGGAAAAGCGTGCAGTCACAGGAATAAGGGGAAGAACATATTCTGAGAAGGAAGGAACGATCAACTGTATCAACTAACGACAGAGATGTGATTACCCCTAGATTTGTGAACATGGAGGTCATAAATGGCATAAACAAAAGCTGATTTTGTGGAATGGTGGCAAGAGAAGCCCAGCTGGAGGCAACTGAGAAGAGACTAGGAAGTGAGAAGTGGAAAGAACAGACACTAGATGATTATGGAATTAAGAAACTTAGTCTGATGTTGGGTGCTAACAAGTCTCCCTAAGAAATACTGTGGTTTCTCTATTACAGAAGCCAAAGGGCAAGAGGCGATCAACCATCAGTTCATTTAAGGTCAATGACCAAATGCAGTAGAGTTCACAGCTATATCATCCCACAGGAATGAGGAACCATGGAACAGAACTGGAAAGCAAGTGGTCCCAAGTGTGCTGGTGTCAACTTTTAGAGTGACCAAATGTCCAACGGTCCCAGCTTACACCTGTTGTCCCAGTGTAATTATTAAGGACTCTCAAAATGTCCCAGTTTGGATGATAAATTATATCCTTATACTATTTATAGTTCACCATCTCCTTATCCAACACTGAACAAGCTCTACATGACTTAGGTTAAGCAAGATCACTATTTAAGTTAGAAAACTGCCCAAGACTGGCCCATGGCAAGAAGCTCAGGACAAATATTTGAGTATACTGATAGACTATCAATTTTACTGAAAAATATTAAAGGGCTTCTTCATATCAGTCCACAGAATGCAAAATTATCTGCATTCAGTCAAGTCTAAAATTCTAAATTACAATAATATAATATAATAGTGGGATACTTAGAAAAAGGCCTACAAAGATCTATATAAAATTTATAGTGGCTTTCCAGAGTCCGAGAGGAGGAGAAAACTGGGAGGAATTGGTCAAAGGGTACAAAGTTTAAGTTTCAGTTATGCAAGATTAACAAGTCCTACGGATCTACTGGACAGGATAGTACCTAGAGTTAACAACACTGTATCACACACTTAAAAGTTCACAAAGAGATCTTATGTGAAATGTTCTAATCACCATCATAAAGAGGGCAGAAGAAAACTCTTGGACGTCATGAGTATGTTTATGGCATACATTGTGGTGATGGTTTCACAGGCCTCTACTCACCTCCAAACTCATCAAGTTGTACACTTTAAATACATACAGCTTTTTGAATGTCAATAACACCTCAATAAAGTATATAAAATTTTGCTTATACTGGCTGCCGTAGGAGAGTGAGAGTTGGGGTGGCTGGGGGTGAGGATATTTTAAATGTATATGCTTCAGTAGTTTTCAATGTCTTACAGTGAGCATGTATTACTTTTGTACTACAATTTTTAAAAATGTACTTAAACATACCCATCCATTCTCAAAAATAAGAACCCATCATAGATCAGGTGCATGGTATTAAAATCTGCTTCTCTAGGGCTTGTCCCTGTAGCACTCAAATTGTTGGCTCTGATGGATAAATTGAAGTGAAACCAGATGTCCTCTGCTGCATCCCTATGGCAATATTCTAGCCTAGAATTATAGTGAAGTCTTCTGACATCACTACTAATTCATCAAAGCTTCCAGACAACCCACCAGGTGCACACTGCAGCCAGACTGGCTCATATAAATCTTTGCCAGTTTATTTTAAATGTCCTGTCAGATTCGGGTATCTCAACCAGCTTATCTGTACATTGTATTTTGATTAATCAAAATAAGTCATTTCCCAGCTTCTTGGATAGTGTGGTTCTTAACTACCCAGCTTTCCACTGAAAGCTGAAACTCATACAGACAAAATCTTATGCAAAGTCATCATTATCCACATGTGTTGGCACTATGCAGACATGAACATGAGAAGTATTTCAATTAGAACCTATAAATCATAGATTGGGATTTACAATGTCTTGTATAATTGTTACTTATATAGAAGCCAAAATCCCATTTATTTTCTAAAAAAAAAACTTTGAGTAGAAAATTTATATATATTTAACTATTAAACAGAAAAGTTTTAGAACTTTAAGATGTAAAGCTTCAGAGATGTTGTAATCTGTCTTCTTCACAGATGAGAAAACCAACTCAGAGGAGATAATGGCTTGCCCAAGATCACACAGAAAGAGGATAACAGATCTTGGGCTACAATCCGGGCCTCACGACTCTCTGCATCTCTACCATGTTGCTTGTCACCAACCAAAAACATTTTCGTGGACATTCCACAGAGAGAGATTTACGCAAATTAACTATAAAATGATTAAATATAATCCATTGAATGTAAATAAACTGTTTACAAGTGTTCTTGTCACTGTGTTGCCTGCCACCCTGAAAACTTTACAAAAGAGCCAATTCAGAATTCCTCATATCATATTGGGAAGAAAAGTAGTAGTGGGGACCAACTAGGAAAAGTCCTTGCATGTCATCCTTGAGATACCATATCTATCAGTAGTTCTAGCAATAAGATGCCAAAACATTGCAAAGTCAGTTTGATTCTCTGACAGTTGCTGAATCCTTTTAACTAAAAAGTAAGTACATAAAGGAATGGCATCCCTGAGATCAACTAAGGCCAAAACAACATGTTTTCATTGTTCTCAAAGGCCAATGAATCATCAAAAAAAAAAAGTTTTTCTGATCTGTTTAGAACTATAATGAGAACTGAAACAGGATATCACCAATGAGGAGGTAGCCTTGGCATATGATCTCATCTACAATGTTCCCTTTCAAGAGGCCCACATCTGAACCAATGAAAGAAACTTACCTAGACAACAATTCCACACTCTCTACAAAGCCTAAGAATCATTACTCTGAATGTGATCTCATGCAGATGTTTGCAGGTGAAATTCAAAATTAAATTAAAAGTACTTCTTCTGGCTGGCATGTTGACTCACGCCTGTAACCCCAGCACTTTGGGAGGCAGAGGCAGGCAGATCGCTTGAGCTCAGCAGTTTGAGACCAGTCTGGGCAACATGGCAAAAACTTAATCTCTACAAAAAAATACAAAAATTAGCCAGGCATGGTGGAGCATGCAGCAAGAGGACTGCTTGAAGCCAGGAGTTCGACACCAGCCTGGGCAATATAATGAGACCCCGTCTCTACAAAAAATAAAAAATAAAGAAAGTACTTCTTCCAATATTTTTGCAACATACACACACACACATACACACACACACACACACACACACACACACACACTCTTCATACCACTTAATTACTGTATAGGTCCAGGCAGGCTACTCAGTAAATATGTGATACACAGAACTAAATTGCAATAGACATAGTAGAAATAAAATAAAATAGATATTTGAGGTGAAATATCTTTTTAGACTGGAGACTAAAAGTATTGCATGGGTGTTTCTTAAAATAAAAGTATACTATCCAGTCTTGATATAAATATCTATTTACATGTTATTTATTTTTATCTAGTAGATTCTACTTTATCATCATATAATAAAAAGGCAAAACAATATCTATGTTGATGCATTAGAATCTAGGCATTTTTTCCCTGGCTGTAGGTTCTTCTTCATTGAATAGGGCTTGTCAAACTGTCCTGTTAATACTGAGTTAAATTGTGTTTATGTTGCATCAGTTAATACTTTGCTGTAACAGTGTCAAAATAGTATTCAAGATGCTTCAAAGAAACAGTGACAGCAAACAGATGCTCTATAAAAACCTACTTTGACTGCCTCATTCAAGGAGGGTAATTTTGACACAAAATACTATATTTCTAGATATTATTTTTTTCCTAAAATTATGTGAAAGCAAACTATTCTGCTAGTGATATTTAATATACTTGGTGCTACTTTTAGCTGCTATTGCAAACAAAGGATAGCAGATGATCCATCATGAAAAGTATTCAGTATGAAGTTACTTATTTGTGAGAAATAAATAAATGTTATTTACTGTACAATAGAATAAGGCATATAATGACGAAGACAATTAGGAGATAATTCTGAAGCTAAACAAAGGACATATATGTAAACATATAAACAAAGGACATATATATTCAAAATAACAGAATCTAATTTGGCAATCATAATAATAATTTACTATGCCATGAATCATCAGTTGATGCTAAAACTCCTGTGTGAAAGTTTGATTAGAAACAGATATTTACACAGACTCAAACTGTATTTCCACAAGATATATGTTAATTACAAAGGAAAAAAAAATAGTAACTTTGCCATAGAGAAATCTGGCAGATCCCCTAAACCAAGTGACCAAAGTTAACATTACCAGTAATAGGACAAATTAATATCATGTGCCTCCTGATATTATGTACTAAGAAGAATACATCATTTCTGTGATACTTCTGCCAAAATTATATAAACAAAATTGTAAGAAAACACTGGACAAACCCAAACTGACGGTCATTCTATAAAATAACTGCCTTGTATTCTTCAGAAGTATCAAGGTTATGAAAGACAAAGAAAGACTAAGGAAATGTTCTAGATCAAAGAAGACAAAACAGACTTGATATGTTTAACACGTGATCTGGGATTTTCTTTTGCTCTGAAGGACATTATTGGGACAATTGCCAAAATATTAATCAGATCTATACATCAGCTATTGTTTAAATATTATTTTATTGATTTTGAAAGCTATACTGTGGTTACACAAAAGAAGTCCTTGTTTTTAGTAACTACACAAGGTGTCTGGTCTGCAACTTACTCTCAAGTGGCTCAAGAAAAAAATATGTATCTACATACATATACATGTGGATAGATGAAGGAAAAGAATAGAGAGAGGAAGGAAAGTGTGAGAGGAGGAGGTGGAAAGAAGGGAGAGAGAATAAGAGAGAGAATATTAAAGCAAATGTGGCAAAATACTTAACATTTGAGGAATCTGGGTGAAAGGTATATTGGTATTCTTCTTACACATCTTGGAACTTTTCTAAGTCTAAAATTGCTTCAAAATAAAAAGTAAAATAAAAAAGAAAGTAGATTGTATGTAGATAAGAAATGGTTAAAGTATTTATTGACTATTTATTAAGTACCTATTTTATAATGGTATAGATGGTACCATAGGGACTAAACTAAAAAGAATGCATGACGCCTGTAATCCCAGCACTTTGGGAGGCCGAGACTGGTGGATCACGAGGTCAGGAGATCGAGACCATCCTGGCTAACACAGTGAAACCCCATCTCTACTAAAAATACAGAAAACTTAGCCGGACATAGGGCGGGTGCCTGTAGTCCCACCTACTAGGGAGGCTGAGGCAGGAGAATGGCGTGAACCCGGCAGGCGGAGCTTGCAGTGAGCCGAGATCGTGCCACTGCACTCCAACCTGGGCGACTAAGCGAGACTCCATCTCCAAAAAATAAAAATAAAAATAAAAGAATGCATAAAATTTGTTTGCCCTTAAGTTTGTAGGGAAAAGAGGGTAAACAACCAGAGAACAGTTCAAAAGAGGAGATATATAATTAAATGCTAAAATTATAGATATAGATAATTCATAACAAGTTTTAGCCATTGTTTAAGAAGATTTAAAATTATGTCAATCCATACTAAAAATATAAGATCAGCATTTCTCTTCTTAAAAATACCCTTGTAAGTAATTTCTAGAGATCTGCTTATGTGTGTTAAATTATACACAATAAGTTAGAGGCTGAATATAATAAATATTTACTGCTTCTAAAACTTCTACGATCACTTAAATTTAAAATTCAGGTAGTTTTCCACTCAAAGGAAGATATCCAGAAAATATATTATTACGAGAAAGTGGGAAATAAAGAAAAAAAAATTCTAATGTAGGCAAAAGAGAGGAAAAATTTTAAAAATGGAAACAAACACTGAAAGCAAAAATATTAGCTAACTATTCATATGTGTGATTTAACCATCTCCCACTAATCAAATGCCAACAATCCCAGGTGGAAAAAATTCACTACAAGCTTTAATGGAAGCACTCATGAATAAATTTTGGCATAAGCAGTTTTGTAAATAGAAGAGGTTAAATAGGAATCTGGCATCTCCTACCATGCATATACCAAATAGAAAGAAAGCTGAAAAGGCCACCATGGCCTTTTGCTGCCCCATTTCCCCAAACTGCGTTTGATTCTGCCCTAGGCAGAACAGTATTTAACCAGTCACTCCTGATGAGATAGGTGATGTTCTTAAAAACAAGTTCAGCCTTTAACCTATTCTTGTATTTATTGATGAAGGCACAATTTAATTTTATCTTCCCCAAAGTTAAAGCAGGGGGATTTCACATTAGCCACTGAATTACTAAGCATTAATGTAAGCAATGCAAACATGCCTACACAAGCAACAAGAAGCAGACAAGTGCAATTTAAAGTTAATGCACCTCAAATTCCTTATACAAGTGGAGTGCCCCCAGGTTTCACGAGCAATAGGGATAATGAATTTATTTGTGATTGCTTTGGGGGGATCAGATGTTGAGTTAATTATCAGCTCAACTTTTTTCCTCTTGGTCTAATCTCGCTAATTCTATATTTACTTTAAATGGCTCTCATTTGAATTTTCCAACTTCATAACGTGTAACTAATAATATTCCCACTATGTCTACTTTGTGCCAGTTTGTTTTGTATTAGGAAATTATATGGACTTAATCTTATTTTACAGGCAGACAGGCACACAGCATAAATGGCCGCTGTCTATAACCTTTCTAAAATGGCATATTGAAAATAACTGGACTGCTTGGAGGTTGAATGATGACCTTGGACAGGTTACTTAACTCAGCCACTTTTGCCAACCTAAACAAAATAAAATGCTGACTAGAGGGCAGGAAGTTAAGAAGGTCAACGAGGGAAAAGGCCAGAGGCCTGAGAATGTCCCTGTCCTTCAACTTCTGTCCACCCCTGGGTCAAAACCCTACAAGATGGCACAGAACAACCAACGGAGTTTGGAGAGGCCTTCAGGGCTGGAGATCTTGAACCTCACTTCCCAGCCTCGCTCTGGCAGAGAAGGGAGCCTGAAGGCAGCATCAGAGCCAAGGTGCCCCCTAGTGTCACGCCCTGAAAGCACCAGAGCCTTTCCAAACCCTCACCCTACCCTGCCAGGCCTGCTGAAGCTGTTTTCCGATGAAATTAATGTCATACCCAATTTTTACCTTAACCACTTTGAATACATTCACCCTTTTAGGCTCCTGGTAGAAGGAGAAAGACGATTTTCATTCTCCATATTTTCTATGACTTGGAGAACAGACAGTAATATCTCTACCCACCTACCCATCCAAAAACCACACAAATGCACCTAGCCAAACACTGTGTTTGATTTTAAATTCTCAATATTCTTTAAAAGCAGATTGCTAACTTAAAAGATAATAAAATGAAAGAAGCTTGGAATACTTCTCTGAGTATATCTTATTTTGTATAGTCTGGAGTTTTGGAATCATGTTAAAGTTCTATAAACATTCAAAAATTCAATTAGATCAACAAGAATAGAGGGAGAAGCCTAAAACTGAATGTAAACCTAACTGTATTCCAGTGAACCCAACTTTATTTAAAATGAATAACATAACCATGCTGAATTTTTAAAATACAGAACTAATCCAAGTAACTTCTGAACATAGAACTTTGACTATTCATGCTCAGTGTAAAGAAATATAAAAGAACTGCAAATAAATCTTGAACTCTTCTTAGCAGTTTGTTTTTCATACTCGATGGGTATACAATCCTGAAACTATTTTATGCACATTGCAGGATGGATCAAATGAATAAATGTATTATGTTTTGTGAGCCAGACTTCTCACTATGGAAGAAAAGAGACATAAATAATAAATGGGAGAAACCAAGGAAGAATGTAGGGTGGGAAGCTGTGTTGGAATTGGGGGGTTACCAGTATAAACTTAAGATGTTTAAATGTATCTCTATCTTTTTAGCTATATATATGAGTGTGTAGGTATATATATTCCCCAGCTCCATCTGCTGAAAAGGTCAAGAACAATGACATTCTGGCACAGCAATGATCACAGATCACAGTTCTTAAATACCAGTCCCACTAAAAGAACCAGAATTTCTTGGAGAAATTGATTCCAGTGCTAGGGAAGGGAAAGTACAAAATGGACCTGGAACAGCTATGATGCCAAACAGCAATAAGATGCTACACAAATTTATAAAGCATGTCAGAAGGACAAAGGAAATAGATAAATGGAGTTCCTATTGGCCCTGGGGATAATCTGAGCATCAAAATAAATAAGGGCAGGAAGCACTTTATTATAGCAGAATGTCAACTAATAAATATGGAAGGAACAATGGAGTTTTTAAAAGTCACAAATTCAGACATAAATTAGCAACGGATACTAAATCTGGAGGTGGGAGACGCTTGGGGAGTAAGATATTTATGTGGAGTCTTAAAAAGCACTTCCACTCAAATTACTCTATAATTAGAAAAGAAAAAAATAGTAACTATATGATAGAGAAAATGGATAACATTTAATGATCGATTTTACCATGATCAGATTGAACATCACCAATAATGAGTGGATAGACATCATGCATTCCCATCCGTGATGTTCTGAGGAGGACACACTATCACTTCTGAGGTACTCCAGCCAAACATGCATACCCTAAAGCTGATCATGAGGAAACATCAGATAAACCCAACTTGAGGGACATTCAGTAAAAGAACTGGCCTGTGTTCTTCTAAAATGTCAATGTCCTAAAAGATAAAGAGAGGCTTAGGCACTTTTCCAGATTAAAAGAGACTAAGGAGACATGAAAATGAAATGCAATACATTATCTGAGCTGGATCTTATACCAGAAAAAAATTGCCCTAAAGGCAATTATTGGCATTACTGACTAAAGAAGAATATAGAGCAGATAACAGTATTGTGTCAACATTAAATTTCCTGAATTTAATAACCATACTGTGGTTATACAAGTGACTATCCTTATTCTTAAAATTACATGTTTTAGTATTAAGGGTAAAAGGGAATGATGCATTCAACCTACTTTCAAGTGATTCCAAAAAAAAAAGCAATACTAATGCGTATCTATAAAGAGAAAGAATAACAAAGAAAATGTGTCAAAATACTAAAAATGGATGAAATCTGTGGACTATTCTTGCTATTTTTCTACAAGTTTGAAATGATTCCAAAATAAGTTTAAATAGACTTATATTTTAAACTTAAAGCATAGGTACCTCAACTATTTTTGACCATTTTAAACATTTCCATATCATAATTCAGACAAATTAAAGTCAAGCTATATCCACAGAGTTTATGATTTATGTTAGTGAAAGAATCACTTTTGACCAAATTGCAATGTGATTCATAAATGTCCACTTTTATGCCTTTGTGATTTTTTAAATGATCAACCAAATTTGATAATTTAATTACATTCACATATTATATACCTCAGATAAAACTAGTAAGCTGCTCTGAAAAGGGGAAATACCTTATTCAACTTTCTTACCAGAAATTATAAACACTGAAGGACTAAGCTTTGTTTAATCCCTGGTATTTCCCCAATTAATAAAAATAAGCACCTTCATTTATGCTTTTTTTTCAGTTAAGCATTAATAAAAAAGAAACAAAGCGTATTGTTTATTATCATATTTTTTGGTTCACAAAACTGCAAAATTCAAGTTTATAACATTAAACAAGTCCGTTCCACAAACTGGGAGTACTATGACTTTGGTAGTCTGTTTAAAATCATATTCTCAGATGAAATAACCATATGGAAAACAATTTCTCAACAATGATGAGAGTTATTATCATTTGGCTGCACTACCACTAAGAATAAAGTGGAATTAAAACCATAAAGCAGAGAAGCTGAAATCTAGTTTCTCAAATGCCTTGGGATTAACTTCACTAGCATAAACCTCAAAGATACTGATTACCAAACTCAGTACTTCCCAGATTAATAAAAACATTATTGGTCACCATTCATCATACTAAGCCTCATGCTTCTAGATTCAGGAGGTTTGTATTTCCCAGACACAGAGTAACTTCCATCTTTCAGTCTGTCCCAGATTCTTTTTCTAGTAAAAAAAAAAAAAAAAAAAAAAATGCTCCCTCAACTTCAAAGCAATGGGGAGAGAGAATGGATCTCATGTACACCTCCCATCTTTGAAATCTTCCGAATTCCAGGACAAAAGCAGTGATTCTCTGTCAAGGTTTGTTTGTATAAGGGAAAGATAGAAACTTACTTCTTCATATAAGAAAGAAAACCCAGATAAAATTACATTTGGCAAAACAAATTGAATTTGATAGTGTCATATACCGGCCAGATGGTAGGGAAACAGGTACTCTGCAAGCCTGCTGCCTCTAGGTACTGCAATTCTAGGCTATATTGAAACTGAAAATGGGCATACCTGTGACTAACCAAGTCCACCTCTAGATATCTCCCTAGAGGGCCACTCTCCCATGTGTGCAAGGATTCACTGAAACACTGTTTGAAAAGCAAAAGAACCTAGAAGTCTGTCAATAGGGGAATTTATGTAAAGAAATCAAGCACATGCATAAAGCAATACTCTGTTATGTTCTTGGGTAGTACGTGAATATAAAGATCTGAAAAATATATACCAAACTCATAGCAGTAGTGAATATCTGGGGAGCATGGAGGGAGACCAGGACAGGAAATGAAAGCTTCATTTGGAATGTTCTAAAATTAAAAAAAAAAAAAGAAAACTTATTCATGTATTACTTAAGTAGTTAAAAATTAATTTTCAATGATTAAAAATATGGATCGAGTCAAACACTAAATAAATCTAAGACCAAGATCAATTTGACTACAAAATAGTGGAAACTGAGAAAAACTGGAAGTTAGGCTATTTAAATTACTAACATTCTTAATGCATCAGAGTAATGGCCCAGAATCGGAGCCGGAGTCTTGATCCTGCTGTGTATAATGATCCTGCTGATATCTAGAGCAAGTTATCTTATTTCTCACCTACACTTAATCATTAAAATATATATAAATATATATTATATGTAAACAAAGATTTTATATATATATATATGGAGGGAAGGAAGTTTCCTCAACTATTAATTACATCTAATTTTGTCCAACCTCGAACTTCACTCTTGGATCACCTTAGCACAGCCTAACATTGGGATATAGTTAAAATGTCTCCATTTTGAGCAGATTCTGCATGCTCTCTCCTGAGCATTCACATGCTAGCTTGGTGATGAAGATGTGTTGGTATAAATCCAACTTTTCTTTAGATTTAAATGAGTTGGTACATGTAAAGTTTTTAGAGTTTTTAAAGTTTTTCTCTCTCCCCCAGATTTGGCATCCATTGCTAATTTATGTCTGAATTTATGACTTTTAAAAACTCTATAAAACCTTTAAAAGCTCCTTAAATGAATAAAGTTACTATGCGTTTAGTCAGCATTCAATAAATATTAGCAAATAATATTATTGCTATTTCCAAAATAAGTGACTCATTTTAGCACTTCCCCCATGATCTTATAATAGTTACCACCACTATTCTTTCTAGTATTACCATAAAATACTCCAGAAAACCAAGGTTACTCATTCAATTAGCTATAAAAAAAATTCTTTGGACAGTATTCCTAAACTCAAGTTTTGAAGATAGCTACATGAAATACCAGTCAAAGCCACTGTAAACTGTGGGCCTAATTATCAGATATGCATATTATTATTCATCTAGTATGAACTTGTCATTTCCTACTACCTGAAAAGAAGACATGCTAGACACAACAGACTGTTACACAGCTGTTTCATAATCACACATTTCACAAATGGAAAATGGAATTGAAAACATCCACCTAATGGAGGCTGCTTCACTGGGTCTAAGAGGGAGCCACACAAGAATACTGGGTCGTGTGCTGAGTGCCAAGCACTCCATCCCTATTTTTTGTTTTCAAGTGTGTGATCCATTATGTACTATATGTGGAAGTGATGAAAACAGGAAGAAAATCTATAGCTCAAAAAGGCAACTTATGAACCACCCATATTTTATGTTTGCAGAGCACCCCTGCATTACCCTACATTGCTCTATGAAGGAGTGTCACCTGGAATGTAGCAAAACTGGGATTAAAAAAACAATGCTCTCAGACCAATCTGTAACCCATCCCTGCAAAGCCTCTTAAAACAAGATATAGCATCATATTCTTTTATAAAATATTTACTGACACCTGGTTTGGGCCAGGTACTTTGGTAGGCACTAGATATTTAACAGTGAACAAGATAACATGATCCTGTCTTCCAGAATCAGTCACAAGGAAGAGAGAGACAAACAAATGGATGATATACTACAGGGTAATAAGTACTACGTTGGAGGAAGTATAATATACTAGGGGACAATACAGGGAATGGGGGACTGGGAAAACCGTCCCAGAGAAAATCACTTCTAAACAGAGATCTGAGAGATTAGTAAGAGACAGTGAAGCAAAGATGAGAAAATAGAACATTTCTGAAACCACACGTATAGAGGTCCAGAAATAAGAGAAACTATAAGAGCACATTCTGGGCCATCAGAAGCAAGGCAAAACCTACTCTGTAGGGATGTCTCCACAACCAGGACATACAGGACTCCCACCAGAAATAGTATTACACTGGACAAAGAAAACAAGTCACTGTAAGGAAGACTCAGGAGACACAGCAAGCAAGACAATTAGCATCCCTTCTTTCCACCCACTCCCCTCTCCCTTCAGGACTTGAAAACAATAGAACAGCTGGAAAGATTTTAAATCTATTTAAAATCAATAAAAAGATGAAGGTGTAGATATCACATGGTAAGAATAATGCATACGAGAACAGAAGAAAAGTGAAAGTCAAATAAAACTCATAGAAATGAAAATTACGGTGACTGGCATTCAAAATCCAATGCAAGACTTTCAGTTTTAAAGCATTTATCTATGCTTCTTGCCAAATTGAAAAGATAGGGAGTTATTTTAAAAGACACAGGCCCACAAAGACAAAGAGAACAAGAAGAAAGGATAAAGTATGCAAAAGAAACCTTGAAGAAAAAAAAAAAAAAAGGAGCTGGAAAGCAAATGAGTAAGTGGTGACTGATTTTAGAACCCTAAGAAATCTAAGCCTACCAGGGCGAGGGTGGGAGGAAGAAGGGGGAAGTCAGAAAGAAGCAGCCAGCTCACAGCCGGAAACCTGGAAAGGCTCAGGGCCTTGCAGATACATATCCTGAAGGCTGGAGTGGAGGGAGGGGGTGAAAGTAGGAGGACTAGTTGAGAGCTTGTGTAAAGAACAGTGAGTCCACCAGAATCCTCCTCTCACCCAGCAGAACTCTGGAGATTTACTCTCTGGGGCTGCCCAGCTGAGGAAAGCTCATACAGGAAGTTAAGTGAGTCGGCGGCCTTGTGAACCATAAAACCTCTCTCCATTTTACTCCTGGAACACTTGCCACCAGGTATACTGCATACCCCACGGTCACCCCCAGGCAAGAGATTGGAGGTTCCTTTCTGGGGAAACTGACCAACACAAGAGAAAATGCCCCTCCATCCTGACATTGTATTACAGCATCCTCCATTGCAAAGGCGGTGCACCACCTTAACACCCTATGGTGAAACCACTCATCAACACTGCCCCTCATATAGAGCTCCCAATTTGCTTTCAGGGGTCTTGCTCTTAAATACAAAGAGAGCCAAAGCCTGCCCAACATCTGATGAAAGCCTTGAACCTAAAAGTTAAAGACCAATACAAATATACAGGAGAAAAAGGGAATGCTGAGGTGACAGAGAAAAGGAAGGAGACATAAGGGAGGGACATAATTAATATACTCAGAAAAAAGAAAAAATATGGCAATATATTGAAACAAGAAGGTATAAAAAAGAAAAATTCAGTAAATTTTTAAAAAGCATTTTAAAATATAAAATATAAAAATAAAAATTCAACCGATTTGAATGACAAAATAGAAAAATCTACCAGAAAATAGAAAACAATAATAATAAGGAAAATAGGATTACAATTACAGATCCAGGAGGTCTCAAAACTACCAAAAAGCTTTGAAGAAGAAAGAGCAAAGAGAATGGAAAGGAAGGCAAGAAAACATTCCAGAACTGAGACTCAGGAGTTTGTAGGTTGAAAGGCCCAAAAAAGGCAAGATCAATGGATGGAAGACCCAAACAAAGCCACATTATTGTTAAATTTCAGTATGCCAGGAATAATGACCCAGAGTATCAGAGAAAACCACAACAAAAATAAATTAGAAATCCTACCTTTTAAGAAAATAACCCCAAATCAAAAAAAAGGCTTTTTGTAGAAAAAAATGCTCCTGAGAACATCATTTATAAAAAGGAAAATATAAACTTAAAAAAAGATTTTTTTAAAAAGGAAAATAAAAGAAACACCCTACTGCCCAAATACAAGAGAAATGGTTCAAGAAACTGCTGTGTATGACAATATAAAATCAGGACCAAAACCCAAACTTGTATAAACAGCATGCTCACAGACATAAAAACATAAGCACATTAAAGGAAACAGAATGAATATCCATTAAAATGTTAACATTTAGACATCCACTCTGTGTTGGACAAAGTGAATTTTATTCTACCAACCTTTCCATTGAGAACTTCTATAAAAGCTAGATAAAATTAAAGAGCACAGTCGATTGAAGACACTGATGAACAAACCAAAGCAGGAGGAATTTTAGGGGCAGGGATCCTGACAGAAGAGCAATGCCCTGAACATTAAAGTAAGCCCTAAATTTCACCCACTCTGCCTCCTTGGGGCATTTACCAATTTGCAGTGCAGAGCCCAGAGGGTAAGCAGAAACTGCCACCTATCGCTCACGGCATTCTCACTGAATGAGAGAAACAAAACTTAGAATTCAGGGCTTCCAAGGCAGCCTAAACTTAAGGAAGAGGGCCAAGATCCAAATTAAAAATGGTATGGCAGAGAGGAAAGTCCAACCCTCTGCATACAATTTCCCCTTAAGGTATTTGCCGATTCCTAACCAGTACATACAAGAAGGAAGAGCTTTCTTAGCCAAGCAGAAAACAGCGGTTAAGAGGTTAAAAACCTAAGCAGAACCACCCTGGGCAACATGATGAAACTCCGTCTCTACTAAAAATAGAAAAATTAGCCAGGCGTGGTTGCCTGCACCTGTAGTCCCAGCTACTCAGAGGCTGAGGTGGGAGGATCGCTTGAGCCTGGGAGGTGGAGGGTGCAGTGAGCTGAGATCACACCACTGCACTCCAGTCTGAGTAACAGAGCCAAACCCTGTCTCGAAAAAACTAAAAAATTATATTTCTATATACTAGCAAAAATAATTAGAAAATGAACATTGAAAGTATACCATCTGCAATAGCATCAAAACCCATCAAATACGTAGAGATGAACATCAAAAGATGGATAAGACTTCCTCCAGAAAATTATAAACCATTACTAAGAGAACAAAGTAGAGGGATATATCATTTTCATGGATTGGAAGACTCAATATTATAAAGATGTCAATTCTCTCCAAAGTGATTTATACAATCAATATAATCTCAATCAAAATATCAGCAGGTTTTTAATGGAAATTGACAGATCAATTCTAAAACTGATACAGAAATACAAAGGACGCAGAATACTCAAGACAACTCTGAAGAAGTACCACAAAGTCAGAGAGGTTATATTCTCAGAGTTCAAACTGCAGTAATTAAAACAGCGTGGCGTCAGTGCAAGGATGAAGACTAATGGATCAGAATGGAATCCAGAAACAGACTTATTAGGGCTGCCTGATTTATGACAAGGTTGCCACTAGTTCAATGGGTTAAAAAATGATCTTTTCAATAATAGATCTGGGTTAACTGTATATCTGTATTTAAAAAACAAATTGCTAATCATGACCATCTCATAAAATCATTTCCATTGGATCACAGACCTAAATTTTAAAGGTAAATCAATAAAGTTTCTGGAACTGTGGTATCCATTGTGGTAACCACTAGCTACATGTGACTAACTACATTTAATTTTGAATTAATTAAAATCTAATAAAATTTAAAATTTAGCTTTCACTAACCACATTTTAAGTGGCCAGTAGCCAAATGTGACTAGTGGGCTACCACTGGACAGTACAAACATAGAACATTTCTGCACTTCAGAAAGTTCTACTGGACAGTGCCGTTTTGAGAAGATTACATAGGAAAATCTTTACATAACCCTGAATTGGGGAAATATTTCATTAACAGGACCCAGACAGCACTAATCATAAAGTAAAAGATTGATAAAGATTGATAAATTGGACTTCACTAAATAAAGAATGTCTGATCATCAAAGAATACAAATGCAAGCCACAGAATGGGAGAAGATATTTGAAATATAGAATTGACAAAGTACTCATATCCAGTATATATAAATAACTCATATATATCAATAAGAAAAAGACAGGCAACCCAGTTATTTCAAATGGTCAAAAAGACCTGAAGAGGCACTTCACAAAAGAGGGTATCAAAATGGTCACTAAGCACATGAAAAGGTGCTTGTACTAGTTTCCTATTGCTGCCATAATAGGAAATTACCATGAACTTAGTGGCTTCAAACAACACAAATGTACTAACTTACAGTTCTGAAAGTCAGGTGTCCAAAATGTGTCTCAATGAACGAAAATCAAGATTTTCAAGGCTGACTAGTGGTCAGATTTTCAAGACAGGTGCAGTGGCTCCCACCTGTAATCGCAGCTAACTCAAGAGGCTGAGGCAGGAGGATTGCTTGAGGCCAGGAGTTTGAGGCCAGCTTGGGTAACGTAGCAAGATTCTGTCTCTAAAAAAAAAAAAAATTTTTTTTTTTGAGACGGAGTCTCGCTCTGTCTCCCAGACTGGAATGCAGTGGTGTGATCTCGACTCACTGCAACCTCCGCCTCCTGGGTTCAAGCAATTCTCCTGCCTCAGCCTCCCGAGTAACTGGGACTACAGGTGCAGGCTGCCACACCCGGCTAATTTTTCTATTTTTAGTAGAGACAGGGAGTCACCATGTTGGTCAGGCTGGTCTCGAACTCCTGACCTCGTGATCCACCCGCCTTGGTCTCCCAAAGTGCTGGGATTACAGGTGTGAGCCATCGCGCCCAGCCAAAAAAATTTTTTTAATTAGCCAGACATGGTGATGTGCACCTGTAGTCCCAACTACTCGGGAGGCTGAGGCCAGAGAATCACTTGAGCTTGAGGCCTGGAGTTCGAGGCTGCAGTGAGCTATGACTGTACCACTGCACTCCAGTTTGAGCCACAGAATCAGACCCAGTCTCTCAAAAAAAAAAAAAAAAAAACTCAGGACTGCATTCTTACTGGGGGCCCTAGGGAGACTGGGAGACTCTGTTCCTCTGCTTTTTCTACCTTCTAGAGGCTGCCCACATTTCTTGGCTAGCAGGTCCCTTTCATCTTCAAAGCCAGCAATGGTCAGTCGAGCCTTCCTCATAGCATCACTACTTCCATCATGGCATCTCCTTCTCTGACTCCCTGTCACTCTCACTTATAAGGACCTTTATGATTACATTGAGCCCACTGGGATAATCCAGGATAAGCTCCTCATTTTAAGATCCTTAACTTAATTACATTGATAAAGTCCCTTTTGCCATGTAATGTCACATATTCACAGGCTCCAGGGATCAGGACATCGATATATCTTTAGAGGAACATCATTGTGACTACACTAGTGCTCAATGTTATTGATGATCAGAGAAAATAAAATTAAAAACACAATGTGGTACTCCACACCAGGATAATTAAAACTGAAAAAGACATTCAATACCAAGTCTTGGCAAGAATGTGGAGAAACTAGAACTCTCATACATTAGTGGTATATAAATTGGTAAAACCATTTGGTAATATACCTATTAAGGCTAAACATGTGCATGCCCTATGATCCAGGTGTCAAAAGACATGTATAAGAATGTAGCCGGGCACCGTGACTCACGGAGTTCGAGACCAGCCTGGCCAACATGGTGAAACCCCGCCTCTACTAAAAATCCAAAAATTAGCTGGGTGTGGTGGCGGATGCCTGTGGCACCAGCTACTTGGGAGGCTGAGGCAGGAGAATCGCTTGAACCTGGGAGGCAGAGGTTGCAGTAAGCCGTGATCGTGCCACTGCACTCCAGCCTGGGTGACAAAGTAAGACTCTGTCTCAAAAAAAAGGTTTAAAAAGAAGCATTATTTATAGTAGACTCAAAGTGAAAACAACCCAAATGTCCAATAGTGAACACAATAAATTATATTTATCACTTCTTGGCCTTTTGGCTAAGAGCAAGTACAGAATAAATTATATTCACACAGTAGAATACTATACAGCAATGAAAAAGAATGAACGAATGCTATCTACTACAACATGCATGAATTTCATTGACAAATGTTGAATAATTCAGCCCCACACAAAAGAGAACATATTTTATTATTCAATTTTTATAAAGTTCAATATCAGGCAAAACATATCTACATAAGAGGAGTCAGAATAGTGGTTATCTTCAAGAGGGCATAATGACTGGGAAGTGGTAGGTGAGAGGTTCCAGGCTGCATTAATGTTCTATTTCTTGATCTGGGTAGTAGTTATATGGGTATATTAACCTTGCTAAATTTCATCATAAACACATAATTTTTATACTTTTTTATATATGTGTTATATTTCAATTAAGAAGTTCACAAAAATGTGAACAGATATTTGGGGTTCAACTATGAATAATTTTTTCCTTTCTTGTCTTATTTTTAAAATTTTGTTTAATGAGTAAATATAGGTATTATAATGGTGGAAAAAAAGTAACTTTTAAAAAACAGCAGAACTGAGATTCTGTGAGGTTCCCAACAAACCTAAGTAGAGCATGTAATTTAAACACAGTGTAATGAAAAACACTGGCACGCTAGACATGCTGAAAATGATGCCCTAAAGTGCACTCATCCTTAAGGTGGGAAAGAAGGAAGAAAGTTTTGGAAGCCTAAGTTACAAATAGAGGCTGCTGAAGTTTACCTTCAAAATAGTTAAATACACAAAATGCAAACCCTTAAAGGATTCCAGTTATCATTATGAAACCCAAAGGCCTATCACCCTTATTTCTTGAAACTGGATGATAAAAGTTTCATCCTCTTTTTGATACCCTCTAACTGCCTCAGTTTTCAGAAAGCAAATTGAAGACATTTATTAGCCAGAAGTTAACAATAAATGGCACTATATATTCAGCATAACAAACCTTGCACGGTCAACCAAGACAACTTTTAGGCTACTGTGTGCCAACATGGAATAACATGTTCTGTCTAAACTGAAAAATAAATTTTAAATATAGGCCCACAAAATAACTTCAGTGATTTTTAAAAATCTGTCTAAAGTTTGATAAGGATATGGGGGATGGAAGGTTGAGGGGACGGGGTATTACTGTGTGCTGCGGAGCATTTGTCCTTCCTTTTGTAAGCTTCTCTTCCTTTAAACTTATCCTATTTTTTTTTCTTTTTCTGGAAGCAGAAGCTCTAATTTAATCCTCTCTGTTCCCTTGTGCTTTGCATAAAATAACTAAAGTTCCTTGTGAACCTTCTGCTCAGTATTCAAAGGGAATCTTCTGTTCAGAAGCTTCCATTTTATCTATACTCCCATTAGAGTCCTCCAAGATAAGCTCATGCCCAAGCTCCTTTACATCCCCGTGTGTTTCTCAGGAACTACACTAAGGAAGTGATCCCTGTCCTCCACACCAGTAATCCAATATGCAGGTTTCATATTTGCTATTTAACATGCCCAGATGATTCTGCCCTTTGCCCAAGTAAATTGTCTTTGTCACCATAAAACATGGATCTGATTCTCAACCTAAAAAGATATTGGTGAAGGCAACCATCCCTTTCAAAGAGATAACAAGCAGGGATCTATTGTTTCCTGGACTCATCTGTTCTCTGAATGATGCGTCAAGCTCAACATCCTATTATTTTCCAGGCTTTCTTGTAACTACCACTTTGAAATACATATTGTTTTAGTAAGCTCAACATTTCTTTCCCTTTCTTCTGGTAATAACTCTTCTCCCCTTTTTAAAAAAATTGGCCCTTCCCCATCCCATGTGGCTCGGGGAGGACTGCCAATCACAATTTCTTGCACTGATCGGACAACCATGATACCCATTCTGGGCTACAGTCATATGTCTAAAATGGTCACATTACCCAGGCAAGGCCAGAGTGTCCTTCCCTGTAACTTTACAATCTGTTGCTAGGAAAGCTCCCTGTTTCCTCTGAGGTCTTGAGCTGAGAGGCTGGAAACCAGAAGCCACCCATGACCATTGGCATCAACATACTGCCTATACCCATAGGTTCAAAAAAATCGGCCAGCAGAAGGAAAGAATGAGGCCAACGACCGGAGAGAAACACAGCCAAGAGATGGAGAAAGGGAGAGTCTAAGATACTACTGACAGTCATCTGAGTCCCTGTAGGCTCTGATGTCAGCACCAATCTAGAACTTTCCAGTGGCATAAGCCACTAAATTCCTTTGTTTCCTTAGGCCAATTTGAGTTGGGTTCTGTTACCCTGAACTGAAAGTCTCTAAACACCAAAAAACTGTGGTGGTGATGCCAATAAGCTAACTGCTCACACCAGCTCTTTATGGCTTCCCAGAGGAGCAAGCAACCTAATGCTGTAGACTGGCTGGTGAGTAAGTAGCTATGAAGCCATCGGAATGGCAGAGTTCCAGCTTGGCCATTCCAGGTCTAAAGCTTGAGTCCCGTCCCAGGAGTCAAATATTATCAATCTGCATGTCACCTGAGTTCTTCCTGGGCCATATCCAAAAGCCAAATATCGGGCCCTCAGGCTGGGCAGCCAGGCCAAGGGGGTATTGTGGACAGTGCACGATGGATAGTCCTGGAGCTCACCGTGGCAGGGCCCTGCTCTGTGCCAAAGTACTTCCCTTGTTCAAGAAACAGGTGACAGGAATTGTTGCCATTGCTTTCAGCAAACATCAAGGAAAAAAATTGATCTGGACCTAGTGTCAAGCAGAAATTCTTAGAAGAGGGCTAGTTTTTTCAGTAGGGACCTCTCTGAAAGCCTCAAATGGACATACCGTGATGGGAGTTCATGTTAAATTCATGTCATTATTTTTCTTTGAAAAATATCCCTGATTCTTACCATCAGATGACAATAACTGAGTGACTAAAATATGCCAGACAATTACGTAAATTAGGCAGCTGGGGTGTGGGGTGAGAGACGCCTGGGTTTAACTCCTGTTTGACAGCTACTAGCTGGATGTTTTGGGGCAAATTACTTAAATACTCCAGGCCTCAGTTTCTTCTTCAGTAAACAGGGAATAATAGTATCTACCTCAAAAATTTTTTGTGAGCATTAAATAAGGTAATGTATGCAAAATGCTCAGCGTGCCCAGTACATAATAATAGGTAATATAAATCACATATATATGAAGTATATAATTACATATTATTAATCAATAAGGTACACATTATAAAATGTTGGTTTTATCTTCTCTCTGCATCGATAATATATATTATTGGTAGGACAACTCTATAGAAAAGACAGTATGATAAATCCCTATTTATGTTATGACAGCAATTAAACAATCACATATTAAATGATCAAGCCCAAGATATTTGAATATAAGATTATTATATTTGAATATAATGTTTATTATTTTAATAGACTATTTCTGTGAGTCTTCACATGTGTAAATGTAGGCATTTACCATGAAAGAGACCAAACAGAAAAGAAGAAACATTGTTTATTATTTTCACCCATGAATGCTTTACTTTCTTAACTTTAAAATTTCCACATTCTTTCTGTCTTTAAGAGAGTTAAAACTAATGTGATATAAGAGCAGAGGAAGCCGTCAGGAATATCATTTTCCTACATGTCCATTGGTACATCTCTTTTTGAAAGGCAATTTGTCAACATCTATCACAATACAAAGTATACACATTCCTTGACCCTGGCCATTCTACTTCTAGAAATATCTGCTACAGAAACACGCATATACTCTAGAAAGTATACATAAGGATGTGTGCTACAACAGTGTTCATAATAGTCAACAATCTAAATGTCCATCGATATGAAGGCTTAGACATAAAACCAAGATTGAACTGACAAATTAGAAGTCCAGGGATTCTGGCCAGGGACAGTGGCGCAGACCTGTAATCCCAGCATTTTAAAAGGCCAAGGTGGGAGGATTGCTTGATGCCAGGAGTTTGAGCCCAGCCTGGGCAACAAAGCAAGACCCTGTCTCTACAAAAATAAAAATAAAAAATTAGCAGAGAGTGTGGCATGCACCTGTAGTCCCAGCTACTCAGGAGGCTAGGGTGAGAGGATCATTTGAGTCCAGGAGGTTGAATCTGCAGTGAGCCATGATCCTACCACTGCACTCCAGTGTAGGCTACAGAGTGCAATCCTGTTCCCTGCCCCCCAATAAAAAGAAGTCCAGGGGTTCTTCTGGTAGCCACAATGTATGTAAACACTGGCCTCTGAGTCAATTCAAGTCAACAAAAATGTGTTGAGTGTCCTCCCTATACTAGGCCTTGTGCTGGACCAGTGATGAAGACAGCAAACAAGATACTCTGGCCCTTTAGCCTGAAGAAGAAAAACCAAAACCAGATTCCATATTCTCCCAATCCAGGTAGGATCTTAGAAGACAGCTTTTAATAACACCCATGATTTTTAGTTTATAGCTTCAACTAAGAATCATATAAAAATTATGCCCACCAAAGGTACTGGGGCAAATCTTTTCGTATGAAAAGGAAATAAAGTTTTATTGAGTCTTTCTTTGACACCATATAATCATAGTTTTGATAATTTCCTATGTTCTCTTACAGTTTATTTTTTCTGAGTTTTCTGTCAACTACTATAATTTCTTTTTGGTGTCTTGCCAGAATTAATAAACAATTTTACCCATTATAATTTTTGTAATAATCTTCACTATAAGGAACCCATTTTCCCCAGAATTACTGGAATACCTTGCACATTTTAAAGTGAAAGTTTCTAAACCTATAAATTGTAACAAAATTTAACCAAGCACAAAATTAGGATAAGTAATAATGACTCAGTTCTGTAATCCAAGTATTAATATAAAGTAAAAATCCTAGATAAATTTGTATAATGTAGTTATAAATAAAGAAGATTAAAATGAGTATACTAGTAGAAACAAGAACTGTTTAACATTTTTTCACATGTATCTCAAAGTTTTTTTCATAATTTCATATCTTAAGGATAAATAACATGGGATGAAATCAATCATGCTAATTAGTACAGTAATTTTTGCTTAGGGCCCAAATAAAATAAAACAAAGAGCCTCAAATAAGTTTACTTAAAGTTCCAATTTCCCTTACAATTACCACTTTTTATTGCCATTTTAGTCTTAAGCAAGAATTAAGTTCATTCTTTATGTGGGTTTCAGACATGCATACTAATTTTCTCCTAGCCTAGTGATAAGTAAGGTTACCAAAGAATATATAAGTTAATGAGTTTGTTTTTAGTCATTTCACAAAATGTCCCATTATTAACTCCCACTATTTTGAATTTCAGGATCTTGTCCTATAGTAGTATGTTGCCACCACCTGAACATCAGTCTAGCAGACCTTTTACCTTATTATGCAGAAAGCACACTTGGCATGAAAAGAAAGGGTATCCTCGGCTAGATTTGCTTCTGTCATGGCTGAAAAGGTGAAGTGACCCGCTCTGAAAACATGAAGCCCTTGGACTCTCAGGTCACTGCATAGGGTGTTCTAATTAGAAAAACAAGTGTAGCATTTTACCCACCAACACAGTGGTGACATTTGGTGAAGTTCTAAAAATCTTTAATTATTACTTACACTTTACATATTTACCAAAATGTTATGTATCTCCTTGATATTTAATAAAATCACTTTTAAAATCCTATAGTTAAGATTCCTGTGAACACAAGGGAAAAGGTCAAATGAAGATTTGAATGAGCACAGGCTGTAGAAAATACACAGCGCTCATACTGCAGTCTCTTTGAAGTGCATACAGTGCCAGAGAAAGTAAGTTAGACATTCAGTAATTGACATTCAGTAAAAAACACTCCTGGGATATCTACTGAGTGACTGCTTCCTTGATGTGGCATCTATGGCCAATCACTGATCACTCGTGGCACAGTACTGCTCTAACATTTCCATTGATTTATTGCTGGAAATTTGATTTTTTATTTTTGTGTGGTACCCAGAAAGAAAAAGCTAGCTGCTGAATTAGCTTTTGAGATTCAAAGGAGAATTAGATGAAACTAGGACACGTATGGAATTAAATACCTATAAACAGATCAATCGTTTTCTAGCTATAAAACAAAAAAGTCGCTTAAAGAGAAAAAAAGATGCTATAACTCAGAAAAAAACTAAGTCCTGAATTCTGTAAAATTTGCACCTATAAATCAGTCTTCGCAGTGTGACATACTATAAGGATTAGTAACAACAACAACACTCTTTTCTTTTTCTCTCTTCTTTATATTTTTATTTTTGACAAAGCCCTTAAACAGAATGTTGTATATATCTTGAAATTTCAGGAATAATTAACCACCATAAAAACAAACGAAATCACAAGCCTGTACCCAAGGAAAACAATAAATAGATTTTCAAACCTCTGACTTGTTGCTCCATCAAAGCAGATATGTCCTCTTGATTAAGGATCATTTTGAGAAAAAGAGACACAGTCGATGGTCAACCTGCACCTTCATTCAGTATTCCCTACTGAAACAGATGGCATCTTGGGCATGTTGAATCTCCCAGAATAGGTGCCTATTAGCAAGACAACTCTTAAATCTTCCAGATACCAGGAAATGCCTTGCCCTAATTAGGCTACACTTTCCCATTGCCTCCACATTTTCATTCTTACTCATTGTTCTAGCAATTTGGATTCTGCCCCATACCATTGGAATGAAATTGTTCTTCCCTTAACCTCTTTTGAGTCTCAATCCTGGTCCATCTTTTTGCACAGCTCCACAGTTGACCCCACCTCCACTTCCTCCACCACCAGCTCCAGCAAAACACATGCAGAGTCTTTCGCTCCTCCCTTGGCTTACAATTTGGTTTACAATTTTGCTCCTCCCTTGGTTTACAATCCTAAACCTCTCCAATTCTTCCTGGCTACTCTGCTCCTGCTCAGGCCCCTTCATGCTTCTTCTCCTCTCCTCAGTAGTTAAAGGGAAGGATGTACCCCATGGTTTTATCTTAAGCTCTTTTTATTTTTGAGATAGGGTCTTGCTCTGTCACCCAGGCTGGAGTGTGGTGGAGTGAATATGGTTCACTGCAGCCACAATTTCCTGGGCTCAAGCAATACTCTCTCCTCAGCCTCCCAAGCAGCTGTGACCACAGAGGTGCACCACCACACCTGGCTAATTTTATTTTTATTTTTTTGTAGAGGCGGAGTCTTGCCATGTTACCCAGGCTCATCTCGAACTCTTGGGCTTGAGCGATCCTACCCTCTCAGCCTTCCAAAGTGCTGAGATTACAGATATTGACCACCAGACTTGGCCTGTCTTAAGGTCTTGTGCCTTTTCATTTCACATGCATTTCACCTCACCCATATGTTAACCTCCATCAGTATCTCCTGGCAGGCACTCAGTCAGTGTCTGTGACATGAGTCTCACCTTTATCCATCTGGCTACCTTTCATAGAAGGCACTATCCCATCTGGATCTCCATCCAACCACCTTCCTGAAGATCAGACCTGCAGTCAAGACTGCCAACCTGTTCCCTCCTTGGGAAGTTACCCTTAAAAGAATAGTCTGTCCCAAGATTAACCACTTCTAAACTGAATTCAGTGTTCTGTAATACCTCTCTGCTTCACCAAACCTGGTCCTTCTCATCTACCCTGGAGTCAATAGCAGGACAGTCTTCCTAGACCTCATACCCGGAGAATCCTTCCTGCCTTAAAGACTCGCCTCCAGCATCCCTTCTCTTGTAAAGACTCCCCCAAACCAGTGTGCAGGCAGGCAGGCCCTCTTCTCCGCACCCCACAATGCCTTCTTTCCCTCACTCCCTCACTGGGAAGGCCTGCATGGCAGGGTGTGTGTGTGTGTGTGTGTGTGTGTGTGTGTGTGTGTGTGTGTGTGTGTGTGTGTGTACGTGTGTGTGTTGTGTTATACACATGCATTCCCATCCTTCTAGTTGCACCTAATACAGTGGTGACTGACACCTGAATAGGCAAGGTCTCTTCTGTGCACTTCTAATGTCCATAGTTAAATTTTCAATAGGCACCTCAAACTCAGCATGTCTGAAATAGGCCCCCATCCTCCCACCCCAGAACCCAATCCTCCTCCTCGGTCCCTCTCTCCCCTAACTGACCCACAACTTCCTAGTCATCTAATGCATTTGCTCCTCCCTCTCCCACTTCCTCATCCCATGAATGCCCCCTTTGCCTCTCCACTGTCTCCCTCCTGCTCCCCCTGCTCTGCGTTCCAGAGGTCATTCCTTCACACTGGCCTCCCTGACTCTGCACACCCCACTCCCCTGTCCATGCTACTTTTTTATAAGTCCGTATGTCTAAAATCCAGATCCAGTCACAGTCACTAACATCTTTCAAAGCTTCCATGGCTCACCTCCGCATTTGGATTTTTATCCAGTCCAAATGTGAAATCACCTACATGTTCCTGCAAATTTATCCCTCGGGGTCACTTTGCCACCCAAGGACATTCCCATGGGTTTACATCCCTTCCTCTGGCCCCTTAGGCACTCAGCCAGCTCTTGTTTTCTTCTAGGCTACCACCATTATGGGTCCTTCCTTTCCCCACAAAAGACTGCTAACATAAAGCAATCTCTTTAGCTCAGAAGGCCGCCTGTCTCACAGCTGCATTTCTAAGTGTGCTACATTATTATTTTCTAGATTCCCCCCACCCCCCACAACTCTCCTCTGGCCCAACTACCATTGTTCAATGTAAATGCCCAGAATTGTCCAATGCATTGTCTTCATCCTAACTGTGACCTCAACCTGCAATGCTTTCCCCCACCCAGTGTGCCAGCTAACTTCCTAACATCCTCCTAGAGGCCACCCAAATGCCATCTCTTCCAGAATGGGTTCTTCCAAAACCCCACTAGTCAAATTTACCTTCCTTCCTCTATTCTCTAGTTCAGGGGTTTTCAAAGATATGTGCAAGATGATTTGGGGGAGTATAGTAAGAAATTTATATGTAAATTGCATTCACATATAAATTTAATGTAAATGTCATATGTGTTTTATAATATAATGTTAGCACAATAATACAAGTATATAACATAAATATATAAAAAAACAAATATTCCTATAGTGGGAGTTGCACAAGAGTATTTTACCAAGAGAGGTATACAATCAAAAAAAGTTTAGAGACTACAACTCTAGCTTAACATTTTTCACTATGGGCTTCTTATTTAAGGTAATTTTGGCTCTGTCTCTCCTGGTTTATGAGTTCCCATGTAATAGAAAGAACATGGCTTTGGAGTCAGAAATAGGTTCAAAGTTGGGTCTGTTGGTTACTAGCCATGTAACTATACCTCTGAATTCTCTTCAGGATTACAGGGAAAAATGCATATATATAAAATACGTCTTTGAAAATAATAGATATATACAGCAGGTCCTTGAATAACATTGTCTTGTTACAACATTGATGAGAAAAAATATCAATTCCTGGCCAGGGCCACTGTCATTTGGAGTTCGCACGATCTCCCCACGTCTGCGAGGGTTTTCTCCAGGTGCTCTGCTTTCCTCCCACATTCCAAAGATGTGCATGTTCAGTGAACTGGTGTGTCTCCATGAGTGCTACATGAGTGCAACTGTGTATGTGCGTGCACCCTGCGACGTGACTGCGTCCTGTCCAGGGCTGGTTCCCACCTTGTACCCTGAGCTGCGGGGATAGGCTCCAGCCACCCGGGACCCTGAACTGAATAAACAAGTAAATCATTATCTTACTAGTTTTTATTAACTTTTCTTAAACATCTAGATAGCTCCCATTTACTTTAATGTTTAATATGATAAGCATTTTGGTCTTTAGTTAGGTTAGTGATTTTCCTGTGGCCAGAAATATGCGTAGGAATTTAACTCTTTATATCAATCGGCTGATGGTAAAATTGGTTTGTTGTACATTGTTTTGTTTAAAGTCACAGTTTCCAAAGACCTATCAATGATGAAATTCAGTGAGGACTTACGTGTGAAAAAACTTACTCAGGGCCTAGAGTGAGGTTTCTTTCTCTTTTATGTCATTCTTCAACTCACTTTGCAAAGCTCCTTATATGCTTTACTGAATTGAATTCTCAATAACAATCTACCAGTGTGTCTAGAGGAAGAAGCTGAGGCTGGCTGTGTAACAACTAAGAAGTGGTAGAATCAGATTCAAACCTAGGTGTGACTGGCACTGAAGCCCTAGCTTTTTCCACCACATAAAGAGCCTCCGGGACACAGAGGGGCCAGTCGCCTGCATAACTGGGGTGGAGAGACACACAAATGGAAAGTCATAGCAGAATTGAGACGTGTTTAAGAGACGGAGAAAATGCTACAGTGGCAAGGAGGAAACAGACATTAGTTCTGCCCCCATGAAATCAGGGAGGGCTTCACAGAGATGGTGACACTGTAGTTGTCTCTTGGCTTATATGAATCTGCCACAAATTCAGATTCCAGAGACCTGGAAGGCACTTTCAGCAGCAAGGCTGTGGGCAGTAACATGGAGACACATATACCCTTTGACTTACTGCAAGGAGTATGGGTGATGGGACCAAAGGTAGGAAAGTCGGGGAAACAGAGCTGTGGCAAGAGATAATGGCAAAAAGGTGGGGGTAGGGTCGCATTCCAGAAGCAATAGAGTTGGCCGGAGTTTTTAAGCAAGGCAGAGACAGATCAGATCTGTGCCACAGAACACTAATTCCAGTGCTAGCATAGAGCAGAAATTCTGGAGACTAAAACCACTTGAGGAATCTTTTTTTCTTTTAATGGTGTGGTTTGTCCCATTGTTATGAATGTTAATTTGAATTTAGTTATGGTGGGTTGCCAGGTTTCTCCACTGTACTTATTGTTTGTCCTTTGTAAATATTAACTATCTGGTGGTGGAGGACAATGTAAAATCACGTTTCTCAACAAAACTTCATCACTAGTTATAGCATCCATTGGTTTTCTAACTCCATCATTCCAGCTATATTTAATACTTGGCTTTCTATACAAGGAAGAGCTTTGCCTTCTCCCCATTGAGTTATTTATATCACTATGGATGCAAGGATTTTTATTTTATTCTACAGATTATAATTCATGCTCAAATTATCCCAGATGTCGCCAATGGAAGTCCCTTCAAGCTGGCTCTCATGTCATTTTAATATCTCCCCTTATTCTTTAAGCACTGCTATATTTTCTAGCACAAGAAGATATTCCAGATGTATCTTGTGCTTTCACTGCCCCAGGCCTAGAATCAGCTTTTTCTCCAAGGAGTTCTGTTCTTTTTTGTGGAGAACAGTCTTTAGAAACTGAATTCTTGGTGCTAGTCATGTTTCTGGTGCTGATGTGTCACTGCTTTCTTAGTAATCTTAACAGAAAGAGCAAGGAAGTGTGTGTGTGTGTGCGTGTGTACTTATTTATATACACCTATATATATATTTCTATGGCAACTTTTTAAATGCAGATTTTGGGGCCTCACACCTATACCTACTGAATCAGAATCCTTAGGAGTGGGCTCATTAAATCTGAATTTTTTTGTTTAAGTTCACCAGGTTCTTGAGCAGAGGATGGGCTAGGGGAGTAACCATCAAAGCCAGGAGGCCAGTTAGTACTCTATTGTAACCATCCACACAAAACCAGGGATGTGGACCAGGGCAGAAGCAGTAAGATAGAGAGGCCAAGATCAGCTGCACTTGGGGCTCTCTGGACAATAAGAATGAGGAGGGAAGGAGTATCCAGGCACTCAGTGGTTCCTGCCTGGATCGCTGTGATCGTGTGGCCTGCACTGTCATTTACAGAGTAAGCACTGAACACGTTTGTTTAACTTAAGTAGCTTCTCATTTTTCTCCCATAGATTATAAAAAAATCCAAGTTGTTGACATTCTGGGAAGAAAATAATTATAAATTTATAGAATTTATATCTCTTCTATTACATTTTTATCATATGGACTAGAAACTGAATTTCACTCAAGGCAAGAAAGATGACCTGCAAAGTCATTATCAGTAGGCCAACCCCTCACATACACAAACAGGGCCAGTCAAAGTGAATGTGTTCATATCTACTCTGCAGAAAAATAGGCCTGCAAGTCTTTTTACCAAGAAGCAACATCTGTAACAATATCTCTTATTGTCCCAAGAAAAAAAAAAAGAGCTAGAGTCTGCTAGAGATAGAAGTCATTAAGCTGAAAGGACTGCCTACTACCACTGCAGCATAAAACTCACTAGAGCATGAGGAAAATATATAAAGCAGATGTAAGAAGAAAAGTAAACCTGAAAGGAAATGACCCTTGGACATTCGTATTGCTATAACAGAAAGCTTAAAACCCAGATGAAAGTACAATCCAGAGAAAAATCATCATTCCCAGTGTTTATGTAGTAAAAGCAATTCATCAATGACCTCTTATTGCTAAATCCACTGGGCCGTTTTCCAGACTCACCTTCTTCTACTCTGCTGAGTCTGCTGAGCATCTTCTTGACACTCTCTCTGTTCTTGGTTTCAAGGGCATTCTACTTCCCTGGTTTGCCTCCTACCCCTGTGACCATTCCCATCTTTCATAAGTACCCCTTTATCTGCTGGTTTCTAAAAAGTTGATCTTTCTCAAAGTCCTGACCCTGGGATCTTTTCTTTCCTCCCTACCTTCTCTGGGTATCTCACCCACTCCTACACATACACTGAAACTCTCACAGCTCTCTCCTGAGCAAGGGCCCATATAAATGTATAACCACCTCTTGGATGTCTCACAGACACCTCAATCTAAATATGTTCAAAGCTGAACTCATCTCCCCTGACCCTGAAGCTGCTCCTCATTCTGTTTCAGTGAATGGTCATCACCATTCAACCAGCTGACTAAGTCAGAAACTTGACCACTACGTTACACCTACCTGCCTTCTTTCTACCCTACTCCCAATGCCCTCTCCCATATCCAATCCATCACCAGGAATCAAGAGTCTCCAGAACGTATTCATAGTTCTCTTTGCATTCTACCACAATTACTTCACACCTGGATTACTTCAAGTGCTTGCAGACTTGTTTCCTCCAATCCATTATCCACACTGTAGCCAGAGTGACAGGTATACAGCCTAAATCTAATGATGCCCCTTCTTCCAGAAAGCCTTCCCTAACCACCAACCGCCTCCCATGAATGGGCTAGGAGTATGTCCTGAGGCTCTCACACACTTTGGGTAACTAACCATATCTGGCTGTGCATATGTGGACTCCTGCCCTCGTGACTGCAAGTTCATTGAGAGGAGATGTGTGCTGTGTGCTGTGTGCTGCTGGGTCCCCAGCGCCTCACACAGGGTATGACACACAGGAGGCACTCAAGAAATCTTTGTTGTAAGTCATTTTCCTTAAGGGTTTCTTAACCTGGGGGTCCATGTACCCTTTTATAGATTTCAGGAGGTTGATGAACTTAGATTAAAAATTATACCTTCATTTTCACTAACTTGTAACACACTAAGATTTCCTATCATTCAAAAGGTAATCAACAAACCATAGAAGTGTTAGCAGCACCTGCGACCTTGTGACTGGTAAAACACAGAATTTTCATATCACATTACATTTGTTGCAGATATCTCAAACATCAGGTATATTCATCCCTACTTTTAAATCATAGTAATTATAAGAACTACTAAAACTTTTAATTGTATGTGTTAATAAAGAAGCACATATAACATATACCTACATATTAAAACTATTTTTATAACCATATTTCAAAAGAATTTCCTATAGAATATATGTATATATTTTACTTTATACATGAGAAAACACTATTCTGTGATGGTGGAAGTATAAATCGACACAACCACTTTGGTCTCAAACTCCTGGTCTCATGTGATCTGCCCACCTTGGCCTCCCAAAGTGCTGGGATTACAGGAGTGAGCCACCGCATCTGGCCAGATGCAACCACTTTGGAAAACCATTTGACAGTATCTAGCAAGTACCATATGTGCACCCCGTGACCTAACAATACCACTCCTAGGTGGAACTGCATATATGTTCACTTGTGCTAGAATGCTTGTACGAGTAGCCAAAGGAAACTGCAAACCATCCAAAGGCCCATAAACAGTAGAACAGATAAACTCCAGTATTTCCACACAACAAAAAATACAGAACTGAAAATAAGCATGTAGAAACACAAATGAATCTCATCAACATAGTATTGACTGAAAGGAGCTAGACATAAAAGAATGCAAACTGTACCATTCCTTTTAAAAGTACCTTAAGCAAAACTAAGCTATGCTCTTAAAAGTGAGGATGGAGGTCACCTTTGCAGTGGGGATTGTCACTGGAAAAGGGCATGAGGTGCTGTCTGTGGTATGGATGGTATTGATTTTTTGATGTGAGCAAGGTTACAGGTGTGTTGGGTTTGTGAGAATTGATCCAGCTGTACACTATGATATATGTACTTTTCTGTATCTGTATTACACTGCAATAAAAGTGTAAAACAGAACAAACAAGCCTATTATTCTGAGATGGTGTCTATAGGCTTCATAGCCTGTCAAAGGGGGTACAAAAAAGAAGTCCTATTCTAAGCAGAAATTCTAAGGGTATCATCCAAAAACAAATAAAAGTCATGCACAAGTCTTTCATTTGTTCATTCAACAAACACTTCTTAAGCACCTTCTACATGCCAGGCTCCATTATGAGAACTGTAGGCAGAGCAGTGAATGAAACAGCCCTGCCCAAATACAGCTTATATTTTAAAGAGCCAAGATGGATCAAAAGAAATACTAAGGAAAAAAAAACAAGGATGTGCAATAAGGAATGTGTTAGAGAAGAGTTTGAATTTTAAATAGAGTAATCAGTTAAGGTAACACTGATCAGGCACCTAAGGGAAGTGAGTAATGTCATGTGAATGTCTGAGGGGACAAGGATCCAGGCAGAAAGAGTGCAAAAGAGTACAAAGGCCCTGCGGCAGAAGAGCACCTGGGTATTCAAGCAGCAGCTAGAAGGCCAGTGTGGCTGGAGTGGATCAAGGAATGTAGGGAAAACAGACTGGATCGCAGAGGTAAAAGGGGCCAAATCCCCAAGTAGGGACTCAGAAGCCATAACAAGGACTCTGGCTTTTCCTCTGAGGGTTCAAGGCAGAGAATTGACACGACCTGTTCAACCGCACAACCTTATACAGCAAAGACTGCAATTACTTATTGTAACCAGATAACTCTGGCTGCTGTGTTTAGAATAGAAGGGAAAGGCAAGGATGGAAGCAGGGAAGAGGCAGTGGGTAAGAGGTCTTAGGAAAAGAGCATGGCATGAAGAGAAAAGGAGAGAAAAGATGCCTTGAAGAAGACAATGCATACACACATAAAACACATGCATTATTAAGGTCAGGAGTTCAAGACCAGCCTGGCCAAAATGATGAAACCCTGACTCTACTAAAAATACAAAAATTAGCCAGGCACGGTGGCGCATGCCTATAATCCCAGCTACTCAGAAGGCTGAGGCAGAAGAATCGCTTGAACCCGGGAGGCAGAGGTTGCAGTGAGCCGAGATCGCGCCACTGCACTCCAACCTGGGTAACAGAGTGAGACTCCATCTTAAAAAAACAAAAACAAAAAGAAAACATATGCATTATTATTGTTGTCGCTGCTGCTGTCATCGTTACTGAACCATTTGAGAGTAAACTGCAGCCATCATGATTCTTCACTCCTAAGTATTTCAGCACACATCTTCTAAGATAAGTACATTCTCTTATATACCTGCATTGCTACAATCAAATTCAGAATATTTAACAGTGACACAAAGCTGTTACCTCATATATAGTCCCACATTCAAATTTCACCAATTGTCCCAATACTGTTATATATAGCAACCCCTCTCCACCCAATCCAAAGTCACACATTGCATTTAGTTCTATAATTCTAGTCTCCTTTAACCTGGACATTCCCTCAATCTGTTTTAGTCTTTTACAAGAATAACATTTTTTGCCAAGTCCAGACCAGTTGTATTGTAGAATGTCCCTCAATTTGCATTGGTCTGTTTCCTCATTATTAGATTGACGCCATGCATTTTTGGCAAGAAAATGTCATCAGTGACACTGACCGGCCCCTGTATGTATCAGGTAGGCCTAGGGAGAGGAGGCAAAGGGCAGGGGAGGTAAGAGAAAACCAGGGGACCACAATGATGAGGAAAGAAAAGGATAGGCACTGAGGAGAAGGTGATCAGCTGACCCAGTGCTGTGAAGAGGTTAAGCACGATGTGGCTCCACCTAGCAATGGAGGTCACTGAAGTCGCTCCAGAGAACTCCAGTGGCTGGCGGAAGTAGAAACCAGTTCACTATGTTGAAAAGTGAATGAGAGATAAAGAAAACGGGGGCAGTAAATGGAGACAACTAAGAACCTCATGACTTTAACTTAGAAGAGATTTTGGAAGGATCTTAGGGATTTATAAATGAGGAAACCGAGGCCCAGAAAAGGTAACTGCCATGCCCAAAGTCACATGTCTGGTTAGAGACAGAGCCCATGCAGTGTTCAATCCCATGGGACCCCAATCCCCATGCACAATGCCACGCTCCCTCTTCTGAGAAGTCTGGCATTGAAGGAAAAGAGGAGAAAGGAATCAGAAGAAAAGGTTAATAAAAACAAAGTGAAATACTCCTGCAATGATCTTCCTAAAATGTAAATTGGCCTTCTCTTGCCTTGTTTAAATGAACTCACTGGTCTCCATAACTTGTGGAATGAGCGGTAAATCCCTTAGCTATCTAGCTCCAGCCCACTTATTCCAGCTTCATCTCCCACCGTACCCTCCTCACTCTCATCTGTCATTCTGGTAACATTGAGCTACTTATTCTTGCTTCAAGGGACCCTGCTATTTTAAGCCCCTGAGCCTCTGCATAAGCTGTTCCTGCCCTGTCTTTCCCTCCTTCCCCATTCTTTTTCCACCTCCCTGCCAAACCGCTCTTCAGCCTTCAAAAGTCACTTTCTCCAGGGGTCTTCCCTCGAAGCCCTACTTCTGTATGTTTGGGTAAAACTCTTCTAGGCCAGGAAAGACAAATTTAGTTAGAGCTGGCAGATGCTGCCTTACAATCTCTGCAGACATCTGGACTTCAC